>NC_000011.10:115051212-115354242 GCF_000001405.40 Homo sapiens | reverse complement strand
AATAATGACTAGCATGATTGTCACATAGTAGGTCCTTAGTAAATGATAGTTTCCCCATATCTTTTAATCAGTTCACCTTCTTCAGTAATTTTTTGAAATTCTTTCACTGCATTAGATTCTTGTTAACTGTTTTCCCTATTGTTTAGTCTCTTCTGCTTCCAGATCAGCAGAGATATTGCTGCCAGATTAAATGTTTATTAATTTTGTACTGTGTGCTGGACACTAGATTTTTTCTTTCCTGTGCATGATTTTAAACAAACAAAAACAGCCCATCACTGCTTCGGTTCACAGTCTGGCCGTAGCCTAGTTTTTTAGCCTTATCTTGTGCCATGCCTTTCACATACCTAACAATCCTTACAAATTGAATACTCCTAGTTCCTGATTGTTAGGAATTGGGATGAGACGATATCCAGGGACTCAGGAAGGCTCAAATCCCATCCTACCAATCACGTCTACCCACTTACCACCCTCCTTTCCCAATGCAAGGAGGAGCAGAATGAGAATCTGAATACCACTCCCTGAACCTCCAGGTCAGAGCTCTGATAAAAGCTGGATTGGATTATGGATTGAGGCATGAACTCAAGTCACCCTTCAACTTCTCTGCGTATTCTATCTCAGTCTGGGAATCTTACTAGTTTCTGGCCAACTGCACTAAAGATTGAAGTTGACATGAGAGAAGGAGCTTGCTAAGAGTTGATTTCAAAGAGTGGCATATATAACAGTCTTGCATTCCATTAACTGAACCAAAAGAAAGCTTTAACAAAATGTTATGGAATTAATTAAACTTAAGTTTAAATAGCAACATGCCGCTATTTAGATTTAATTAAGTAAAATTAAAACTTCACTTCCACAGTTGCACTTGCTACATTGCAATTCTCAATCGCTGCATGTGGCTAGTGATGTCTGTATTGGACAATGCAGATGTAAAGTATTCCCAACACAGGAAGTTCTGTTGGACAGTGCTGTTATAAACACAGTAACATGGGTCATTCATCACCAGTACATTACAGAGAAGATTTCCCTAAACATCTCTAATGTGTCCACTCATGCCAGTTAAAAGAAATCCTGTCTGTACCCATTTCCGTTTTTCTTGAACAAAAACACTTCTCTACATCTTGTAGAAGCTTAATTTGCTAGAATTACATAAATAGAAATTATCAAACTCAAAAAGCCTTTAGCATTTTCAGTCCAGAACACAAAGATAAGGAAATAATTCAAAAGTTATCTCAAGAGAAATCAAGTTCGCATGCACGCATATGTTCACTGCAGCACTATTCACAATAGCAAAGACATGGAATCAGCCTAAATGCCCATCAGTGGCAGATTGGATGAAGAAAATGTGGTACATATACACCGTGGAATACTATGGAGCTGTACTGCCTGGCCTGGAAATCTGGCTGTGACAGGCACTAGCTGAGTGAAACTTACCTCTGTCTTACCTCGACTGCAAGATGGGGATAATAATAATAATATCTATTTCATATGGCAGTGGTGAGGATTAAGCCAATTAGTGTAAAATACACAAAAATACTAAAAACAGTGCCCATCACTGTACAATGCTGTGTTTTTTCTACCTTCTCCTGCTCCTCCTCTTCTTCTTCCTAAGTCTTCTCTGTTGTTTTACTAAGAAACACATATTCTTTGAATATGGAAGAGAAAGGAATTTACTTTGCTCATCCTGTAATATTTTTCCTGGAGATGAGCTCTTAGCTGGCTTCTGGGAAAAGAAAATATTTCCTCTATTTTATCCAGCACTCTGCATAGCCTGTGACAGTTATATAAAAATATCAGTTTAGATGTGTTAGAGATTGTTTTAGAAGACTATTCCATGTAAGCCATGCATTGGTTCATTCATTCATTCTTGCACAAGTGCGTGAGGATTGCTTCTTAAATGCAGGGCACTATATCTGCATCAGATGGGGACTTAGAATCATCATTCCGTGCTGACAAGCCCTCTGCCAAAGGGATCAGTACTCCACTTTTGTATAGAACTGGGACAGACTTTCCGTCACAATTTTGTTATGAAACTGTCAGGTGAGATGTTGCACTGAATTCCCTTTAGTAGATTTATACAGTTTCAGAGATTTTGTTATGGTAACTTGGGGGCTTTTAATTTGATTTTATTGGATTCTTTTTTTAGACTCTTAAGGCAGTGGTGTTTTCATCACTACATCTGCACAATTTGTTATTGGCATTATTGGGAATTGCGGATGTAAAGCAGTCTATGACTTTTGGGAATATTAATAAACTCCTAAAGTACTTGTTCAATTAGCTTCTCTGACCTGCTGTCCAGAGGTTGAGCTGTCATTAACTGAGGAAGCTTCCTATGGTTTAAGTGGTGGTGAGGAAAACCATTGTCTTTCTTCCTCCTCATCTTTGTCTTGCCTACTTCATTCACTACTTTCTTGGGAGCAGTGCAGGAAGAGGCCGTCCAATTCCAGAGCTGCAGAGGGGCTCCTATGCCCTAGAGAATGAGAAAGAGCATGCTGGTTAGGTTTTATATTACTACTGTGCCTATTTTTGATTAAGAGAATGTTTTCTGTGTGTCCAGAGGTTTAAAAGATTAATAATTTATTTTACATATCTGGAGAATTGCTTCTCTCTGCCTCAAGCATTAGGGCCAGAGTTCTGTATTTTGTTTGCATACAATTTGAAGTGTTTTCTCTAGGTCTTATAGGGGAGAATCTGAAGACTTCATTGCTCGCTGATTTCAGTCTTACTGATGTTGGGCTCTTAGATCAGCTTGCTAGAATACAAAAATTATTCTTTTATCGTGACACCAAATTCTGTACCCTGGGACTCCAAGTGGCCATTGAAAGACTTGGGTTTAATGTTAGTGCCTCATGCTATCAACTGCCTATCTGTTGTGAAATTCTTTTGTTGTCAGATTTGTCGTTTCCTTTTCAGATAGTAGATCATCTGATTTAGAGCATGAAGGTACGTCTTCCTAAGTTTCTATGACAGAAAGATATTGAAGAAGAAGGAGAAAAGCCAAATACCAGAGACCAGACAAGGTGGCAGGAAATTGCAAACATGGTGGAATTTCCAGTCTTTTTCATTTTTTGAAGTCACAGATAATTTAAAAACTACTCGCTTTTACTTTTTTTTGTTTGTTTCCTTGCTTTTGCAACCATGTCTATCTGCCAACCTTTCTAAAATGTCATGATGTAATTATTTTAACAGGCACTGTATGCTCCTTTATTTGGGGGATATTAACCTTTCTAAACAAAAGGAATGTTAATATACACTGGAAACACAACTAATGGGATTTCATTTTTCTTGTTAGGCAAGAAGCTTGACTTTTTTTTTTTTTTTTTAACTTCTCGTAAAAGAATGCGGCAAGTGAAATAATTGCCTTAAGCTAATCCATGATAGCGATTTTAAACGTGACTTTCCAGATCACTTTTATATGGCTTAGAAAGAATAATGTGATTTTCTTGTTTTTGTTTGCTTTAGCTAAACAGTGTTGAAGGATGATATAAATTCAATGAATTCAAAACAAAGAAAATGCTAATTGCTAATGCGCTAAGTTCTTTTAAGGCATGAAATACAGTGTTTAATTCATAAGCATTGTTTCGTTTTATATAGATTTAATTTTTTTTTTTAGTTAGTATGGGACAAACTCAGAATAAATTAGCCAGCTAGCCATTTTCTTAATTATTGTGTATTCCTATTTGATGTTTAAATATATATGACCTAAATATGTTGTGGTTTTTATTAAAAAAAAAAAAAAGAAAAAAAGAATGGTCATAGGCTCTCAGATAGTGAGGCAAAGCACTTTTAGGATTTCTACAGGGCACCTCCTCTCTCCCTGGCTTTCCACCTCTCCCCTTCCCTGCCTTCTTCCCTCCTTCCCTTTAATATCCACTGAACCATTTTCACATACTTCCTGAATCACCCTTTTGACCAATAGCATGCATTTGCCATGGCATGGCTAGGCTATACATCTTTAATGTTAAAGATGGTAAGGCTGGTCAGGCGCGGTGGCTCACGCCTGTAATCCCAGAACTTTGGGAGGCTGAGGCGGGTGCATCACCTGAAGTTGGGAGTTCGAGACCAGCCTGACCAACGTGGAGAAACCCCATCTCTACTAAAAATACAAAGTTAGCCAGTCATGGTGGCACATGCCTCTAATCCCAGCTACTCGGGAGGCTGAAGCAGGAGAATCGCTTAAACCCAAGAGGCGGAGGTTGCAGTGAGCCAAGATCATGCCACTGCACTCCAGCCTGGGCCACAAGAGCGAAACTCCATCTCAAAAAAACAAAAAACAAAACAAACAAAGAAAAAGATGGTAAGGCTATGAAACAAATGAAGACTAATTGGCCCATGTGGTGTAAAGCCATGACTTTGGCCTTTTTATTGTGAACTACCTCCCCGACAGTTCCATAGACATGTATACTCTGAACAAAATATGAGTCATTAATCCCTCTAATGGAGGGACCTAGAACAGTGAAATAGGGAGGACAGGAAGGAGAATGATGCTGAATTGAACTGGGATCTTCTTGTCTGTCAAGCCCTTGAACAGCTTTCCCTTTAAGCAACAAAGATGACAAGTTTTTGCTATTTTGGATTAGTGAGAGTGTACGAAATGGTTTCCCTTTCCTTCCAGGCAAAAATACCAACAGAATCTGGCTTCGGAATGAAAGTGCTAATTTCATTTGGTGACTTTCAGATTTGAAATACGGGCTTGAACAGGCATTGTGCATTAGTCAGCTGAGGCAGTGGAGGTTATTTTTACGATGCTAATTATTATTTCCTGACAGTGATTTACTTTATGTTGTCTACTGTTTACGCCCCCAAACTAGCCATTGTTTTAGGAACAGAATTGGTTGGGTTGTCATGCTCTTTTCAAAGACAAATCTTACTATTTTATGCATAGAAATACTTTCCTGTAATAAAGAAGAAAGCTTTATTGAAGAGAATCTTGCATATGAAATGTAATCTGGATAAATATTCAAAACTAATAGGTTTATATTTTAGTCTTGATTTTTAAAGTATATTTTTCTGACATCCTAACCACCTTGCTTTATGTGCATTAAAGTTAAATCTGTTTTACTGGGATGCGGCTGAATTTTTGTTACTCACATTGAACTTAGAAAGGAGCGACACATATAGTTAACAAATAAATACAAAATGAAATCGAATATAACCCCTTGATGCGTAAAGGAAGATAAGTGGAAGACAGAGTTGATTGCATGTCTGGAAGTATATCTGCCTGATTTATGCTCTAATTTTAGTACTGAGTTTCCTTTGTAATAGTAAAATGTCACATTAGCATGTCCCTTTTAATAATCTAATATGCTACCAGTGACAATAAATACATGCACTGAGTCTAGCTCACGGTTTCTCAAACTTCAGAGGCCCATGACCCTTCCCGATGTAGTTAAATTGCCCAGATGACCCTCCTGTCATATATTTTTAATTGTAAAGCACTTGAAATTAATCATGTTTTATTTCTTTTTAAATAAGCACCTCAAGAGCAGTGGTGAGCAGTTTTGCTCACGGCACTTATCCACTCTTAAAGAAAATTAAAGATTGGAAAGGGCCTTGCGTCTCAGTGGCAGCAAAGCCATCTACATGGGGGAAAACATAGCAGACAAGAGCTGCGTTTGATACTCCTCTACACAGTCTCTTGCCTGTGCACTTAGTGAAAATTGGCACCGGTGAATATAACAAAGTAAAAGCATTTTGAATTATTACCGCAAGCCTTCAAGTGGTCATAACCCAAGATTTCAAGTACCTCAGTGAAGGGTAAGGTTTTCTACAATTTGTGTGGTAACTGAGTGCCTTTAATTTAAACTACACGGAGCTAATCTTTAGGAGAATTGGAATCTGCCTCTGAACTAATTATGATTTACAGAAATTGATAATTTGTCTTCTGCATGTGTCTGCAGGAAGAAATTACTATTAAATTTGATTAACAAATGACAGATTTCAGCCTAGTAATTTACCATCTTTATTAGCAAACTTAGAAAACTTCTTATAGTAATCTTTTCAATCATGTCAACTCTATTCTGGTAGTTAAGGTTTATGTAGAAGTAACCCATGTGTGTGGCTTTAGTAAGAACCTACCTTACCTTTAACAAAGAAATCTTGGTGTGGTTTCTCTTTTCAATAGGCAAGCACTACTCAAACGCTCACACTGATTTCCCATGGTACTTAGAACTTAATAATAGGTAATTAACTTCCAAAAATGAATAATCTGTTCTTTTGAATACATTCCTGCACTCCCTCAAAATATATGAAATTGTGTAAAAGGAAGTAGAGCATTATATCATATGTTCGCCTTATTTTTCGTGCACCACTTTGTCAAATGTTTTTCTTTCTCTTCAAACAGATTGTAATTGTGTAATGGAGGATACTATTGGCTAAAGCAGTGCCATATATATGATTGACATTGTGAATGATTCTGAATCCTACTTTGGATGTACATAACTGAGATGTAAAACTATTGTAGCATGGCAGTATAGTGAGGGCATTAAACTTTTCCTTACATGAGTGACATGGTGTAGTTTTCAAAAGTATGTTAATGTACATGTTTTTATATAGTTGAAAAAATATTCCATTGCACTAAGCAGCCTAGCAGAATTGTTACAGTGGTTAAAAATGCCCTTTTATATTTTCATGTCAGGAAAATCTTATCTTCTTGCATGTCAAAAAGGGAATTTGAACTATTAGCCTTTAAAGACCCAGAGGTAAAGTTTAATTTTATAATGACATAAAATAAATGTTCTATTATCTAAGTAATAGTTCACCAGAAAAGTCTGAAATGGCCTCCTTTCTCAAGGATGCAGCTTGTATGTGATGCTAATATTAAAATGGACCTGCCAAATTGAGTGATGGGAGGTGCTAATAACTCCAAGTGGGGAGATGAAAACAACATATTGCACACACCTGCTCTCAGCTTTATGTCAGTCTCATTAAGTTATTGAATGGGTGAGTATAATGGGGAAGGAGGGGAGTCAGACGTATGCCAAGAAGCAGTTGGGGGGGCTAGTACCCCACAACATGATGAGTAAACGGATTGTCTTTGGCGCAGGAAGCCTGCTTGTCACTGTGGTTCATCCATGACCTTTGACCTGAGGATGCAAAAGAAGTTTAGATTCTTTATAGCAGTCTATCCTGGAGCGTTGTGTTGGCAATGAAGATTGTTTTATTCACTTGTACCCGCATCTTAGTTTACTGGTGTTGCATTGAGAGTATATGTTTATATGCTTATTTAGTTTAGGTACTCTAAATTTCGTTCTGTCTCTTTCACCTTTAGGATGAATCAATAGGGTTTTTTTTTGTTTTTTCCTTCTGACAATGTTTGGTATTATTATTCTTTGTTAAATACGGCTATACATAGTCTGATCTGGGTCAAAGAAAGTCATTCAGGCAGTTTGCTAACAGTTGTTGCTAGTAATGGTCACTCTTCTAAACTGGAACAATTGAACACCAACAAAACAAAAACTTAGGAACTGAATTGTGGGGCAAGCCCATATAAGGTGTGATGGATTCTGGGGGACTCCAGAGGTTAGCCGGTGACCCTTTGGCTTGATCCGGGCCTCTCTCTGACAGCTTTCATTCATTTTAAAGAAACCTGGGAAAAGTTGATATTCAGAAAGTGCTGGTTAGCTGTCTGTTACTCACCCCAACAAAAAAGAAGTTTCATGAAATGTCTTTCAACAATGGAAAAAAATAAGAAAAAACAAAACAATAAGCAGGCCAGGTGTGTGTGGTGGCTCAAGCCTGTATTCCCAGCACTTTGAGAGGCTGAGGTGGGGAGGATAGCTTAAGGCCAGGAATTCAAGATCAGCCCGGGGAACATAGCAAGACCCCATCTCTATAGAAACAACAAACAAAAACCAAAAACCCACAATGGCTTCCTGAAGTTATTTAGAGTTGATTTTGTAATGTTTTATGAAATTTTACCCCAGTAGGTTAATCCAATTCTGTTTTGCTTATTCTGACTTTGACATTCACTTGCAGTCCTTAAGCACGTATCTTTTGAATACAAGCCAAGCCATGCAGTGGGTGGCAAGGTAAGTCAATTTGGGATTAAAAGGCTGTCAGGGATAATGCTGAACCACATGTGGATATTTGAGAGGTGGCTGCACCCCACTTTGCTCTCTGTCCAGCTTGCAAACCGAAGTCTCTGGAAAAAGGAACTTCTTAAGGTAATATGATTCACGTGAGCAGAAGAGCCCATCAGAGGCTGTCTGGTTTCAGTAGAGATGATCAACAGATAATGTACTGAATTGGTAGGCATAATGAGGATACAAAGAAAAGACATCCTGGAAACCTAATGAAGACTTCACTTTATTATCTTTTCAGATAATTGCTTAGATGCATGTACATTTTCCTTTTAAATTTAGAGTTAAAAAAAATCAAGTTGAAACACAAACATAATTTTGAGTGAAGAAATGCTTGAGCATCTGGGAGGTAGAGCAAGAGGGTCCTTGGAAGGGTATGGAGCAGCACAGTGAGGCTGTGACAAATGTCCCCCTAGCCACTGGCCTCTATCAACCCAAAGTGCTTCTCAGAAAACAAATAATAAAACAAACAGGATGTAAACATCAGCAACTTAAGTACTTGCCAGCTCAGTTGTTGGGAGTGGGTAAAGCTAAAGATTAAAGACAGCTTGACAAAATCCTACACACTATCCAGCTGAGTTTTACACATTATGAGATGTGGTAGGACAGAATGAGGGTGTTTAAAAAAATTATTGCTATTATGCAGCTGGAGGGCAATGGGCTGAGTTGGGAATATGCCAGGAGAACTTGTGCTGCTTGTGTAGATAAACTTACAGGACTTCAGCTTTCAACCCCATCCAATTCTTTCTGTCAGATTCTCTTAACCTTGTCCTGTCCCTTGCTGAGCACTGACATTTTCAGAGCAGAGGAAAATCATGTTAAATTTATGTATGAGGAGGGGTACATCTGTGTGTATTGCTGTACTCTGGTTTTAAATGTTTGGGCTCTTTTGATTAGTTCTGCCCTTGGTTTATTTTGTAGTCTCAGAAGTGCTTATAAACCAGTGCTGGTTAAGAGTCTAATTTAGCTTCTCCTCATGTTCTTTGGTCAGCGTGGTGGCAGTCTTTTGTGGTCGTGCAGAAGAGCCTCAGCCCCTGCTGTGGGACAAAGGGGACCAAATTGTTTGCTGTCCCTAGACAGCCTAGGCCTGTTGCAGCCCAGATGGTGCTTTTTGTCAGTTTAGTTTATTGGGATTCTGCCGAATACTTTGTTTGATGAGAGAGTTTTAACACTGAAGAATGCATGAAAACCTGGGATGCTGGAGAATTGTGAGAGATGGGCTTGGAAAGGAAGATTCAAGCCAAATTGTAGAGTACCTTGAAACCTGACAAAGGGGAATATATTTTTATTTTATCTGTAGACACGTAATGGGGAAACATTGAGGATGACTGAGCAGGAGAGAGACCATGTGAAGGATGGACTGAATGGAGACTTGTATCAAAGAGTCTGAGTATCAAAGACTTGTATTAGAGAGGGTTGTTGTAGTAATCTAGTCAGGGTATGAGAAATGGTTTGTATTAGAGTGTCAGGAGTAGTCGTGGCAAAAATATATAGATCAGGATGAGGGATGGGCCTCATCTCACACCCTGACTCCAGTCAATGGCAGTGGCTCCCTGGAGTACACTACTATAGGAAGGATTTTGTAAAGTTTTGTCTGGCCTCAGTGGAGGGTGAGGTAGGGGAGGAGTTCTATGAACAGTTAGTGGTGTCTGCCATGGTTGAAACAATGGAGAAGGGGGACACCTTTTCTGTGCAGATGTTGCTTCTGGTAGATATAATCCACAATGTAATGGGAGAAGTACTAAGAATCAGTAAATTATGGAGGGTGTAAAAGACTACTGATATTTAAGCCTGGCGGACCGGACTTAGAGAAATGATAGTTAAAGGAGAAATATCCAGCAAACAAAGATATGACATTGAAGTTTGGGACTGCGATTAGTACCAGAGATTGGATTGGAGGTGATTTGTATAGAATGGATAGGTGATTTTACTCTTGCAATTTGGATTGAGGGTGGGAAACCAGAGAGGGCGGGGGTAAATTAGTAGAGGTCAACTTGAATTCTGTGTCCATATCAATGCTGAACTGATTGTGAACATTTTTACATCTTGAGTCACATTGTAAGGAGACCAGAAGTGAATTGAGCATAGTAAGCATTTGGAAGTAGGTGAGTGTTTGGGGTTCTCTGTCTACAACTTTTAAATTTTAACAAAGCTCCACGATACTCTATTTAAACTCTTAAATATTACCTTGTTTATTAATTACCAAATTTTAGTACTGACTTGAGCAACAGGTCTCTTGTCTGCTATTTTGAGATTATATAGAATATTGACACTAAGAAGAAACTCAATCGTAACTCCTATTAGAGAAGAAAAATAACTCAGAAGCGTTAAAGTTTTGCCCAATATCACAGAGATAATAGGTAGCATGGTTGGGCCTGAGACTCAGGTCTTGTGATTTTCATTCTAAGTGCTTTTTCTGTATTCGATGCTATTTTTTTTTTTTTTTTTACAATCTGTATGATACAGATTTGAACATTATTTATAGAAATAAAGGATAAATGATGTGTATAATCTGATAGAATAATTTTGAGAAATGCAGATATTGATAGTCCCCAGCTTTTTCCCTTTTTATTGTGCTGATTCATTTATATATTCATAAATGTATTTAAACCAGTCTCTGAATATTTAGGTCAGTGCTAGTCATTTGCTCTTATAAATGGGAAGAGACTGTATAAGTTAACCAGACTGTCTAGGTTTAAATCTGAGCTCTTCCATTTCTTACCTATGAGATCTTTGATAAACTTCTTACCTTTGTGTTCCAGTTCTCTTATTTGTAAAATGAGGATGATAATGGTGCTTACCCCATTGGGTTACTGTGAAGGTTAAATGAGGGTGGATATGTAAAGTACTTAGAACAGTCTTTGGCACATGGCAAGCTCTATATATGTAAGATCATAGCCTTGAGAGTTGACCTTTTGGATTCAAATTCTAACTCCATCTTTTACTAGTTGTTTGACCTTGGACAATTAACTTAATTTTTCTAAGCTTAGATAACAGTCTGTACCTTATAGGGCTGCTACGAGAACTCAGTGAGATAATGCAGATAAAGTACATTCTCAATGCTTGACTTCAAATAAGGACACAATACAAGATAATCATTTTCATTATTACCATCATAATCTTCATAATGAAGAATAATATGATAATGAACATCCATGCACATAACCCCTTGTATCTCTTCATGAATGTTTCCTTAGGGTAAGTTCTTAGAAGTGAAATTGCTATCTTCCTCTTGACTTTCTACAAGGTCTTTAATCTTTACAAAGTTTTGTATATTGAAAAAGACAAGCTCTTATTGAACACATAGTAGGTGCAATTTACCAGCATAGGCAGAGGAGGTTATATAAGGTTGAACATTTCTTTGTCTATATTGACTTTGTAATCTAGTGTGAGAGTTAAGAAATGAAACTAACTGTGGTAAAATATGCAATGTGAGATATATCTTTGAAAAGGGACAAAGTACTATGGAAACACATCATTTGAAGAGAGAAATTTCAGCAGAGGGAAATCAGGAAAGACTTCATGCAAGAGATGAAAAAATTAGATATCTATGATGCATAGTGTTTTGATAGATGAAGATAGTGAAGCATATCCTTGGCATAGCAAGGTTTGTCATATGGCCATTTCTGTCACTGGGGCCTTAGGGTTTAAGTGCATATACTAGCCCTTGACTTTGGAGACTTAGAGACCGGTAAGGAGCTTATCTTCTCTCCACTCACTCTGTTCCTCCATGTAGAATCTCTTTATCTTCCTTCCATCTCCTTCAGGACACAGGCAATGTTTGGATTTCCTAGTTTCTCTCAGAAACATGATACTACATCGTGTATTACTTAAGACAGATTCAGGCCAGAGTACACATACAACTCTTGAGTTGGTCAAATTGGAATTCAGTTTCTAGGTTCTCCATGATTACTTTAATCTGATTTATCTGAAGAAAAGTTAATCTGTTGGTATGATCTGATGGCAAGGCTTTACAAGTATATGTGTTTTAATGTAGTCGCAATTTTTAAGGTAAGTTAAAGCCTTTCCAGTTGTTACTTATTTTTCAGTGACAGGACAAATGGCTGGCATAATTTATTTTTGTTTGTAGATGGATATAACTGGAGATCTTATATATTGGGTATGCATTTTTTATGAATTTATAGAATTTTAGCCTAAGACGTTGGATTAGATGTTAAAGCATTTATGTTGATAAGCAAGAAGTAAATTGTATTCTGATCCAGTTTGTATAATAATGTGCAACCAACCCAATTCACTAAGTTTGTATTGGTAATTTTGCATTGCTATGGGACTTAAGTTACATATATAAGAGTTGACAGTTATTTCAGCATGTGTTAGACTTGAACTCCAGAAGGTTAAGGGGAAGTTCTGCTATTTATTTTCTGTTCAAAAACAGATGAAAAAAGGATCTTTATATTATTCTCTGTCACACACCGGTAAATACATGGTCTTCCCAAATCCACCACGAACCAATGCTGTGAGCTGCTTAGTTTGCTTGTTTCCCTAAAGCTTTCATGTGACAAATTTATAATTTTGTATGTTATTTCTAGGTCAACAGTTAGATTAATGTTTTATCTCCTGAGCAAAAACACAGTGCTTCTTTGTAAACTTTGTTATCTTACTGAAACTGAAAATTGCAAAACAAAGAATTTTCTAGTTCTCACATTCCTTGATGGAGAACAGTGTTTATATAGAGGTTATCTTGTGGTTTATTTTATATTCTACTTAACTTTAACATTTCTGCAGGTAGAATAAATATCCTATTTAAAGCTTTCAAATCTTATTAATTAAAGGTAGTTGTCATTACTAATTGTTTACTGAGTTTTATTTATTTTTGCTTCATTGTAGCTCATGAGGAGGCCACCTAAATTGATCAGAATATAAGCTTATCCTAGTCACTGAAATAATACTTAGTGCCGGCAACAGAAATATACTCAAGAAATATTTGTTAAGTGAATAAACTGATAATGACCTAGGAGGATGCAAGTCTTAAAAAGTAGTTCAGAATATGCAGATTTTACCATCAGTCTGAGAGTTGGTAACTTAGAACATTTTCTATTTGAGCTAGTATGAATTTAATTTTTTAGAATGCGACGATGTCATCAGTTCTTAAGTAGGCCTGGGAACTCATTCTTTTTGAAATATATTACATTTTAGAGACTTTATAACAACATTTTCTTCCATTTGCATGTATTGACAGTTTTTTATGTTCTGGCTGGTCACAGTGGGCTCATGCCTGTAATCCCAGCACTTTGGGAGGCTGGGATCACCTGAGGTCAGGAGTTTGAGACCAGCCTGGCCAACATTGAGAAACCCCCGTCTCTACTAAAAATACAAAAATTAGCTGGGGGTGATGGCACATGCTTGTAATCCCAGTTACTGGGGAGGTTGAGGCACCAGAATGTCTTGAACCCGGGAGGCAGAGGTTGCAGTGAGCCAAAGTTGCGCCACTACACTGCAGCCTGGGCGACAGAGTGAGACTCTGTCTCAAAAAAAAAAAAAAAAAAAATATATATATATATATATATATATATATATATAATATTTATTATGTTGTGTGACTCCACTCTGAGACCAGGGGAAATTTGATTTTAAATAAATCCCCCTTATATGGCGTATATTATGACCTGGCTTTTTTTTTTTTTTTTCTTTCCACAACCCCACCCCAAAACACTTAATACATTTCAGCAACTGAGTAAGCTTCATCATTAAAAACTCTTAGCATTGCCAATTCTAGTTATTTTTCAGAGTGTTCCTAGAAAGACACATCCTAAAAGAGATTGTCATGAAAGATTTTGTATTTCCTTAAAGGAACAATAGAGCTTGCATTTGTGATCAAAGATGGAACAGAGATAATCATAGAAGTGACCCAAATGCCATAAAAGCAAAAATACAGCCATAAACCTACACATTATTTTATCTTTATTTCTATTTAATAAACATTTTGGGTATGTACAGATATGAATCTTAGGTAGTCATTATGCTCAGGTTTTTCAGTCATTGAGGGAACACATGATTGCAGTGGACTCCAGATGTCGTCAGCCAGAGTTCAGGATTCACACGGGAACGCGAGCTTTATGGCAGCTGGGTAATTTGGAATCTCATCTTTATAACTTGGATGCCTGGTCTGGCATGGTAGAGTGGACCTGATGAGTAGGCTGATTTGAAATCTGATCTGAGGTACTTTAGTGATCTTATTGGAAACAAAAGAATAACTTAGAATACGTGGAGGGATGAATACTTTTTTTTTTCTACCTCTTTTATACTAAAATACTATGAATCTCAGTTGGGCATGAGAGGTAGTGAATTGAAGAGGGTTTGTGTCCGAGCTCTCTGGTCAAAGCTTGGATTTACTTATTCTGTGCTATAAATTAAAAGGAAATACACTCTCTTAATTGGTGGTGAAGAGACTTGCTGAAAGTTGCCCAATTTGTAATTAAACTTTGGATCTAATATTCTTTTTTTCATTTTCTATACTTTGATATTAGATAGCTGCTTGTATGACTATACATGATGAAATAATTGGATACATGTTAAAAATGAAAACTAAACTCTGCATAAGTAAAATTAGTGAAGAGGCAGAAGGTAGGGGTGGCCTCTATGAAGCAGGTATGAGAAAAGCTCCATGAAGTTATGATTACATTTGTTTGATTTTTTTAATTACACCATGTTTAGATGGTTATTTAAAAGAAGGTGGACATGAACTCATCATTTTTTATGGCTGCATAGTATTCCATGGTGTATATGTGCCACATTTTCTTAATCCAGTCTATCATTGTTGGACATTTGGGTTGGTTTCAAGTCTTTGCTATTGTGAATAGTGCTGCAATAAACATACGTGTGCATGTGTCTTTATAGCAGCATGATTTATAGTCCTTTGGGTATATACCCAGTAATGGGATGGCTGGGTCAAATGGTATTTCTAGTTCTAGATCCCTGAGGAATCGCCACACTGACTTGGGACATGGATGAAATTGGAAACCATCATTCTCAGTAAACTATCGCAAGAACAAAAAACCAAACACCGCATATTCTCACTCATAGGTGGGAATTGAACAATGAGATCACTTGGACACAGGAAGGGGAATATCACACTCTGGGGACTGTGGTGGGGTCGGGGGAGGGGGGAGGGATAGCATTGGGAGATATACCTAATGCTAGATGACACGTTAGTGGGTGCAGCGCACCGGCATGGCACATGTATACATATGTAACTAACCTGCACAATGTGCACATGTACCCTAAAACTTAGAGTATAATAAAAAAAAAAAAAAATTAAAAAAAAAAAAATAAAAAAAATAAAAGAAGGTGGAACAGACCTCTTTAAAATAGAAAGTACAGGATCTTACAAAGCATATAGCACTTGCAGTCTCCTCCCCTCTTCTTATCACTTTTATGCCAGGAAGGATTAAGAAATTTGAATATTTGGAGACAAAGCAGTGTGAGATGTAATTGCCCAATACTGAAGGAGAGTTGAGCCATAGCACACACCACAGTAGGGATGCTATAACCAGTTATGCAGGCGGAGACACAGTGTGCTTCCTACGTGTGAGCATCTGCCGTTGGTCAGTGGGGGCCTTCCAAAGGCTGAAGTGATTATGATACTTGAAAACATGTTGGGTTCAAGGATTTATAATCTATTTTTAAAAGACAGTAAATTCAAGGTAAAATAGAGTACACTGGTGTGTACCTTAGATATTAGTTCTTTAAGTCTTTCTCCAAATGGTAGTTTCTCTAAAATTTGAGACATGAACACTAGGTAATTTAGTATTAGGCAAATATTTAAACAGTTTAAATGAGTTTATTGCATCCTGGCTCTATTACTTACTAGCTGTGTAAGTAACCTTAGGCAAATTATTTGAATTTTTTGCGACTTAATTTTCTTGTCTATAAAAGATATTTAACAATGGTTTCTACCTCTTAGGGTTTTTGTGAATATTAAATGAGTTAACATATGCGAAGTACTTAGAATCGTTTCTAGCATATAGTAACACCGTACATGTGTTAGCTGTTATGATGGTGGTAATGATGTTCTCCTCCTCCTCCTCTTTCTCCTTTTCCTCCTGCTAACATTTGTAGAAGTGTGAACTTTCTCTCAATTCATCTACTCGCTTCATCTGAGAAGAGCCAGTCTTCCTGACCAGTATTTTACAACCCGAGATACCCACTTAGGGCCAACCAGTATGCTACCAGCTTTGAGCTTAGGTTATTTCCAACCAATCTCTTAAAAGCCGGAGTCAAAATTCAACCTCAGTTCAGTAATGGTAATTGTTTTTCTCTGGTCATCCCTAAGGTGATTTATTACTAGACGTATCAGTATGACCCTCTCATAACATTTTTATCTATTAAAAGTTTCCTGAGAAATGGATTTTTAATAAACCATTATCACAACAGCATTATTATCACTACTCCATGGTGTATTAATTTAACCACATCTGTGGCCCTCTAGTTTATTTATAGTATTGTGATAGAAGTCATGGGGAATACAAAGAGGGCAAAAAAGAAAAAAATATATGTATAACTTAGTTGGGAAGACATAACAAATGCATATCAAACGTTAAACAGCATTAAGAAAAAACATTAGTAAAGAGCCAAGGGAGGTTAGAGTAAGGAAACAGAATGCCTGCCCTAAGTCTTGGGGCAGAAATAGAAATATAGAAGGCAGGATCTCAATACACAGAAAGGAGGGGTGCAGGTCGAATGGTGGAGGAAGAATGTCTGTGGTGCATTAAGAGAAACCATGAGCAAGTTGGTTTCTCTGGAAAAGAGAGGTGCTGTTGAGAACTAATAGGATAGCAAGTTGGTAAGTTTGGAAGACAGACAATTATGTGGAAAGAAAGAAATTCTGTTACCTGCAACACCTAATGTCTACAACCTATCAAATTAGCACATGTATTAAGCACTGATAATGCCAGCTAAATCTCAGTCAGAAGCTAAGGAACTGGAGAACATCAAGGACCTAGTTGCAGAAGCATATCAGAGCTGCTGGCCCTGAAAAACCCTGAAAGAGCCGGGAATTAAGAATTTCATCTTTGGACTCAGCCAAGCTTAGACAGACTTGGTTTTAAACTCAGTTTAGCTACTTACTAGTTGTATTAGTGGAAACATTAATTAATTAATTCTCTGTACCTCAATTTCCTCATCTGTAAAATGGTGATAAGGTTAATTTGAAGATGGCATCTTTGAAATGTGTAAGGATTGAATGAAATGGGTAATTTATGTAAAGTTCTTACAAATTCAAATATATAGTCAGTACTTACTTAACGGTTACTAATAATAACAGCAACAGAGTATGTTTCAACCAGACAGAATAAGTTCAATTTAATTTTTTTTCATCTTGAGATGCCATGTAAAATGTTAACTAATGTTCCACTTCTTTAAGAAAAAGTTGGAAAAACACTCATACTTATTTTTAACCTTACTACTGTGAAATGACAGTGCTTCTAATTCTGGCTGTGAAATCTAGTAATCCTTTTAAAAGGATTAAATTGTGAACAAACACATCAGGAAAGAACTTAAATCTAGTGTTTCCTGACTTATTTTGGTTCTGATTAATTAAATTTTTTTCAGAAAGGGTAGAAACCAAGAGTAGGTATAATTGAAGAGTTAATCAGAAAATTAAATAAGGGTACTCATTAACCAAGTGTTTTAGTAATAGAGGTTTTACTGTATTAGGAGTTCCCACTTGTTCTTTTTCTGCAAATGTGGCAGTCGGTTTTATTTTTAAATGCTGACATAAATTGAAAGTCTTTTATAACCTCTGAAGCATGTTTCGCAAAGTGCAGTCCATGGATCCTTGGAGGCTCCCAAATTCCTTTTGAGGGATCGATGAGATGAAAACTGTTCTCATAATACTAAGACGTAATTGCCTTTTTTGGGTGTGTTGACATTTGCTCTGATGGTGCAAAAGCAATGGTGGGGAAAGTTGTGGGAGCCTTAGCCTGAATCGAGTTAGTGGCACTAAACTGTCCTAGAAGTCATTGTATTCTTCACCTCCACATACAGTAAAAAAGAATATCCCTGATGAAGCAGTAAAAATTATTAATTTTATGAAAGCTTGACCTTGAGTTACATGTTTTTAAAAATAGTTTGTGTGAAGGAGAATTACAAATAAAGCATTTTTGCTACATACTTGTCTCAAGGAAGAAGACTGGGGAGATTGAGTTAAACTATAGTTATTCAGACGCGTATTTGGCAGACATTTTCTGGAAAGCAGTGAGCCTGTCATTTTAAGAGAAACAATGGACATTGTTGTCAGTGATAAAATTAAAGATTTCAAGTGGAAATGTGAATTTTTTAAAACTTGCATCTTCCTCTGTGAACTTGACAGCTTCCTAATGAACCATTGACTTTTCTTATGATATTGGTGGTGATACTAATGAATGTGACTTTTTTGATACTGAATAATGAAATGTGTCACCATTTGGAAGAGTGCTGCATAACTCAGTGAACTAATATTTTCCAAATGACCAGTGCATGATTTTAAAACATCATGAGTGGCTAAAAGATCCATTCAAAGTGCAGGATTGACTAATGAATTTTAATGTGACAGAGTATGAGAAGTTCTTTGATGTGGTTTCAGATTCCACAATCCAATTTAACCATGAAGAAGCCACCACTTGTTGAGTTTTGGTATAGTATCAAAGGAGAATAAAACCATAATTATCTGAAAAGACTATTAAAATACTTTTCCTTTTACAACTATATATATACATGAGGCTATTTTATTTCCCATATACTTCAACATAAACAATGGATCACAACAGATTGAATGAAGAAGCAAATGTGAAAAGCCAATTGTTCTCTATTAAGCCAAACTTTAGATTTGCAAAATTCTTTTCTAATTTTTTTGCTGTGGAAAATGTAGTTATTTTCACAAAAACATGTCCTTTGTGTTAACACGCGATGGGTTTATTAAGTGGATTCATAAGATTCTTTAAAAAATATTATCAGTTTTATTTTTAAGAGTTTAAAGTGATCCTGACATTATGAACTTTGAGAACCACACCCCTGACGTGGTAAAATTAAATTTTCCTATGAATTTTTATGGTTTACCAGTGCATGAGATTGCCATCTTGTGACAAAATAGGGAAATGCAAGTATTTTTGAAAAGCTCATCTTTAAGGACTTGGAGTGATTTCTAATGACTACTTGTTGGAAATTTATCAAGAGAAAGATATAAGTTCAGATTTCCAAGGGCTATGTCTTAAAATATATGTGCCAAAAATATTAATTTTCAGAAGGTAAGCAAAAAACAGTTAATTAAATGCATATTTCTAAAGGGCTGACATTGGTTTGGGGCCAGTCTTCTGTTAAGAACACATTTAGTTTTTATGTTCAGTGTGTATATTTCCTATTACACTGAGCCCCTTTGTATGTGATGTTATAGACTACTCGAATGTGTATTTACTGTTCAAAACACTGATAAATGTTTGTGGTGATATTCTGGTGGCATATAGTTGTCCCCCTTTATTCTCAGGGGATGTATTCCAAGATCCCCAGTGGATGTCTGATTCTGAGGATAGTATTGAACCCTATACAGACTATTTTCCCTATACATACATACCTATGATAAAGCTTAACTTATAAATTAGGCACAATAAGAGATTAACAACAACAATAAAACAATTATATCAATATGCTGTAATAAAAGTTATGTGAATGTGGTCTCTCCATCACCTGATGGGGTACTCATCAATTGATGAGTACTGTACTCATCAATTTTTAGACCCCCATTGGCCCAGGGTAACTGAAACCATAGAAAGTAAAACTACAGATAAGGGGGGGACTACTGTATCATCACTTGTGATTGACTTAAGGTTTAGTCATTGGTTGATACCAGAAACTTGGCTGATAATATTCTTCTTTCTAAAGGGAAATGTGATCAATTCTTTATGATGTGGAGTTTAGGTCCACACTCTGGTGAAGAGTTTGAATTTGCTGCCCTTAAATACTACATCACTGTAGTTCTGTGTGATGTGTCCTGTACAAACATGCAGAGTAAACATTGTTCCTTGCCTTCTGCTTTCTTGAGCACTAAAATACACAGTGTAAATATGCACAAACATGTAGAAGGACATATAGACAAATACAGCCTTAGCCAAGTCATGAGAGATGCAGCTGCAAGAAACAGGCTCATGCATAATGAACATTTATGCTATGGCATAGCTTGTGTTTTTGCATCCATGAGCTGTATGAAAAGGAAGGAACCTCACTTCGTTTTCATTCAGTTAGAATGAAGGCCCACTGGTCAGTTTTTTGACTCAATTCAGCTGATTGTTTTCAAAATAACCTGTTCTTTTCTAACAGTTGTGTGTAGGGACAGCTGCACTCTGATGAAATGACTGTGAGCCTATACGCTAACTACTGTACTAATTTTCTGCCTATATTTACTATGTGCCCAGTGACTCTGCTGATGAATATTTTAGACATCTTCATGAATAATGTTACTGCCCACAGTAGAGCTGCTTGCTTGTTTGTAAGGCTGGAAATGCTATCAAGATGATACCGACTCCCATTCTATATACCAACGTGAAAATAATAAAATACCTAAGTAAGGTTGTTGGTCAAGATTGTCTTTGAGGAATCATGGATGCTCTGAAATTGGATGCCAAATTTTACATGTAGGTGGATGTGTGTTTTTGAGAAAACTCCAGAGCTTTTATCAGACTCTCCAAAGGGATTGTGATCTCATAAAGACTAAGAACCACTAGATAAGCTTTATAGTTTTGAAAGTGCTTCTCCATACATTTTTATTTGATCCTCCCAATGATTTTCAGGGAGGCATGTTGGGCATTCTCTCTCTTTCTCTCTCGATCTCTCAACAGAAGAGCATGACTCAGAGCTTAAGTGGTTTTGTGCTTCATCCTGTAGGCACTGGGAGCCTTTGAGGGTTTTAAGTGAGGAAGTGATCTGATCAGATCGTCCTTTAGAGAGATTGCCCTGGTGGTAGTGTAGAGGATGTTTTAGGGGAGTAGGAGGCTAATTAGGACACCATTGGGAAAATCAGGTAAGAAAAGATGGTTGGCCTTGAGTTTGTTGCAGTCAGATTGGAAAAGAGGGGAGGAATTTGCTAAACAGCTTTGATTTTGAAGAACTGATGGGACATCAGGGAGAAAAGACCAGTAAGCAATTGGACGTTCTAGTCTGGGACTGGTGAGGTGAGGAGGACCTCGCACAGGGTGTATAGAGTGAGAAGTGAAGAGTTCCTGGGGAGAAAATGTCAGCTAGTGTTTGGCTGGAGTGATGGTCTTAGGGAAGCGCAGGGAGATCCAGGAACATCGCTTTTTTCCCCCCATTCTCTGTATTCCTGGGTTGACAAGTAGGGATTAAATATATTTTTTAACCCTCTTCATTTACTATCAGATTATTTATATTTTTATTTCTCAAGGACTTTAAATTTATGAAGTTTACAAAAATCAGTCATACCACTCTAATCTACCTTCTGCTCAGTGGAGGCGTCAAGCAAAGGATGGGTTAAGGGTACTCCCCTATAATCAATATGATCTTCTCCATTCTTAGATGTGGAAATTGACACGTTATCGAGCATATGTAAGTGCCATACCATTCCAACTTTACATACTTCTCACCACCCCTGCTGCACCTCACCTCCCTAATAACACTTCTGGGACCGTGGTTGCTTTAAGATCAGCTGACTTTTCCCTCAGTGATTCAATGCAGAATCCTCAGTAAGTAGAGCATTCCTTTTGATGGCTTTACTAATACCCAGATCTCGTAGTTCTTTAAATCCCTCAACTAAAATGACCTTCATCTTCATTTCACTTTGGCTGTGCACACACATGCCACACCTAATAGATCTGCTCCACTTTGAATATTTCAAACTCTATTAGTCTCCTCTTTGAAATAGCCTTCTAACTTCTACCTGCCCCATCCATGTTTCTCCTCAACCTGTCTTCTCTTCCATTCCTTGTTCCATTCCTTGTTCTGTCCTTGTTTTCCAGTATGGGAAGATAGGGGAGGGAAGAGGCTGGCAACTCTCTTCGAATCCCTGCTTCCGTACTCAGCCCACAACTATTCAGATGGTTCAATAATGATTGTGCTTACCCTGCAGACTTCCTCACATAGTATTCTTTGAGAATTTCCAACTCAGGTTCTTTTCCTGTTTTTTTCCCCGACTGTTACGCTCAGGCACCTGGGCATTGTTAGTAAATTTCATAAAAACTGGGACAATTGGATCAATAAATGTATGTAGAATAAAGAAATCTATCAGATCCTTCCCCACGCAGGGGAGGGGAAGCTTAGGGCTGTGTTGAACTCAAAAAAACAAAAAAAAAGGTCTATATTTCATTTTAGTTACATCTCAACTAGCTCTGCCTATGTGAATATTTGTATGTGTGTCACCTGATAGTGGTCAGAAATTTGGGTCCTTCATACCTTTATTTCTATTAGAAAATCAGCCTTTGTACCCATTTTTTTTCCTTACAGGTATAGACTTGGTAAAATCTTGATAAAAATTTTCTGCACATATTTACTCTATTTGAGTTAGGAACTGGACTGTGTGAATGCTTTTTCTTCTAAGCCATGAGTGATATTTATTTATTTTATTTTTGTCAGTTGTTTCCATGGTTCATGAATTCTTTATTATATATAGTAGGAGTCATCAACTGGATGGAGAATCATTGAAATTGTAAGTTTAGGACATTAGTTGGAATAACCTGAACAATGTGCTTACCTTTTGGGCCCTTAATTTAATTTAAAATTAAATGAGTCTTATGATGGCAAGCTTCACAGATCTGCCTGCAGGGCTTTCAGAATGGAAATGTGTGTCTCTGTGTGTGGGAGGCTCTTTTGTTTAGTTGGAAAGGCTAGGAAATCTTTGCCTAAAAACACTCATTGTTTAGAGAGCATAAATAACTGAACATAATGTTAGTGAGAAGTTTAATTTGAGATTGAACCACTGACTTCCAAGAATATAGCAGAGTGAGTGGAAGTGCTATGAACAATGTCTTCCTTATTTCCTTTAAAATGCCCATGAAATTGTCTCAAAAAAACCAAATCCCCAGAAGTAACTACAATGAGTGGCAGGCACTGAGCCCATTCTAGTTTCTGGAAGGAATTTTTACATTCTTTCCTGTAGTTGAAATCAGATGGAGTTGCCGTTTCTTCACCAGGCCCCCCAACCTGCAACCTGATTCCTCCTCTTCACTTCCCTGTTTCAGCCACTAGTCATGGAATCCTGCTCAACATGTACCCTGTACCCTTTTGTTCATGTCCAGTGCTGCTGAGTGTTAGTTGATTCTGTAACAGCTGCTAACATGCTCCTTCTTGGGTGGAGGTGGTTCTCATTGAACTGACTCCTGGCTCCCACCCAGGTTCTGGGCTGGTCTGTGAATTTAGGTGCTTGAAAGTCAAGAACCAGGATTTGCACCTGCTTCCAATCATCCTTTGGCTCCACTTTGAACACAAGGGCATCTGCAAAGACGTCTACATGCGGTCACTAGTGTAGGATTTTCTTGTCTCCTCCATTAGACTGAGCTCCATGAGGGTGGGGAAGGAAGAGATGAGGGTGGGAGTATATTCCTTCTCACTGAATCCCCAACACTCAGAATAGTACTTAGCACATGTTGGGTACTGAAGACACGCATCAAACTCATTAATGTAACTCAATCGTTGGGAAGGACTTAAAAGCAGTCCTGAAGCATGGTAAGCACTAAAGGCCAAGGTCAAACCAAGCCCAAGGATGTAAAAAAGAAATGAAATCACACATTATAGATGAATAATTAAAACAAAATTCTGCAGCTCCAAAGCAAAGAAATTGTAGAGATCTGCAGCAATATCTTTCTGAAACAATTTTCCTTTATGAGACAGTTATAAAAGCTGTGCTTTGTAAACTCAGTAAGATACCTGAAGAGTTTACATCTAGTAAATGAGAACTTTAAAAAGAATAAAACGAAGTGAAAATTATAGTAGATAAAATAAATCTCCATTGTAAATAAAAAGCTGACTGTACTTAGAAAATTCATCCAGTTGATATGGACAGGAGGCAGGGAAATACTGGGTAAAAGAGGGTGGTTCCCTGGCAAAGGCCCCACTCTCAAGCCCAGAAACCCATGGCTCTAAATGAGAACAGGACTTCCTGTTTTCACACCCAAATGTTCTCTTTTGGCCTGCTGCACCCCTCTATCCTGTACCCATATAAACCCCAGACCCTAGGCTCCACAAGCAGAAGAGCAGAGGAGCAGAAGAGCAGCAGTGACGTGGTAGAGAAGGAGAGAAGAGAAGGAACATCTGAACACCGAGAGGAGTTCAGCTGGGGATAGCTGGAGAGGAGATGGTCCATGGAATGGTCAAACTCCAGAGGAAGATCATCTTCCCGCTCCATCTCCTTTCCGGCTCCCTATCCATCCTGCTGAGAGCCATCTCCATCCAGCAATAAAATCCTCCGCATTTACCATCCTTCAGTTTGTCTGTGTGACCTGATTCTTCTTGGACACTGGACAAAATCCCAGGTACCAAGAGGGCACTGAGCTGGTTAACACTTAAGCTGTCTGTGGACAGCAGAGCTAAAAGAGCACTGTAGC
Source organism: Homo sapiens (assembly GCF_000001405.40). Classification (NCBI taxonomy): domain Eukaryota; kingdom Metazoa; phylum Chordata; class Mammalia; order Primates; family Hominidae; genus Homo; species Homo sapiens. Next base: position 115,329,626 of record NC_000011.10, on the reverse strand, counting down.
ACACCCACTGGGGCTTTGGGAGTCACGGGCACCCAGCCCTAGACGCTACTATGGGATCAGCTCCCAAAAGTGCTCTCCCCGGCTCCTGCACCTGCCCTTCTGTGTGCTCCCCCTCCCATAAGGTGTTAGAGCATGCAGCAGCCCAACAGACGAGCCACACCCCTGTTGCATGTCTTGTGAGGGGGGTCAGGGAACTCTCCCGTTTCATAGTGATAGAGGATAGACTTCAAAAAAATGCCCAGACTGCAACAAAAAAGCCTAGAAAGACACAGATCCAACCTAAAACTGATGGAGATTATTGTGGAAGACACAGCAAAACAATCCACTGTGATAACTATTGGAGGGACATTTTTCAGTTCTAAAAGACCTGATCTTGGGTACTGATATACCACACTACATTCCAGGTACACTTTCTAATTATTAATCAACATTGAAAAATATTCAGATTTTTTTTTCTAACTAGAAAACTTGCAGGTAGAGTAAGGAAGTATAAAAGTGCTAAATTATTTGTCCTTCATTTAAGAGAGACTAAAATGATCTTTTGGGATTATGTTGAGAGTAGTTAAGTGGTGGTTGAAAGTTTAATAAAATTTATTTAAATTTAATAGTTCATTAAAATTTATTGAAGGTTTATTAAAGTTATAAAAATAACTAATAGAAGTAAAAAACAGGATGCCCATAAAAGTTAATATAGAAAACAGAATCAAATAAAATGCCATAATCTCATCCGGCTACAGAGAAACAGAACTGTTCTTCTTTCTTTCCTTGTCTCTCATGTACATCTTCTTACCACATCCCATAAGATATACTGACAACTTTCTTAGGGACTTTTTTAGCCCACTAAAAGTTCTTTTGTCCCCCCAAAAGAGATTGGATTCTATATATATATATATGTATATACATATATATACACATATATATATACATATATATACACATATATATACACATATATATATAGTGTGCGTGTGTATATATATATTTATATTTAGATAGTATATAATTAATTTGACTCATAAAAATTACAACATTCCTTTCAAACAACTCTGTGATGTAGGCAGACAAGGGAATTTAGCACATAAGGTATTGCCTTGTCTTTTTGCAAAAAGTATGTGATTCACCTGTCATGGTGCATGGTAGGCACTAAAGAAATACTTGTTGAAGGAATGAAGACATGTATAACTTAACTAGCTATACACTTGGAAAATGTAATTTCATCTACAAACAATAACTTTATAAATAATTGCACTGTTTCTCGCCCATTAAATTTACTGTGAAATCTGGACAAAACATCTGTCATTATGTAAGCCATGGAAGAAATGTTGAGATTAGCATGCAGTAATGAACATGGTAGTAAATGCTGGGGAAGGCAGAAATCAGAAGAGACGTAAATAAGTCCTAAGTTTTAGGCCCTCAAAAGGTTAATTTGGATTTTCGTTCTGGGTGTCTTCATATCAGAGAGACTTGGCCAATCTGATATAAAAAAAAAATCGGAGGTCAACAGAAGTGATTAAGCAGCTAGGAAAATTAACTCAGAAAGAAGATCTTAGTATATAATTTGGAAAAAGGATTTGAATCTCTCAAAACCCAGAGAAACAGAAGGATAATTTAGAATGCTTTGTAGAGCGGTAGAGCTGATGGCATAAAATGAAGCAGAAAAAAATACTGAGTGTAAGACAGTTCTTAATAGACAGACAAAGAACCATATAGCATTCCAAAGAAGGTAGTAAAGTTGTTTTGATAGAATCTGACACCCCAAAGACAGACAAGCGCTAACATTTATTGAGTACTTACAATGTATCTGGTACTCTGTATGCATAATTTCATTTAATCTTGCAGTAATCTGTGAAGTAGGTACTAATACAATCTTCACTTTACAAATGAGGACACTGAGGCTTGGTCACATGAGGCTGGTAGGAGATAGTGCCGTATTTTGAACTCTTGTTCTAGAGTTCAGTCCACATCACTATACTCTCCTGCCTTCTAGTCATGAAGTTGGGTCTCAGTAGGTGTGTTGTGTAGAGGTTTGACAGAATAACCCAGCTGGTTTTCCAAATGCTGAATAGGTGATTCTAACAAGCCATTTTAATTAAGTTAAAAAAAAAACTCTTATGTATTCCAATCAAAAGTGTACTTTTTGTTCAGTCTTCTGGATGAATGAATCCTTGCAGAAACAAGATTTGTATATGAAAAAGCATTCTTAATGCAGATTTAAAATAAACAGGTATTAGGCTCCTGGACCCGATAGAGTGAGCAGCATCCCGCAAGTGCCAGCCTTGCAGGAGGTTTTATCTGCTGGAAAATTGGCTGCATGGTAGTGTATAGGGGATTGGAGAGAGAGGCTTGGGTCGAAATTCCTGATCTGCCTTTCATTTGCTTATTACCTCAAGTAAGTCACCTAACCCCTCTGGAAGTAACAACACTGCTTATGTCATGGAGTAGAGAATCTGACATGATAGCGTATATGTAAAGGTAGCCTGCACATATGCAAATTAGATAGTATGCATGTAAAGATGGCAAGTAGATAAGATAACATGTATATAAAAATAGTATGTATGTTTTTATATGTAAAATGTTTAGCTCAGTGCCTGACACATAATGAATATTTGATTAATAGTAGCTGGCATTATTATTATTTATTATCCAGATACAATCTTCAAGTAAGTACTTTAGAAAGTATAGCCCGGTGGTAAGTTTTAAAAAAGATTCTAATTTTATACAGTCCTCTCAGATAACATATTTGATAGTAAAATTTCACCCTCTGTGTACCCTTTTCACAATTTGGGAGTTTACCGAATGCTTTGGTGTTTTAAAGGCAGTCGTTTGTTCACTGAAAATGCAGCTTATGACAAATTCAATGGTTGCCAAGCTCTAATATGTTAGCAGGCAGAAGCATGCTTTTAATATTCATCATCTTTAAGTGCTACCAACTGACATTTAGTACTAAATGTGCAGATATGGGTGCTGAGCAAAACAGAGCTAGGAAGAGGACTTGCTAATTTGTATTCTAGATGGAAATCTTAAATTAGTTTCTGAGATTTTTAAATGGATTTTTAAATGCTGGGCACATAGGAAATTGAGTTCATATTAATATTTATAAGGTTTGAGAAGATATTTAGTGAAATATTTGTATAATTTAATTTTGGTCATAATCAAGTAGTAAACCATAACAAGAAGGACATTGTACTTTAGTCTGGTGGCTGTTTTGTGACTTAGGAATATCCTTCTGGAAAAGCCCTGAATGACACACATACACATACATACATGCTTCAAAAGTTCTTCTTTATTAGAACCCAGAAACCAGAGGTTATTTATATATAAATACCTTGGGTTGGATTGTTTTGTGTTAATTTTAAGTTAATTAATTTAGAAATCAGTGTTGATAATGATTTCTTTAAAAGCATTTATTGACAGTTCTGCAGAACTCTATAATCTAGCTGCTTTTATATTCTTTATTATACAGAACAGCTCCGTTGGTTCATAGAATACCTGCTTCCTGTAGTTTTGCTTAGGGCTAATTGAGTTTAATGTAGTTTTGTGTGCAGAAGGTATTGACTTGTGCATAGTATTTAATTTGTGTAAATATGTGTGTATGTAATGTTTTGCCCCTCTGAGTTTTATTTTAAATGTAACCCTTGAAACTGGGATAATAGAAATTCTTAGCCTAGGCCTGCTAGCAATTGCAGGTGCCAACGGTTTAAACTGCTGTAGAAATACAATTATGAGCAGCCAAGAGCAAATCTTGTTTTAAGGTCCATGTGTAATGAATGCCTGTTAGTATCATAGAATACAATTAAAAAGAGGTTTACCTCTCCTAAGCTGTGATTGGTTCTTTCTGATGGAAGTGTAGAGTCCCATGAGTGGACTGTGTATTCAGCTCTTGGTGATTTAGACTCCAGTGAGCCTGGCATTCTGCAGGCTTGGATAAATTCAGGGCAGTTATAGTCAGGCAGAGATGAGAAAAGACTGAAAGATTAATGAGGGAGCTTAAAACAAAGCTTCAAAAATGAGAGCAACACACTGCTTGGTCTTATGTAATTGTGCCGAGTAGAAGTCAGTCTTGGCTGCTGTTGTTTAAAAATTTTAAGAGGTTGGCAGAAAATATTTGTTATAAAAATTGTATCTTGAGAATAATAGTGAAAACCTAGGACATAAGATCTAATTCTTGGTTGCTTGTGTATGCCCTCCAAGACACACCCTTCTCTTCATCCTGCTTTTATTGCAGTTTGACCAAGCACCCTGCTTTCCTGCTGCCCCCCACCACTTCTTTTTGGCAAGGACCCTTATTGATGACTGATGTCCAAGCCCTGGCTGCCTCCAGGAGATGCACGTCTGGGACGTGCTCCTAGAGTTCACGTTGATGCTCTCTCACTACAAGGCCTGAAAGATCGGGAGCATATAGAGGTGTGAGAGCCCTCTGGGGAGATAATCTAAGGGATTGTTGGTGACCTATGGCCATTTCTGGTTGATGGTTTTAAATAGCAGTTGGTTAACATTTCTTCTATAGAACTTAAGGGATGCTAATGGCTTTAAAATGCTATTTTGCCTTTGAAAATCCTCTTAATAGATGCTCTAACGAACCTTCCATTTACGTGATAGGCACGGTTGAGCTCTGCAGTGAAGCTGTTCATACTGTTAATGTGAAGCTGGGCACTTAAAGGGGAAAAAGCAGCTCATAAATAACGTGGCGCAGGTGAATCACTTCTGAAATCTAGAGCTTGCCAATACCAGTGAAGAAGAGCTGCCTTGGAGGAGAAATTGCCAACTCTCAAGCAAATTCTTCAGCGCTTCAATCTAGACACACACCAGCCTTTTAACTTTGCTTTCTGTTTCCTCTTCAAGGAGTTTGTCGCCACCTACAGGAAACAGGAAGCACAATAACCCACTCAGTCTCTGAGTGACACCTGGTTTCTTCCATTGGTCATTCCTCATCGCAGTTTTTATACATTTTATCACTTGTTCATCATATAGTATTTATCAAGCTTTTTTCTTGGCTATGGAATGAGGCTAAGGTCTATGGAAGAAAAGGTTCTATCTGCACTAGCTGTTTGGCAGGAGATTCCTCACCCTTAATTGCTTTTTAAGGTCTCTGTCTGTTTCTGCTGTCATGTTCTTTTCCACGAACACACCAACAAGAGAGAACAGACTTACCGATTGGGGCTCTGTAGTATATAGCATGTAAAAGTACTAGTGCTGACTTACTCACAATTTTGCCTTCTTTTGTTTGTTGGAGAGAGCATGGCACCAAAATCATCATTTTTATTGTTGATGTTGTTGATTTTGTTTTCTTTTGCCTTATTTAGAGAAAAATGTTAGGTAGTTAAAAACCTACATAGCAAAGAAAGTTCAAGATGCATGATGCAGTTCAGAGAAGTCTAAAGGAAGACATGTGATTACTTTTACGGGTACATTAAGGGTGTTGAAGAGATAATTAGAATCAATTATTTTCATTCATTAGCATCTCATAACTATATCACTGAGTTAAGTTGTTCCCCATTGTTTGAAACAAGAGTGAGTTGGCTTGAAAGGAGTTAAGAAGAATGCAGGGTTTTTCTCCTTCATATATGAATGCCTGTGGCTCTTTCTTTTTCCCACAGCATCTTTAACCCAGATCCTCTCCTGAACTCCTTCTGGGTTCTTTGTATGGCTATCTGCTTCTCCTGGAACAGCAACTTAACATATCCTAGACCAAGTCCATTGTGGCCCAAATTAGATTGATCCCACTTTTTTTTTTTTCCTTTTTCGTATCTCTCCTCTTAAAAGAGCAGCAGAAACCACTGCCACATAATGAATCCTCCTTCAGAATATTTACGTTTTGTTTTGTTCTCCTTTTCCTCCTCCCTCTTCCTTTGGGCAAGCGATACTATAATCATCCACTGTCCTAGGAAATAATTCTTAGTTATCTTTCTCAGTTCAACACCTCTCTACTACTAAGTCCAAATAAGTTGCTTTACCTTTGTAACGTTTCGTGAACTTCCTTCATCTGAAACTGAATCTGTGCTTTATTCTTCTTACCATCATTTCATCATCTTGAATTTTCTGTAACTCAACCTCTTCCGCATCATTTAGCTCCAGAAATTCTTACTAGTTGACTTTTAGTAGATTTGGGAAATGGGCTGTTGGCTAGAAAGAGCTATCTAATCAAGTGAAATTTCACCCATCTACTTTCCCTGCACCCCACTTCCATGTTTATGCTGTGGAATTTCAAGACTGGTTTTAGATATTATCTTAGAGTTTTTATTTAAACATCAAAAGTAACTTAGGGTAAGAAAATACATCAGTGGCTTGTTGGGAAATGTCACACAGTGCTGGAAGATTATAGATACAATATTTTATATATTTCTACCGAATAGTTGACTAAAAGTTGCTCAAAATTATAATACATTTATCTAAAGAAGATAAACACATCATCAATAAGCATGAAAAGATGTTCAATGCCATTAGTCACTAGAGAAATGCAAATCAAAACCACAGTGAAGTACCACTTCAGACCCAGTAGGATAGCTAGAATTTAACAAGAAGACAATAACAGGTGTTGACAAGGATATGGAGAAACTGGAGCTCTTATATGTTGCTAGTGGTAATGTAAAATGGTGCAGCCAATTTGGAAACAGCTTGACAGTTCCTCAAAGTGTCAAGCATAGAGTTACCAATATGACACAACAGTTACACTCCTAGTTATATACCCAGGAGAATTAAAACGTGTCTGTGCAAAACATGTACATGAATATTATATTATTATTTATAATGTAATGCATTATATTATTAAGCAGGGATGATTCATAATCAAAAAAATGGAAACAATATCCAATATCCATTTATTGATGAACAAACAATATGTGGTATAGCCAAATAACAGAATATTACGCAACCATTAAACAGAATGAAGTACTGATACATTCTATGACATGGATGAGCCTTGAAAACATTATGCTAAGTGGAAGAAGCCCAAAGGCCACATATTTTATGATTTCATTTATGTGAAATCTCCAGAAAAGTCAAAAGCTATAGAGACAAAAAGTAGATTAGTGGTTGCCACGGGTTGGGATAAGAGGCGAACCAGAAGTGACTATCAGTGGATATAAAGTTTCTTTTTGGGATGAAGAGAATGTTCTGAAATTAGATAGTAGTGATAGTTGCACAACTCTATGAATATATTCAAAGTCATTGAACTGTACACTATAAACAGGTGAGTTCTGTGATATATGAATTATATCTCCATAAAAGTGTTATATATACTTGACATAAGACTATATCTAATGAAGTCATTGGCAGCTGTATATGCTTAACAGCCTGCGTCAGATTCATTTTTGTGTCTTCCAAAATGCTAAACACAATGCCTTGCATATGTAAGCCTTTGATAAATGGTTGAAGAATGAATGAGTGGATGATTGAACAAACAAATTCACGAGTGGTCTTGTTACAGTGTGTGGAAGGATTGTTTTTGGCAAGTGCTACAGGAGAGAGGTAAAGAACAATGGCCACGAATTGAAGCTTCTGTCCTCCTGTTCACTTAGGCTGACAGTTCAGCTGTCCTGTCATTGATCTGATGTCAGTCTGATAGAATCATTCTGTGCTTTGACGCCAGCTAGATGGTATATTTCTTTTTTCTTTTGAGTGATAGGTTGGCAAAATGTACTTTAGCGACTGTATGTTATGTGGATGATGCATGATGCCAGTGCTCTGTTGTGACCTTTATTTTTATGAGCTGTGAGAATTAAGAACCTACCAGTTTTAGTTTAATTAAGCAGTAAGACACAGCAGATGGTGCATTTGTGGGTGATGATTGCATTCCACTGGTTTCCTCAAGCAGCACTCTAACCCTATGGAATGCTTTGCCTGGAGTATCACGCCACTGTTGCAAAATTACCAGGAAGACAAACACATTGTAATAATGTAGTCAGAAAATCTTGGAGGACAGTTTAGAAAAGGACCTGAACTCCACAGGAGTTTTAGTAGTTAGCAGCTACTGGAACTAGGATATTAAGGAGAGGAATCCATGACATAACGGCTGTAGCCATTTACTACCCATCTTTACTTTCCAATATTTGCAAATAAAGTATATGAAGATTTTTATTACCCTAGTATTCTTTCGTGTAATCTGGGTCAAACATTAAAAATGCATTGGAATATGATTTGCATGTATTAAAGTGCTCAGAGAAGTTTCAGTAAATGGAGAAATACTGAATTGATGTCAGGTTGTTTTATTATGTTTGCTTTTAGTCACTACAGAGGGCCTAGAGTGTCCTACAAAATGCATTTTTCCCCAAGTACTGTGCACTTACCACTAGCATATTTACTCCATAGGATGTTGAAAACATACCTAAGCAGAGATAATATAGAGTTAATCCAGTACTTCTTACCAATCTTGCAACTCTTTAGGAAGAAAACCAAATTGGTAAGTAGAATTACTTTCATTGTTAAGGGATAGACTGCCTAGGTCAGATTCTTTTCCCTTTACTATCTTTGAAAAACTGAATTACTTGAAGGCTGGCATAAAACTTACAATTGCACAATATTTTAGAACCTAAGATAATATGCCTCAATTTTTCTCATTAATGCAATATATGAAATCATCAAAATGAAATACATTCACTTACTGGCTGTAATGTTGTTAAAAGTATGAACTATGTGGATTTTACAAAATATAGCAATGGTTGCTTTAGATAGAATAATTATTTATCTCATGTCTTTGCTACAAAGGAAGACTAGATTTGGAATTCTAGTAAAATAATGAAATTCAAAAATAATATTTTAACAGGAGAATATAAATTCTCTTTGGAAAAACCCACATTTTATATTGATTTTTCCCCTATATTACATAAGGAATCTCTTTCCTTCTATTTTTAGGGGTATTTTCATCACAAAAACATGTGACTACATCATCCTTCTGCTTGGAGACCTGACTTATATTTAATTAAATGAAACTTTTTTTTTTTCTGGATTCCCACCAACTTCAGGATACTCAAGCATTGAAGATAAAACTGTAGGTCTAAACACTAATTCTGCAATTCTTCTTGTAGGAATAAAACATTATTAACCTTTTAGTTAATACTGGTTTATAATACAGTATAGGGAAATACTATAAACACCTATCTGCATAGGAAATTCAAAATAATAACTGATTTTATCCTATAAATTATTCAAGATTCTGACACAAGAAATTGCAAATTTTATTTATATGGAAACATGCTTTACTGCAAAATCATTGGTATTTCATTTCTTTATAGAACTAGATTTTCATCTAATTAAAATTTAGAAAAGTGCTCATCATGGTAGCTCACATCTGTAATCCCAGCACTTTGGGATGCCAAGACGGGAGGATTGCTTGAGCCCAGGAGTTCCAGACCAGCCTGGACAACATAGAGAGACCTCGTCTCTATAAAAAATAATTTTAAGGAAATTAGTCAGCCATGGTGGCATGTACTCCCAGCTGCTCGGGAGCCTGAGGTGAGAGGATCGCCTGAGGCCAGGATTTTAGGCTGCAGTGAGCTATGATCGCACTACTGCACTCCGGCCTGGGTGACAGAGCGAGATACTGTCTCTAAAAAATACATGAATGAATGAATAAATAAATAAAGTTTAGAAAAGATGGAACTAGATTGTTTCCCGTTTACTCAGCATATAGGTAACTTGCCGATTTTTTTGTAGCTCTGTTTAATAAAAATACACTACAGAATCTCCAAATAAGGCCCCAACAGGAAGATAAAATTATGTTTGATAATTTTAGGGTTGTTAGGATTATTTATTTTAGTTCTCTAAAATTGGTAAGATGTTAATTCTTCATCATCTACATGGTTTATCTAATGGCAATACCTTTTTTGAATGATGCATTTTTGCATTATTTTTGTATTAGAGGAAGTAACAACATCTGTCAGGATGTACATAAACCAATAATTGACAATCTGTACCTATAGCCTCAATTGCTCCCTTGAGCAGTCTGGCCCTTTTTGTTAAGATCATAGAATTTAGAATCAAAGAACTGCCTTCAGTTTCTGACTACGTGACTTATTAGCCGTGTGACTGTTTATTTTAGGAGTACTTTTTGGCTCCCAAAGAATTGGCAGGGTACCTATATAATGAGTAAATGGGAATATAATTCTACCTGCAAAATCACCAAAATAGTGATTTAAATAATGTTTTTTAAAACATTATTTAAAGTAGAAAGAAGTGGAGAGATGGGCAATCCAGGGCACGTATGGTGCTTCCACAAAAATCTTGAATTCAGCCTTCTTTTTTCTGCTTCACCATCCTCAGTTGGTGACTTTTTTACTGATGGTCATCTCATGGTCCAAGATGGAGTTTTTGCCAGTGCTGCTGCCTGTTAGGCAGCAGGAAAGACAAAGAAGAGCTGCTTTTGGCACAACCAGTTTCTTTTCCAACCCACGCAACACTTCCTCTTAAAGCTCATGACCTAGATGTGAGGGAGGTAGGAAATGTTATCTTTACCAGGCACAGCTTAAAAAGAGGGGTTCTGTTACCAAGGACAGAAAGAAGAATGGATGTTTGTGAGGCAACTAGCATTCTCTGCCATAGTGACCTTGGATCCTTTCATCTCATTGAGCCTCAGCATTCTTGTCTATAAAAAATGGTTGTAAAAACAGGATCTAATTCAAGATCCTATTGTTTTGAGTATCAAGTGAGTTAATGCATATAATGCATTAAGCACAGTGTCTGGCATATAAGTAAGCAATAAATGTTAATTATTATTCTTGCTACTTCCTTAATATCTCTAGGTTAATGTCCTATAGATACTTAAAATGCTTATGTGTATTACAGATCCTTACTGCATTACCTAGCTCACCACCTACCTATTCCAACAGGCTGGAAACCTCAGAGCAATCTTTGAGTATGTCTTTATTGCTGTCTGTACCTAAAAGTCATCAAGTATAATTCTGCCTGCAAAATTCTTCATGGATTTCTCAAACTTGTCCCTCCATTTCCATTCCCGTATCTGAATTCAAGCCGTCATCTTTCCTTGCCTTCTACCCGTCTTCACTATCTACAAGATCACATCCAAACTCCTTAGAATAGTATTCATGTCTTCATGTAGTCTGATTGAAGTATTAAAAGCTTAATCTTGATTCCGCCACATCTCCCTAGTCTCCAGATCACACACTTCTTGTACTCTAACTTCACTGAAAATTCACTATTCCCCAAATAGGACATTATGACTCTAGTTTCATCTTCAGGGTAAATTTTTACGAATTTTCAAGTTGAAACTTGAGGAAACTAAGCATAGATGTGTTTCAGCCTATAATTTTGAACATTAGGATGTGATTTCTGGAAACTCCTTTGTGATTTTATTTATGAGGCCAACAGATGGACAGGTATTCCAGTATTTCTTATCATAGCTGAGTATCTAAATGTATGAATATGAAAGAACGAAGGGCTTTTAAGTAAAAGGAATGGATGGAAGGGAATTGATGCATTTCTAATGGATGGGTTAGTTTGTTCAGCAGTTCTGAAAGTATAGGTTTAGATATAGAGACTCATTATTTTTACTTTGCTAGACAGTAGCATTAGTTTAGGTACTTAATGTGAATGTTATGTACGCATTTTGCTTTCAAATTAAAAAAAATAAGTAGGGAAGGTTAGCTTTACTTTTATTGTGTGTGTGTGTGTGTGTGTGTGTGTGTGTGTAGTGTGTAATAGGATGTATAATGTAATTTCAAAGCCCTCTGATGCAATATTTTGAAACTAAGTTGGTAGTACAATTAAAACATATCTTTGGTCATAGATTACTTGGCCTTATGCCATTTTCATAGGCAATGTCCTACTTATATAGCCTGGATTGGCTGAGAAAAATAATTGCTGCTATGAAATAATTTTGCAATTACCACTGTAATTAAGGGCAGTTTGTTAATGAAAGTGCTTGGTGAATAATGACTGCAGGGCACTCCATCTTGCAGCTTCATGCCAGATGATTGGTTCATGTGGTGGAGGTAGTTAGGGAATTAGTGACACAGCTGTCATGGTTACAGGATGGATGTAAATATCCTTTGCAGTTGATGATGAAGAACAGTCATTAGCCTCCTGCCCCTTGGGAACTGGTCAGAGGAACAAAAATAAACTTAACACGTGATGGTAAAAGCCATTCCTTATGTCTCCTTTTCTTCAGTATGAACAATTAACGTTCTAATAGAAGCTGCAGAGAGCATGTGGATGAACCCTCTCCACTTTACAGGCGTGTTAGTGTGATAAATGTTCCTTCGTGTAGGGCATTGGTTGTTCACAGTTTATAACCACTCTTATTAGCTTATAGGCCAGTTAAAAACTGCTCTTTAGAGACCCACAGGCCCTATTTAAATTTTTCGTGTTCATCTCCAGGTGTTGTGTATTCAGTTTGACCCTTTAAAGACTGTCCACGGTTGGATTTTTGCATGCTGTCTGCAAGGCTGCAGGGGCAATTGAAGATCAATTTTCTGTATCTGGGCTTACTTGCTTGTGTAAAATATATATTGTTATGAAGAAGACCTAGATGCTTATCTGATCCTCCTTTATAGTTTTTAAAAGTCATTGAAGGTTGAGGAGCCGTTTTTTCCGCCTTCTTAAAATAAATGTCCTAGGTGTTTAAGTGTGCTTCGTATTTATATTCATTCCACTTCCTTGGTGTTTTGATGTTGTTTTTCATTGTAAATTTGCTTAAGCAATCTTTTGTGGAGTAATTTCATAACATGCACACACTGTGGTTTTACATTGAGTTGCTCGTGATCTGCAATTCATTAACTTTTGCTGACTAGGAAGTCAGTATAGCACGTTGCATTTTCTCTCACTTTATCTTGCTATATAGTCAGTTTTATTCCTTGTAAAAGATGTTAGTAGAACACTTCCTTAAGATGGCTTCTCTTGCTGTCTCATATGCTAAATCTTTTCCTCTGGTCCAAGTCTTCTCAGGGCCTTAAGGAGAGATTTTTGGCATTTGTATCATTGCATTAGAGGTGACCAGATAGCGTCACTAAAGGAACATAACAGTTTTCTGGGTTTTAGCTCAAAATGACTATTCACGGTAACACTATACATTTTAAGGATGAATTTATTGCTGCTTGTGTCTGGATAAGATTCTTTGCATTTGCTGCTACTTTTGTGCCCATGTCTCCTCTTGGCTTTAGCAAGAGGAGGTGCCAAATGGAAGGATCGGAATTCCGCCTCGGAACTATCACACACTGTAGCCCAAACCTCTGCCTCTTCCTTTTCTATTCTTTGGCCATTGTGGAAAGAATGAAAACTATCAACAAGCTGAACAAGGTGAACAGAGCCTTGTTCAGATGTTTAAATGCCTCCTTTGCAACTGAGTTACTCACTCTCCCAAGATGAACTTTTCTCATTAGACATAGCTAACTCACTGTGGAGATGTTTCTAGCTGACTTGATTGTGATCAGACATTATAGGATGCAAGGTAATTGCTGACCCTAAATAGTAGGGGTGAGTCCCCCAAAGCCAAATAACTTGAAAAACCTTACATACTGAGCATTTTAAAAAATGTGTGTATCTTAGTCCAGTAAATGACAAAATCCTTTGGAAAATGGGCATTATTCTCAGGCATGTTCATGGCTGGCCAAATTATTTGGGTTTTGGTGGGATATGACTCTCTGGAGACTCTTCGCAGGATGCCTGTCTACAGGAGGAGCTGGAATGCTCCATATTAAACCAACACCGGGAAGCAAGAGGAGAGAAGCATGCAGAAAACACCCTCCCAGTTGAATGAAAATTGCACTGTATTATGACTTATTCCCTTTTTAGCAAAAGTATGGGCTTTGTGGTAGGTCAAGATAACTAAAATGGGAAAGAAAGAAACAATTGTGTTTTTAATTCGTGTTGCTCCAGGTAGTGGGACTGAGAAACTTTTCCTCTTTTTCAGGAGAGTTGTGACACGCTATAGTATTTAGATACTCAGTTTGTGTTCCCATTTTTGTTTTGTTTGGTGGTGTTTTGATTATTCCATTTTTTTTTTTTTTGGCTAAACATATGTGATGTGTGTTTAATTGAATTTCCAAGGCAACGATACAGGCACCTGTCAAAAAGTATATTTAAAGATACACTGCAGGTTTTCTGGAGAGGTGGCCATGTGAATTTAACAATCTGCAATGAGAGGGGAAAAAAAAGTTTCTGAGTTTGTATAAGTAGTTGAGATTCCCAAGTAAAACAGAATCTGTTCTCATGCAGTTTTCTGGGCTAGTTTGGACAGGAGCTGGAATCTCATTTTTATACATTAACAACTCTTGTTGGATTTCTCTCATTTCTTCAGGACAAGTCAAAAACTTTGTAGTTCTCCACAATGAAAATGTGTCGTGTCCCATCCTGTCCTTTTGCCATCTTTTCTATCAAAGAAACACTAATTATAAAAATTGAACATAAATTTGTACTGTTTAATAGGTTTGGGTTTAATTTTGCCTCAGTGGGAAGACGTTTCCATTAAAAGAGTCCTTTTTTTTCTCTTCCTCCCTCCTTTTTCTTTTGGTAGAACAGTTAGTAAAGGCGTAGGAAATTGATTTTAGTGTCACAAAGGACATTTCTGACAGGGATGTACTTTGAAATGATTCAAAGCATCTGTTTCTCTTGCATATGCCTAGCACTGCTGAGAGCTGTACCTAGATTAAACTGTTTAACGTGTCAACTCCAAATCCGATCACAATTTACATCCCAGTTGCTTGGTTGGAATTTTTAACATTTCATGAACTTTCTCCCCTAATTTATGAAACAAGCTTCTGCTGAAAGTGACCATTTGTTCTAGATGCCAATATGTCACAGTCAAAATTGACTTAGCTTGAGAAGTTATTTGTTTTTGTATGGTCATTTTGCCTATGAAACAAAATCATCTTTGCAGTTTTTATTCCTGCTGGCAGGGTTTGTGAATGAACGCTTGGTGGGTGTTTTTGTTACCATTTGCCTTCCACTGGTGCTATGTCTGTCATACAAGCTGGCTCAGAGAATTCCAGTTTTAAGAGTGTCTGAGCACAGAAATTATGGGCACTCTGTTTACTACCATATCCATGACATCCAGCATAGTACCTTGGAAAGCCACCTAAAATAAATCTTTCATATACAAACGAGGAATGAGCACTTTCTACATAGTCATACTGCATAGTCTTAGTCATAGACTCTTGATTCTGAGGGCTCACTTATCTACTCTGCTTATGTTTCTCAGAAATTAGTAAGGCTCACTTGTATTACTTATAGTGAAGCATGTCCTTTGAAGTTGAAGGGCAGGGGCAATTATTTTATGCGTGTGAACTTTTTATATTCATAGAAGAAATAATTTACTGGGGATGAGAAGAAAAGGCAACCATGTTGATGCATAATAGGGACCCGAGCTCATTAACTTAATTGTTTAGTGGCTCCTGACTGTTCTTCTCTCCCCCAGTGTCCCCCCATGTGCCCTTTCACAGTATTTCCCCATGAGCTTTGAGTGAAGAATCCTGAGAAGGGCTTCTACTCTTGCCTTTCCCTCTGCTAATACGAGCATAGTGGTGGCGTTTGTACAGGTTTTCCTGGGGTACTAGTTCCCCAGTGGACTCACTTGTTGACCTTGAAGATGCATGGTCACTCATGACTAGTCAGTTGAGAACATTATCCATAATATTGTTATCAATATCTTGCATCTCTATCAGCAGTTCTCTGGGATTGTGTTAGTGAGGATAGAGAGCTTCACATTTACAATAGCTTGAATGTTTGGAAATTTTCTTACCTTCACTCACTAGTCTAGGGTGGGTGGTCCAGATCTATGGATGGGTTGGCTTCATCTAGTTGTTCAGTGACCTAAGTTAATGGCAGCTCTGCCACCTTTTGCATGTCACTCTGGAGGCACTCTGGTGTTACTGTTTCAGCTTCCCAGAAGGAGGAAGGAGAAAGTACAGGAGGAGCAACCTCAGGCACTAGGCTGGAAATGGCACACATCAATTCTGCCCACATGGAAAAGAACTTAGTCGCCTGGCTGACCCCGCTTCAGGGAAGACCAGGAAATGCAGAGGAGCAGGCCAGCCTTGTGCCAGGCTGCATGGAAGAAGAGGAAAATGGATTTAGTGGACAGTTAGCAGTCTCTTGGACCTTAGGTTTTTCCCAGTCAGTTAGCTGTCCAGCAGCTTTATATTGTAAAGCTAGTTGATCTTAGACTTTAAATAATATCTAGTACTATCTATGATAATTTCCCCCCTTTAGGTTTCTTTGGGTCCAAGCTATTTATAAATTGTACTAACTGGCAGAGCATTCAGCTTACCTTCTTCTGGTTAATGTCAAGGACTCAGTAGTTTGCACAGACATATTTTTACCCTTTGAAGTGATAAATTAACATTTGAATGGTTGCTTCATTTCCTTCCACTTTTTTATGTCTGGGACACATGGTAGAATAGGGACATTTTTGTAGATTTGTGATTTCTTCTTCATTTGGGAAGATATTGTATGTACTACTGGTATGCTAGTCATTCACTGTATAGGAAAACCCAGAAGGCATAATCACTGTTGTCTGCAAATATTATTATATAGTATATGCTGATGGTCACTGCCTAATGTAAAATTAGGTTTCCCTTCAGGATCTTTGTTTAGAAGCAATTCTTGAGGTGACATGAGAAATTGTTGCCAATATTATTGCTTGCTGCTTTTCTAGTTTTTTTTTTCTCCAAGGATCTAAAAAATCATTTACAGCATACTTTCCTCTGCTTTGATTAGATTTTAGAAACATTGTCTGATTTTCTGCTCACATTGTTTAGAGAAATTATACTCCCAGCCATCTCTTGGCTGCTTTAGGGTGAAATATATCAAAATCTTTGGACATTTTAACCTGTGGTTAGACTGGCTTTAGTCTCTTCTGCTACGTTCCCACAAACAAAGGGTTGTCAGAGTTCTTGCTATGCAATATATTCTATTTTTAAGGTAGGATTTAGATTATTAGTCATCTGATGTTTTAGGTGTTAGCACAACTAGACACTTAATTTTGGTTTTGTGCCAATACAAATCACCTGGAGTTTTATTTTTGGTAAGGTGGGGACAAGAAATCAATCAAGTGTGTTCTAAGCTCTTTGTTTTATGTAGAATGTAATTTTATTTTAAATATACTCTTCCTTGATATATCTTGTTGCTCTAATATTGATACGGCATGAAGTAGAAGTAGGTGTTTTTCCTGAGTATGATTTACTATAAGTCCTGTGATTTCAGCTATATTGAGGCTACTACTAATGGATTAGTACATTCCAGCAGTGTATTTATTTAGCATCCTACCCTCCGGTAATCAAAACATGAGATGCTTCAGTGTAGAATTGCTTGCTAGAGGTGATGGAGAGAAAACACACCTCTCTAGTGGTGATATTAGTCTGTTTTAACTGTCTTGTGAATGTGCTTAATGTCTAGGGCATGTTAAATTGAGTTATCCAAAAATAGAGTCCCTGAAATTTAAATAAAGCGGCATTGGAGCAAGAAACTAATCATTCTTTTTCTGGTAGTTAACCAATTGCCACCTTTCCCGGCTCACTTATTATAGCAGCTCCTATGGCTGTCACTACACTGTCACATTGTTCTGTAATACTCTGTTTACATTTCTCTCTTCTGTACCAGACTGTGAGCTTCTTGTAGGACGGGAATGTGTTGTATTCATGTTCATGGAACTCCTAGTCACTAAATAGTTGATGAACAAATTAAAAGATGAAGAAACATATTAAATACATTGAGTAGGAAAATCTTATCCTTGTGCCGATAGGTGAAAACTAATCTGATGACATTCCTTTAAAGTTTGGACAAATAAGTTGGTATTGGTGATTTCTGGATATAGGGAATCTTTTTGTTGCCCATCACTGCTCATCTGATTAATCTTAGTTTTCTTAAAAATCAAGAAAACATACAGATACCATGTATATTGGTCTAAAATGATAAAAATGATAACATGAAAAAGAGAGTTTTCCTCACTGAGGTGTCTCTGACTTTCTGCAAGCTCCATGCCCACTCTCAGCCTGTTTTCCCATCTGTCAAACTGGGGGCATAATGGGACTTAGCTTTTTGGGACTGTTGGGAGGCCTGAATGAGATATATTTGACCCTTGAACAACATGTGTTTGAACTGCGTGGGTCCATTTATACCTGGATTTTTTTCAATCAAACATGAATGGCAAATATAGTATTTACGGGATATGAAACCCACGGTCTACACTAGGGGCAGATTTTCCTATCCTCACATTCTGCAGGACCAATGGCAGGACTTGAATATGCATGGATTTTGGTATATGCAGAGGTCCTGGAACTGAACCCCTGATGATCCCCGAGGGATGATTATATTTTGTGGAGTGCTTAGCCCAGTGCCTCACACCATAGTAAGCTCCCAACAAATGTTAGTCATGACAATCATGAGGATCGTTGTAGATTTTTTCATTTCCTGAGACGTCTTCCATGATTATTAAATCTTTTAAAAATTTTTATTACCTATTTGTTGTTGTTTTACTTGATTTTACTGTTAAATAGTTCATTTCGACAGAAATCGTCAAATAGTGTCTTTCATTACCATGACTAGAACTCAGGGAAAGTTAGGATAGCTATCTACAGTCATGGAAAACAGGAGATAATAAGATAATCTTTCTCTCTCTTTGTAGGGATATCATATCACGAAGTAGTTGAACTATGTAAAGTAGTACTTGTTTGTTTATCCAGCATGTAATGCCTGTAACAACAAATAGAATCTCCTGGTATCAGATGGTTCTGAAAGCTTGCACAAAACACTGAAATGATAAGATGCCACAGACTTTTATGTTACCCACAAATATTACTCTTCTTTTTTCTTCATTTTAAAGTGTGTATTTCTGGGTCAGACACTGAAATGTATTTAAGCATTTCTCTGCTAACCTTTTATTGAAGCAGGTATTTGTTTTCTATTCTTTCTAAGATCTAGTGATGAGGTGCAGTGCCACCTCACTTATCTGGAGGCCATGTATCAGATAACCTCAGCTACCTGGAACACAGCTGCGGCTTAGGAGTAAACCAGAAAGGCCTCCAGCTGCCATAGGTGTCACACAGTCTTTGCATTAAGGCCTATGCACACTACTCAAAGAAAAGCCCCGGGGTTTCACCGACAGCAAATCTGTCTTAATTTTACAATCCTGTAGAACTTGTTCAAAATCTTATCTGTCTTTGTTATCTTTTCTCCACCCCCCCATACATACATGGGAACTAGAAAATTTGAGGTTTGAGAGGTACAGAGTTGGGGGGTGCTGCTAGATACAAGTAGGCTCAAGTAGCATGAAGAATTCCTTGATAACACTTAGCAGGATGCAAGTGTTGACTTGAGTCAGCAATAATGGTAAAATTATTATTTTTTTCACTCTGTTTAAGAAGGCAGGTACTCTATTAACTTCTGGAATATTTTCATCAATATAATTTAATTAAAAACTGTCATGATGATTCCAGATAAATTGGACATTTCCATTTTCTCTGTTATTTCTGGCTATTTATGAAGTTTTATAGGCATAACCTTGACCTTTTACTTATGAATATGTTTCCTTTACTTGCCTTTCCCCATCGTGCATATATGATTCTTTCTTACCTTTATTTTTTTCCCATCGAAGGAATAAAAATAAACATTTAGGTAATAGAGAAACTTAACAAGTCTTGAATAGTACATTTGCCAAAGTTGGTATTTTTAGTTTGTACCATGCCATTCTGCATTAACTACCCCATCTCAAATACTAAAGAACAACAGTAAACCCAGCTGTGTCAGCATCTGCTTTCCCTCCATGACTGGATTTCTAAGCATGAGGCTAGGGATTATTCTCGAGTATCAGTAGAATTTAGCACCATGCTATGCACATAGAAAGTGCTCAGTAATTCTCACAGCAACAGTTATTTGAGATAGATATTGTTGTTATCCCCATTTATAGGTGAGGATGTGGAGGTTCACAGAGATTGAGTGACTTGCCTTAAGTCACACGGCCGGGGGATAGAACCGGAACTAACATCTCACGGCTGGCCCTTTAGTCCATGTGTCTGACTGTCCTAGATGCAAACCTCACTGCTTAGCTTCAAGAAAAGCTCGGCATTTCTGGATTTCCCATTTCAGTTCTACATAACATAAAAACAGATACGTGTTTCCTAACTGACAAAAAGTAAAAGAAAAACAAAGGACTGATTGAAATCCGTTATTAAACTTCTTTGAATGATTGAATTGGCATAAATACCTAGCTCAAAGAAAATGAACCGTTTTAAAAGCAGTAATATTTCACGATACTTTTTTCCCCAATTCACCTATTCTTTTCATTTTTACTTTGACAGCATTCTTGGCTTGTATATTAAAAAGCCCATGGGTTAAAGCTAATCTTATATGTTTAAAATTATGCATTGACAATCTTTCTTTTGGTTTTCCTTTTCTAAACTTTTTTGGAGCGTTGACAACTTTAAAAGAAATGGCATGTTTCTTTAACCTTAAGAACATTTTATTTAAATTTAGTCACTGGTTTGGAGAAAGAATAAACAGAACTTTTCATTTAAATGTTCTCATATCTTGGAAGAATGAATGGGTAGTGATATGATTTATAGCTTGTATAAGAATAAAGAATATAAAAGAAAATTGAAACCCCAAATTATTGGTTTCAGCAGAGCATTTCTGACTTAATTCTAAATTGTGAATACCATTTACATCTTGCTTAAATGTTTCTTGCCAGTTTGTAGAAGCAAATCTCTACCTTTTGTGTAACACATAGTTTAACTGAATACTCATTGTCTATATAGATAATTTAAAATTAAGAGAGGTAAATCATCATTCATATCTAGCATAGTGCTTCAATAAATATTTGTTGATTGAATAAATGAATAAAATAAGGAAGGAAAGGGAGGGATGGAAGGAAGGGAGGGAGGGAGGGAGGAAGGATGAAGGGAGGGAGGGAAGGAGGGAAAGAGGGAAAGGAAAGGAAAGGAAAAAGGGAGGGAGGGAAGGAAGGAAAAAAGTAAAAGATTGCTGTGTTACTATTATACTGTGTGTAACAGGAATAGCACTCACACTCTACAGAAAAGTTGTTGGTACCATAGATATCTATACCTTTCTACGAGAAAACTAAAATGTGAAAAATAGGTTACTTTGTGAAAAAAATCACTCTAACACTACTGTTTTGCAGACGTGCCATATCACAGATCAGCTTTGCATGAAATGGAAATTATCTTGCATTGTCTTCATTTAAAGTTTTTCTAGTATATTTATTGAGTAAAAAGACAGATAAAGAATTAACAGTGGTTACAATTTCTGTATATATGAAGCATCTACCACTGCCTTTGACTTAACCCTTTTTATGTCTGAGCTTCAATCATGAGGTTTTCAAAAATTATTTCTAGAAAGCAAGTTGGGTTTCTTCAATAGACAGTGGAGTGTTTTGCTCCAGAGTACTGAAATATTCTGTTGTGATGTTGGAAACTTTCACCAATTAAGGACAAAAACCTTCTCATAGGTGTGTATATATATATATATATACACACCTATGAGTGATATACACACACACACACACACACACACACACACACACAGAGAGAGAGTTTGTGTCTTTTACAGGAATCATTTTAGGAGTTCATGTAGACTTATTTTATTGAGGCTGTTGAGCAAAAATTTTTTTTCTACTTCTCCTTGTGAATTTTATTTGGGTATTATTTGAATAGTCTCAGAAGTAGCAGATCTTTATTTTTTAGGATAATTTATTTGGAATCAGCCCAAAGTTATTTGGAATCATGCTGTTAAGGTGGACACTGAAGTTGTGGATTTTAAAAAAGAAAGCCCAGTTGTAGCTATCAAACACTAGGGTATAGGTGTGACACATTGATTGTCATAGAAGGAAAGGATATAAGGAGTAGTTGAAAATATGCAGGACCAATGACAGTAATGTTGGAATAAACATATGACCCTTCAAGGCAACTATTGTGAAAGGTAATCCTCTCTTAAAATTTTAAATCTATAAATTCCAGTGATTTTTCTTCAAAGTTTTAAAGTCTCACCTTACATAGACTCAAAGACTGATGTGCAACAGCAGGACAAGAAGAACCTGAATACTTAGGATCTAGTTAATCCTAAAGACCTGAAGCAACATAAAGATCACTGTCAACCTTGGCATTAGCCTATTTTAGTAATTGGGTCTCAGCATATATATATATATATATTTTTTTTTTCCTGGCTTAAATAGTTGAAAATTCATTTAAAAATGTTCTTCTGATTTTTAAATTTTGTATTTATATTTTTTGTCTTCTTGTCTCATAGGAAACAGGGTAACTGCATTTTTGGTGTTCTTGCTGAGAGAGGATAGGTCCCTTTGAGGAACATGTTTTCTGATTTGCAAGATCTGGATACCTGGGACATTTAAACTTTTCAAGTTACTTTTTGCAAAGGAAAATTGCTAAAAATTATTTGGGCTCTTGTAATTGTAAATGCTGATTACCAAGTATAGCCAACACTTACTTTTAAATGGGTTAGGGGCATATCTATAACAACTATCTCTGCAATGTGGAAACTTAAGTTTGCCCTCAAATATGGAAATCCAGATAAGTAGAAATGAAAGCATTTAAATATATGTTATAAATATCATGTGCATTTGATTGGCCTGAAATACTGTAACTATTTGAATGCTATTGCATGATGCCAGCTCTCTCTTTGACATTCTGACTACATCACTCACTCACTCCATGCTACCCTGCATGGAATATTGATGGACAACTTAAATCCTTCTCAATTTGAAAGTGAAGCATGGGTAATTAAGCAATGCATCCATAAGTTGGATATCGAGTTTTTACTGAGGCCCAGTAATGAATAGAAAGTGCATTAACCAAATTAAAACTGTTGCATGTCTATATGTTTGGACATTGACATGTCTGTGAATTTCATTACTGGATAGTGAAGTCATGCTTATCAAAGAGCTTTCCAGAAATTTCCCTTGTATTAAAGCTTTGGTTAACTTCTAAGTTTAGTCAGGGGAGATAATTCTGTGACACTTCATCTTGCTTACTAATTTTAAGAGTAGTCCTACACAATCCTACTTGTTAATGACCCGGAAGTCTAAGACATAGAAAACAAGGCCTTTCTCTTATACCACGTTCAGTACTAGATAAATGTTATCCCAGATTCTGTTCTGTACCAATGACTATGAAAAATTTTAGAAGAATTCTGTTATATCTATGTCTTTAATATAGAACTGCTAGAAGTGAGTAGATGACCATTAATCTTAGTAGGTGATGTAGTCATGCATTGCTTAACAACAGGGATACATTCTAAGAAATGTGTTGTTAGGCAATTTTGTCATTGTGTGAACATCACTGAGTCTATTTACATAAACATAGATGGTGTAGTCTACTACACTCCTAGGCTTTATAGTATGGCCTATTGCTCCTACGCTACAAACCTGTACGCATGTTACTGCACTGAATACTGTAATCAATTGTAACACAATGGTGTTTGTGTATCTAAACATATCTAAACATAGAAAAGGTACACTAAAAATACAGTATTATAATCTTATGGGACCACTATCCTGTATGCAGTCCATCATTGACCAAAACATTGTTATATGGCACATGACGGTATGTGTGTGTGTGTGTGTGTGTGTGTGTGTGTGGTATATATCCTCTGCAAATATCCCTTAATTAAAATTTTGAAGTTTAGTAATGCTTATTGCTGAAAGTGGTTTGATATATAGGAAAATGTGTAGGAATTCTATATAATCAAAATTATATATTATAGTGCCTGAAAGTTTACATGGCATATTCTTTTTTTTTTTTTTTTTTTTTGAGATGGAGTCTCGCTCTGTAGCCCAGGCTGGCATATTCTTTTTACACTGTAGCAGAATTTGATCAGAACTAAATATCCTGAAACGAATGACTGGCTGGTCTGTTTCTAGCTCTAACATGAGTCACTAATAAAGTATTTTGGTGCTTCACCTTTTTGAATGCCTTAGAATTCTAAGGCTGTTGCCCATCCTAAAAAAATCTCAAGTCAAGATACTAGTTCCCTATTAGCTGCAGAAAACACAGAGGGGAGGAGGGAGCTAGTGCTGGTAGAAGAAACTGGATTTTAACAGAACTTTAAAGAATGCCTCTTTCATTGTGGCCAGCCAATGCTCTATTTATCCCTTATCTCATTGTGCTGTGGCTCTCCAAGCTAGAGAGGAGAGAAAAGATTGAGAATCAAGGTGCAGAGAATAAGCAGTAGAGACCAAAAGGACAAAAAAGCAAAAACTGACTAGAGGAAGCAGAGGACTGAAAACACAGAAAAGGAGAGGAATTTCAAAGACAGAATTGGATAGATACATATTAAAACCAGTGAGAGAGGAAAGTGCTTTCTGATAATGCGAACTGGGTTGAGGTCTGTGTATATAATCAGATACTTGTCTGAGCTGGAAGGCGCCCGTAGGCAGGAGTCCAGATAATCTTGTGGCCTTCTGGGTGTTGCATGGCAGGTGAGGCTAGAATCTAATTTTTTTCTATCTCAACATCATCTCATATTAAGCACTTGTCAAGCTTTGATTTGAGGGCTCCGGGTGATTTGGATTTCGGTGTTATCTCTCAGAAGTTGGTTTCCCCACTTAGTTGAGTGAGTTCTCATTTCACCATCTGTGAGCTTCTATGTCTCCTGTCTAGGTGTCTATTTCGTGCATGGTTGAGACAGTCTGTGCAGTCTTGAATTGTACTTGTGACTAAGAGGAGTAGTCATAATTTACCATTCATTTCTGTCAGAGATGGACAGTTGATAGGTTTTTGCCATTGTTTACATAATGATTCCATACAGCCATAAGCAAAAAGGCAGTGACCTCATATTACCTGGTAATTTAACTACTCCAAAATCAAGGACAAAAACTGTCTGACAATAGGCACTTAATAAAAGTGAAGCTTGTCATTTGTTTCCTTTTTTTAATTTGAGTTGTGAATTTAACATTTGTTATGTTATTAATATTTATAAGCGTATGTAACAGGGTTTTATCTTACACAATTTTAATTCTTTGTATACCTGTTTGTGGTATGATATCCAATCAGATTATTGCTTTGATAATTCTAAGATGAAATGCATAGGGAGTAAATGTGTCATTTTTAGCACAATATCTCTATTTAAGTTTTCTTTGAAGCCAGGAAGTTTGGACATAAGCTGTTTATTATGCCATAGTTATATCTCTTCCTAAAGAAAACCACCATTGAATTAACTTTTGCATGGTGTTTTTCTATCAAAGCATTTGATCCTTGTTTCTGCAAGATAATCCTAAGAACTTTTTATTTTGAGAATAGAAGACCATGATGGATTTAATTCATAACGGGGAGCTGCTGCAAGGAATGTAAATGTAAGCGCTTGATAAGGTAGGATTTCCTAGTTGCTATGGCAACCTTTGGGTCATGAGCCTGAGAAAATATAAAGTAAGTCCTGAAGCTGTGAAGATGATTATAAAATTTAACTGTCATTCTTCATTTAGAGTTGATGGCAAACATTATTTACTTAAGTTTATCTCAAGGCAGGCAAAGATCCATTTTTTAAAATCTGAGACTCAGATCACAAATGAATCCATGTTGCACATGTCTAACATTATAAAGCACATGCAGCATTTATTATTCTAACCAGACTATTTGTACATAATATCCCTGTAGATTTGGTCACTTTCCTATAGAAGCCAACAGTTTTCATCTCTTGAATTCTTAATGAAAACTGTAGAATGCAGCTGTATACACTGAATAATTTTGCAAAAATGTATGTGCTTTCCATGCCAAAAAGAAGGCCTAGGGGATTGTATAGGAAGGAGGCCTTTGTGCCTTCTTTTCAGGTTCAAATATAAATGGTAAACTATTTAGGGTGGACAAGCGCCAGGATATGAATACAGTTGTATATTCTCAAAATATATCACAACCTGGAGATTAAAGAGGTAGGTTAGAATCTCTTTCACTAATGCTTCCCATCTCCCGGTAGGGCACAGGGTTGTGGGGAGGGGGAGTAAAATCTGCTTCTTCTCCGAGGAAAGAGTAGATTTGGGGTGTCAAGTTCCTAAATTGAGATGTGACGTTTACCTGTACACTATGACAAAGTGCCAGTTTTTCTTGCTTTATCTTTTACAGAATGCTGTTAGTTTGCACTAATGACCTATGAGACCCATGCAAATTACACAATCTTGCAAATTAGTGAGTATGTGAACAAACACTATAAAACTATCAGATACAGAATCAAATAAATGTAGTTTATTGCAGGAAGAAAAATAGACTTGCATATGGAGAAGGAATGCATTTTCACAACCAGATAAGTGCTTTCCTGTTGTCTGCTTGCCCACCGGGGAGCGTCAACACATTATATGATCTGTGGCAGCCAATGACTTACTGGCTCTTGGGCAAAAACATCATTTTTTCAAATGCAGGCATAGAAAATCTCAGTGATTACATGCATACTGGAATCTGGTATTGAATTGTTTCCCTTATACTTTGCCTCCTTAAAAGTATTCCCCTTTCCAGCTTCATATGCTGAACGTTTACACTAGAAAGGAGGACAGGATTTAAGGTTATTAAGAAGAGAATGTATACTTGGCTGGCTTTTTTGTACCACACCCATCTGAACCTGGGAGATTATTTGTTGCCCCCCTTTTGGGGGATGAGGTAGAATCCAGCCCACACACCCAGCAGCATACACTCTGCTCATCAAAGCACTTTTCTCAGTTGGTTTGTTTTCATGTCTAGCAGCAGAAATAGCTGCTCTTTTTCTTTCCTTTTTTCTTCTGGCATCTTGTAATTGCAACTGGTAATGTGTCTTCTTCCTAACCTGGAAGCAGCACAGAGATGGCAACATTGCTCCACTCATACACAGCCTTACTCCTGGCTATAATCCAATGCTGCCACCGTTGGGTCACCAATGGTGACCCAGTGCATCACCCTTTGTCTATCACTCCATCTCCCTTCATTGAGAACCTTTCCTGGGCCAACCAGTTGCCTCCTTTATTTTTGTCACCCTGGTTACCTATATTCTATCAGGTTTGCTAATGACAATAACCCCAGTAGCAAAAACTATATCAATAATGAACATTTTCTTTTTTTCTTTTTTTAGGTAAGAAAATGAGCATTTATTTAGAATGAGAAAATAAATAACAACAAAGTACAAACTTTACAAAGCTAACACATACTATAAACTTCACAAAATCTAGAAAATATAATGGTTTGAATTGCCTGATATGACTCCATAATACCTTTCCCACTGTATTTTCGTAGGAAAAATCTGGAAAACTCCCATCAAGTTTCTTTGATATATCAGTTTAAAAAATGCACTTGCTATTTGTAGGTTTATTATAGGTTTGGGGTTACAAACATGGGAATCTGAGAAATTCTATTTCACATAATGACTATAAGAAACATTTCTGTTTTTCTGAACTTTAAATTCAGGAATACATGTGCAGGTTTGTTACATAGGAAGACTTGTGTAAAGGGGGTTTGTTGTACAAATTATTTCATCACCCCAGTATTAAGCCTAATACTCATTAGTCATTTTTCCTGATACGCTCCCTCCTTCCACCCTTCCCCCTCCAATAGGCCCCGGTGTGTGTGGTTCCCCTCTATGTGTCCGTGTGTAGTAATGAACATTTTCAAATTAGGTACTAGGCACCGTGGTAATGTGTTTGTATGTGTGTGTGTGTCTGCGTTTACTGAATGCTTTACCTGATATCATTTTTACATGTACATATATATTTTCATTTCATTTTCAAAATTATACAGTAACATTTTATTTTGTGTATGTATAGTTCTGAAGTTTTAAGAAATATATATGTTCTCAAGACACAGAACAATTCTGTCACAACAAAAAACTTCCTCATGATCTGTGATAAGCATTTTGAGTGCATTGCTATTTAATTCTTATAATGTTATGGGGTGTGTACTGTTATCTCTTTTTTACTGTTTTATTTTTAATTTCTGTTGAGGAAGGTGAGACTTAGAGAAATTGAATAAGCCAAAGTCACACACCAAATGAACAGCGAAGTCTGGATTGGAACTTGGAGCTAAGTTCTGTCTAAGCCTAGAATTCCAGCTTTTATGCACTGTATCATATTACTGCTCACAGAACATGGCTTGGGGGCTATATGATCAGTAAAGTACAAAGGTCTACATGTCAGTTTTATATGATATAAATGTGATGTTGCACCTTGTAGATGATCACAAGATATTTTTATGTGATGCACTCTCAAAAGACTCTGAAAGACTAGGGTTATTTTTTATTTGTTTGTTTTGTTTTGTTTTGACTTCAAGTAAGACTAGTAAGAGGACTGAATTGAACATCTCAACTGGAAACCATTAGTGCTCTGCTCTTCAAACTAAACTTCCCAACACCCAAGTCTCATTACTGTCATGCCTATTTCCCTCCCGGGCTGTGTCATACACATAGAAAGTGAAGCTGGGCTTTTTCATTTGCCATGGCCAACTCACACTATCCTATCCCTCTTTTGAAAAAAAATAGAACCCTTTTCAGTAGCTGTGGGCTCTTCTGTGAGGGTGAGTCAGCTTTAGGAATAATAACCACAATCTTTCATCCATGCCTTCAGTCTAATGTGCTGATGCTGAAATCATCCTAAATATCAATACAGAATTTTGCTTTAGACTAGGGATTCTCCTGCCCTCACTCAGTGTAAATCCCCTGAAGTACAAGAGAAACTGTGAGCAATAAAGGAGGTGCTAAAGTTCTATTTGAGTGGTGGGGGGGCGGTGGAGGCAAAATGCTTTGCTCAGGGAAAGGCTAGTGCTTCATAGATGGTTAGAGAAACTCCCTTCTCCTCGGAACTTTTGCAATTTGGAGCCCAACCTTAAATTGAGCTTTACTAGGACAAATGTAGTTTTATGACCAGAGCCTACATGCATATCTCACAGTTTTAAATAATGTATTCACCTCTTCCGGATGATCATAATCAGTGATGATCATGGTGAAACTATGAGGAAGCAGCCCTCCATGTGCTCGTTTTCTTGTTGTCTTTCCATTTCATAGTTTTGCTTCTTAATTATAATGATGCTAGACATAGGCTGTTAAGGTACATTGTAAATAGGGATACGAGCATTCCCTTTGTATAGGTTGAGAAATATTACTCCAGCAAATTTTGTTTCAAGAGTTCTTCAGGACAGAATTTCGATAGTATGTGCTTTCTGTGATATATATGCTTAAGAAGTAAGATTCACTGTATATTGGTATAAAATAAAGGAAGCCAGATATTAACATAAAATTGTATTTTGGATTCTTTGATGCCTTAATTTTATCTTTCTCAAGGCAGCATCTTAGACCTTCACTCCTGTGAGTAAACACACTCCTGTCTAAAGACAGATGATGGGATCTGTTTTTAAAGTGAGGATGTATTTAAAGCCTAAAAGCCAAGAAAAGAGTTTCTATCTTCTATTTGTAGTTACCATTCATGATTAAGAGGGTAGGAATTATTACCATAATTTAGACGCAGGAGCCCCTTGAAAATTCTCATCTTCAGGAGGTCTCTAGGAATGTTATTCACATCATCACCGAGTAGCTAACAGTACTGAGAGTTGTATGTATCTATGTTTGTGTTTGTTTTAATGTTTTACTTCCCTTTTTGTAGCCTAATTTAGGCTGGATCAACCAAAAAAAGTCTGTTGCATTTGCTTTTTATAATACATTTAGAGTAGCTAATCTGAAATCACAGTTTTCAATCAGAAAGGAATTTTGGATGCTTTTATGGAAAGATTACTACAAACTAAGTTTTCTTTCCTTTTTTTCTGATTTAGATTCCTTGAATGCACTTTGTTAATGTCTGAACATTGAATCAAATAGTGTATTTCTCCCATTTTTAAACATTGCAAATTCAAGGCAGGGTCCTCTGCTTCTGTCTTCAAATGAATGAGAATACCATTTTAAGAGAAAATGGCGGCTAAAGTGTCAGTGCTCTGTATCACCTCTATCAAAGAGACTGATTACAATGTTGATGGTGATTTTCAAGGCCATCTCCGTCTTGCTTCTGCTTCTTAAGAATGTATAATGGAGTCCAACCTTAAGACAAATAGGTCAGACTGCAAAACTCTGCAGGAATATAAGAATGGATTTCAAAATAATAAAGCAGTGCAACTTTGAGATTCTATATACTATATAAATATCTCCTAATTTACAGGACATACCTTTTAAACATCTTTCCACCATGATGCGTATTGGTGTCTGGTCTTGCCATTCTCATGCATTTTCAGCTGTTATTTCTAGAATTTATTGAGTTACTGATGTTTAATCTTTAATGATGGTTGAAGGGGAGAAAAAGTACATACACCATGTTCACCAATTCTCACTGCTGGTAAACAAAAAAATTTGTTCTCCCTGTGGGGCAGGGAGAAAATATTTTTGAGAATATCCCATCTGCAGATAAAGTCAGTGGCCATTTGTGGTTCTGTCAAAGATAAAAATAAATGCCATGTTCAGCTGTATTAAATACTGTACTTGAGCATAAGGGAGAGTGTGCATTTGTCTTATTTCATTTGTCTTCCCAGTCTATGCCCATTTAGCACTGCAATAGCAGTGAACTTCACGGGCAGTCAGGCCCAGTCTTTCATGTTTCCTTCCAGTTCTAAATTGAAAATATTTTTTTGAAAAGAACTATGACAAAAGCAATTTGAGTTAGTGATATCTTGAAAGAGAACCCAATTTAAGATTACCTTTATGGTTGGTCATTGTTACCTACAGTAGGCAGATGTCATGGTGATCTTCTTGATATTAGTATTCCGAGAGAGTCTGACCTGGCAGTGTTCAGGTAACATCAGAGAGTGGGCTATAATATTGAGATTTCAAGTGGTGGTGCAAAGGGCTGCTCACGGAAAGCTAGTGCAGAGAGAACCACTGTAACCGAGAAGGAGGGCAGCCAGCCATTCTCCTCATCCTTCTATATTTAGTAAATACCACGTGACAGTGAGTGGCTAATTAAAGTGTGTTGGGAGTGAGCTTTGTAACTGTAAACTGTAGAGAAGGAAATAGGAAAACAATGGTGTCTTCGCTGATTTTCCAACCTGTAACTTAAAATGTTGCATCTTTCCAACTCTTTCTCAAAAACTCACCACGCTGGTAAAATGTCATCATATCTTTCAGATTTGTGTCATTACAATTGTAACAGGATCAATGATTCATGAACATACGGAGCTAAAGTCTCTTACAAGATGAAGTGGTGACTAGGAGGAGAAGTTATTGTTAAAGAGGACCATCTGTCTTTGAAAGTGTGATTTACTGAGGCATTCACCTCTGCCCCAAGCCATGAAAATAGGATCTAGTGACTGGGTCTCATCGTCTTTCTCTTCCTGCCTCCTTCCCTTTCTTCTTCTCCTCATTCTATCCTTAGAGCCAGAATCAGTCAAGAGATTCAGTAAGAAATGATGCTACTGTGAATCACATAGCTTCTTAGAGCATCTTATTTACGTTCCTAAAATCCCTACCAGACAAATAACAAGTGTTAAAATTGTTTCTGTGTTTCAGATGAGGAAGCCAAGACAAGGAGATAAATTGGCATGCCCAATACAGAAGGGTGTCAGTAGCATTGCTGAGACTTGTGTCTAAGTCTCTACTTTGTGGATTATTCACGGCAACAATTATTCCCATGAGAATCCCTAATTACCACCTACATCCCTGTCAGTTGGTGGTGAATCTGTAACAATTCACAAACTGCATATTCTGCCTCTGTGTGATGAGAGAATCCACTCTTATTTTAAACTATGCAGAAATGAGAGGCCAATGTTACTTCTAAGGGACCATGCAGTGCAGTCCAGAGGTAAATATGAATGACATTTAGCTCTGCCGTTTTGGCTGTTCCACATTAGTGCAGCTCTCCATTCTTCTACATAACCAAGAGTTAGTTATTCTTAAACCCCAGTGTTCTGTCTACTCATGCACAATTTACCTGCATTTCTCAAATTCACCATCCTTTAGTGTGTTTGGCTTTTAAATCCATTTTGGTGCTTACAGTTTGTGTCATGTTCTTGGCCCTTAGGGATGCATTGGATCACATAGGATAATCT
This sequence comes from Homo sapiens, assembly GCF_000001405.40. Lineage (NCBI taxonomy): Eukaryota > Metazoa > Chordata > Mammalia > Primates > Hominidae > Homo > Homo sapiens. Next base: position 115,297,683 of record NC_000011.10, on the reverse strand, counting down.
ATTGAACATATATTAGTTTCTTGATCTCAGTAGAGTAATGGATGCTGAAATATTTCAGAAAGATGTATTCTGTAACGATTCAGGAATTGCATACTCTGCCTGTGTCAGAAGCACAACATGTATGATTTTATCTGTGGCTTAATCAACAGGAAAAAATGCCAAGCGGCTTTGACTAGCTGGCAGTGGATCTGTTTGTGTTTGCCTTATTTTCTCTATAAGACACCTGCTGGAGATGAGAGCCGGCACAAACACCGAGTAGGTATCCAGGGCTTCATTACAGCAGTATCTCTAATGATCAAAGAAGCCTTTTTTATACAATCTTGTTCCTGATCATGCAGCTGAACATCTGTCTACCTGTCTGTCCACCTTTTAATTGCATCATCCAGGTCTCTCTGATCCTAGACGGTCTGTCAGTGCAGCTCTGCTTTCCACCATTTCTGATCATAGTTAACACAAAATTTCCCACAAAGCAAAACAGTAAAACTGAGAGCTTTCTAATAAACTTGAACTGAACCATTTTATGAGAAGCTAATTTTCTATTGCATATCCAGTGAAACCCTTGTGCTAATTTATTCTTCAAAGCCAAATACTGTATAGCAAGGAGGGGAATGTACTATAGGAATACTTGAAGCATTATATTTACTGGATACAAAAGAAGCTTGTTCTACATAGATGCTGCAATCTGCTAAACACTGATTTGTTTTAAAAAATTGGCAGTAGAAAGTCAGGAATTTAATTCACTGATTTATTTATGTATTCCCTTGTCAAATACTTATTAAGACAAACCCATTATGTATAGGACTGTGTGTGATTCAAGAGTGAGATACTGTCCACACTCTAAAGATGAGATTCATGTAGATTAATTATAAGAGAAACATTATACATTGATTTCTATAAGAAAATACTCAAAAAGCGGCATGGTACTTGTCTCATTCTGTTTTGTCTTGCTAAAACAGAGTACCCAAAGTGAGATAATTTATAAAGAAAAGGGATTTATGTAGTTCATGGTTCTGCAGGCTAGGAAGTTTAAGGGCATGTCCCTGACTTCTGGTGAGGGCTTTCATGCTGTGTCATAACATGGTAGAGAAGATCAAAGGAGATGCAGACACGTGCAAAGAGGAGGAAACCTGAAGAGTGTCCTGGCTTTATAACAACCCACTCTCTAGGGAACTAATCCATTTCCACAAGAGCTAATCCAGTCTCACCAGAGTGAGAACTCACTACTGCAAAAGCAGCAAGAACCAGCACCAAGATGTTCATGAGGGATCTGCCCTCATAGCCCAGACACCTCCCACTAGGCCTTATCTCCCAAACCCACCACACTGGGGACCAGATTTCAACATGAGTTTTGGTGCGGGCAAACTTAAGGCATAGCACTACTCCAGTGGAGGGAGAACTCACTTCCAGTGGGGCTAATAGAAAATGTCTTTATGGGCCAGGCACAGTCGTTCATGCCTATAATCCCAGCATTTTGGGAGTCTGAGATGGGAGGATTGCTTGAGCCCAGGAGTTTAAGACCAGCCTGGGCAACGTAGTAAGACCCTGTCTTACTAAGGCCAAAAAATATTAGCTGGGCATGGGTGCACTCACCTGTAGTCCCAGCTACTCGGGAGGCTGAGGCAGGAGGATCACTTGTACCTAGGAGTTCCAGGTTATAGTGAACTATGGTTGCACCACTGCACTCCAGCTTGGGTGACAGAGTGAGACCCTGTTTCTTAAAAAATATATAAGAAAAGAAAGAAAATGCCTTTATGAAAGGCGGAGCCCTTAAGTTAAGCATTGACAAATGAGGAAGATTTGTAGCATTTAAGAATATAGTATTAATAGTTGAAGGTATTCTAAATAGAAGGACCAGCATTAGATAAAGCATAGAAACAGGAAACCCCAAGTCATGGTGAGAGAACAGTATGTTGTAGGCTAGTTTGATCAAAAACCTGGAGAGAGTAATTCTATGAGAAATCATGCTGAAAAAGCAGATTGTAGTAGATCCTTTAGAGATTTGAATATTATGTTAGGAACTTCGGATTTTCTTCAGTAGAAAGCAGGAAGTAGAAGTAATTGAAGCCTTTTAAGAAGGGAAATTGCAGAATTTATATATGTGTGTATATTATATATGTGCATATACATATATATTATATATATATATATATATATATATATATATATATATATATATAAAATATCTTGATCAAAGCATATAGTATGGATTGCAGACGGCAGAGAGTGGAGCCTGGGAGATCCTAATAGTCCAACAAGGAGTACTGAGTACTTTAACCAGGGCAGAAGCAGTGGGAGAGAGACATGAAGACTGACCTCAAGGATGTGGAATGTACAAAGGCAGGGCAAGTGATCACAAATGAGGGAGTGAAAGTAACTTAGAGAGAGGCCAGAAGGAAGAGCAGGTGGACGTACTGATGTGATGGATTTTGCCGTGAACTTGTTGAATGCTCACTGATGCAAGTGAAAGTGCCCAGGACTCTATTGTCAACATGGAGTTGGGAGTGGATGAAATGCGTCAGAGTGTAGAAACAATTCATGGTTGAATTGATAGCATCTGATAAAACATCTCTAAGCAAACTAGATTAACTAATAAGCATTGCTGTGTCATTGAGCTGATATAATTCTTTTTGTTGTTGTTGTTGTTGAGACTGAGTTTCACTCTTGTTGCCCAGGCTGGAGTGCAGTGGCGTGATCTCGGCTCACTGCAACCTCCACCTCCCAGGTTCAAGCAATTCTCCTGCCTCAGCCTCCTGGAGTAGCTGGGATTACAGGTGCATGCCACCATGCCCGGCTAATTTTTGTATTTTTTTTAGTAGAGACGGAGTTTCACCATGTTGGCCAGGCTGGTCTTGAACTCCTAACATCAGATGATCCACCCACCTCCTCCTCCCAAGGTGCTGGGATTACAGGCGTGAGCACTGCGCCCAGCTGAGCTGACATAATTCTGTGTATGAGTGAGGAGGCTTATCACAAGTAAAATTTTTATTTAGGCTTTTTGAGATCTTTTTGAAAATTTTATAATCACCTGAGGCTTCCCTCTCTATTTTATTACCTTATAAGAACCCTCAGAAGAATAGCCACATTTAATGGGCAGGAAGCAAAGGAGGAATTGGAGGTGGGTGTGGTACAAAAAAATGAAAAAAGCCAGAGGAAGAGGAAGGCCCTTCCCAAAGTTAAAGGGAGAGTGCTGAGGTGGGAGTGGGTCAGCACAGTATTAAATACTAGAAGAGATGGCGGTAGATGAGAACGGGCTATTGAGTGTAATGTTTAAGAAGAAATTGTTTCAAGAGAGTAGTTTCAGTAGTTCAGTTGCATTAAAATGGTAAGAGCTGAAGGAAGGAGGGTTTGGTGAGGAAGTGGAGGCTGTAGGTGTACACACACCACCACTGGAGAACAGGCTGTGTTTCTCAGTGGTGCTAGCAGAGGCCTCCTCTGGCAAATGCATGACTTGAGAAGGCAGCCCAGGTTCCTTGTGAAGAGTCTAGAGGGGTGTGGTAGGGGTCACCAGAGGCTACGTCTGGAGAGGCAGGCTCATCCTGATCATGTTTCCTGGCCAGTAGCCATCTGAGCATTGTCCTGGTTATTACCTGCACTGCTGAGATACTTCACCCCACCTAATACTCCAAACTGAACAGTGGTGGGTATCAGGAAGCCATCATGAATCTCAATATCTGATTCTTGCTTGTGAAATAACTTAAGATATGTTGTTTTAATTTCCTTATTTACCTCTCTAAATCACAGAATCTGAACCCTGTGAGTTCAGACCGTAGAGTACCTTCAGATTCTAAATCATAGAGTCTGAAGATCATTTATATAGAATAACTGGCCTTATGCCTGAGAAATAAAAAGTTTGCTTCTTATTCTGTTTCTGTGCTTGAATTTGGGACTTAAACTACAGTTGTTGATTACTAACTGAAGTCTGCTAAATCCTTGGCTTAGGCAGCATAATAACACAACTAATCATAGCCAATAATAATAAATATTATTAAGCAATAATGAGACAAAAACTACTGTGGTTGTCTCATTCAATAATACTGGCTCCAGGGCATTTACAGTATAACATTTTGTATGTTTGCTTCAAATTTATGATTTTGGGTTAGATGAGACTGTAGGATAGAAACTTTAATTACAAGTTGGGTTTTTTGTTCATGTGCTGTGGAATAAGGGATGGAAACCTCAGAGATCTTCAGAAGAGTTTCTGGGGTCTCTGGAGGGCAGAATAGTTATACTGGATCTTTTTTTTTTCTTTTTGAGACGGAGTCTCGCTCTGTCGCCCAGGCTGGGGTGCAGTGGCGCCATCTCCGCTCACTGCAAGCTCCGCCTGCCGGGTTCACGCCATTCTCCTGCCTCAGCCTCCCGAGTAGCTGGGACTACAGGCGCCCGCCACCACGCCCAGCTAATTGTTTGTGTTTTTTAGTAGAGACGGGGTTTCACCATGTTAGCCAGGATGGTCTTGATCTCCTGACCCCGGGATCCACCCACCTTGGCCTCCCAAAATGCTGGGATTACAGGCGTGAGTCACCGTCACCCGGCCCTGGATCTTTTAGCTATAAAAAAAGTCATTGGAAACTTTGATTTTCTGCCTCTTCTCCTCTTTTAATGTCGTTTCTTCACAGTAGTTTAAATGATGGCTAATTGTGCTGCAGCATTTGGTAAATGTCATATATCTACTTTTCTAAAAGCAGTGAAGTAGTGTAAACATGTGGCATCTTTTTTCAAAAGATCTATCCAGTAATTATCCTGAAGGCTATTACAGTATGCAAATAGCAAGGGGCGTCCTTGTCTCCTAAATTAGAATATCAATATTGATTCAACATGTTCAAAAAGAAAACAATATTTCTAACAAATGTTAATCCTGCTTCAGGATAGTGGAAAAGACACTGGTTGCCAAGCTTTGATAGGATTTGAGTTCTGGGTCCCCCATTGACTGATCTGCCTGTCATTTGAACTACCGCCCCTGGTTTCATTTTTCTCATCTACAAAATGGGCATGCTGATGTCTGTTCTGCCTGATACACATATCCCTTGGAGGATTGAATGTGATAATGACTTGGTATATCATAACATGCCATACAAGTGTAGATTATTATTATTTCAGGAGAAACTTTGTCATCTCTGAATTTTTAATTATTACTAATTTGAAATGTTCTGAGCACCCGATTTGTTCTGGCTTCCACATAGAATTTAAATTGGCCTCAGATAAGGATGTGCCGTGCTTCCCCTCTTTCATATTAGGGAAGTTGAGGCATGTAGATGTGAAATTGACTGCTTTTTGTTTTCCATTGAAATCATTTCTCCTTGCATACTATTAATGAGCTTACTATACTTGGTATCAATTAAATTCACATTGCCTGAAATTACTGCATGAAGCTACAAAAAATAATTTCTTCTGACAATGAAATGATACAGTCTTACAGGTACTTTTAGTTTTAATGTAAACATGACTGCCTCTGATCCATTTAATACTCCCATCTTGGTGTGCTTGTATGTATTTGGAATCCCTTGACTTTAGACTTGAACAAGGTTGTCAGCGACTGTGCGGAAGTAAGTGTTTTTGCCATCACACCAGGTGGATGACCCCTCCAGCTGTTGTTTCAGTGGGTGGTAAGAAACAGAAGACAAGCCCCTAGTCTTCATTATTCTTAGGTGTGAAAAATTCTCCCAATTGTGTTTTCCATAGGTTCCCAATATACCAATTACTTCCTAATGTCATGCAGACACCTATATTCTCAGAAATGCCAAAGAAAGGCTGCTCTGCAATCTCTCAGAATTATTTTCCCAGCTGAATTTGTCAGTCCAAATTTAAAAGAGCAACAGGCAATTAAATATTCATTTTTAATTTTTTTGTCACTCACTGCTGCAGGTCACAGGTTTTATAAGATTTCTCTGACTGTGTAGTACTGTATACTAAACCCTGTTTTGATAGTATTAATTAATATTCTCTTGCAGGCCCAAGTGAGGGTGAGAGAGAGATTTGGCTGGGCATTTTGGTACAGCAATGCTAATTTATAGGCCTGGGCAGTGGAATATTATGGAAGTGTGTAATGATAATATCAAAACTGCATTTAATTCTTGAAGAGGAAGGAAGGCTAGCACATGAGAGACAGAATCTGCTGTTCTCTTTGTAAGTGAAAGGTCATGCTACTGAGCGCTGCGGGGTGGATTGGTGAGAAATGAGCTCCCGTTTGCTAGGAATTAGAATGAGTCTATCTGATTTTCCTTCACTTGTGACCTTTAAAGATGCAGCTTTTAGATTGATAAGCAGGTGGATGCTTTTAGTAACCCAATGCAGAATTTGTTTCATATAAAAAGACTATCTTTCAGACACTGAAGATATTGCTTCCACAAAGGGTTTTTTTCTACAAAGCCTCTGGAGAAAGAAATTCAGTGATTATATCTTATCTGTCACACAAAGAGAAAATTCAGAATTACTGTATGTTCAATTAGAACATTTTTTTTTCCCTCAAAGCATTAATCATTTCCTGGAACACACATCCTCCAGTTAAGAATCTCTAGGAAGGCTTGACAGTGGGCACTCCTCGTTGCTCTCGCCTCTGGATTTCCTGCGCCACTCCACAGAGCCTCCTCCATGCCCATAAAAGAGCTTCCTATGTTGCTATAGTAATCCTTTCATGTTGGGCACTACGCTATCTTGAAGGCAATCAGATGGGAACAAGGAGTGGGGAGCAGTATAGAGTTAATGTCAGGCAGCTGAAGGTGATCTGCGCTATTCTATTTGGAGATGTTTTGGTATGCTGAAGACGGGATGCCAGTCAATGCAAGCCCTTAGCCCACTGTGGGCCCAATTTGATGTTTAGATATTTAAATATAGAGTTTTTTATGACACTTGTGAACTCTAAACAAGCCTTTGGATTTAAACAAGTTGAAATAGCTTACTTTCCATAGCCAACAAGCTCAAATTTCTCTTCCTCTCCACTTGTTTTCTGTTCGTAATTACATCATCCATCTTATTTGTTCTAATTTCCTCCTTTTATTTTCCTTATCTCCCCAGCCATCAACAGCTCAAGCCCATCAGTGTGTGTTTTATTTTGTCAAATGCTGGTGTTTTATTGGGGCTTCTGTGCTGTTTCTGTTTCTCATTTGATATTCCTACCTGATAATAAATTCTTCATAAAGCACCCCTGATCAAATACATCAGGGCTTCATTCTTTTCCTGTGTACAGGTTTTAATTTCCTACTCAAAATCACAAATGAGGTTTAAAAAAATGCATTTCTCCCGCACAGTATGCCTGACTTTTTAAATGTTTAGGGAAAGCAGAGGAGTGAGCTGAGTGACTTCCATCCAGCAGACTTCCTGCCACTGTCTATGGCAAGAGTCATCAGCTCTGTTTTCCTCTCTAATTTAAAAATACCCTGCTTTTAAAAAAAACTAACCCAGTAGCGTGTTGTATAGACCACGTAGATGAACATTCCCCTCAGAAGTGTCTCAACACTGCAGAGCCACTGTGTATAGAAAATGCCAGCTTATCTGCAGGCAGAACCACCAGGCCTCTGCAGACACTGCTCTCACCTTTCTGCCCTTCCCTCCATCTGTTTACATGTGCATGCATAATTCCACATTCACTGAAGTCCTCCCAGGCACTGTTCTAGGATCTGAGCACGACGCTGTGGCGCTCGTGGAATCTACATTCAAATCAATTTTGACCTATCTGAAAGAGAGGATACCTTTGTAGGAGGCTCTAGACCCACACTGTGTGTCACAGAAAGCACTTAGCCCTTATGGCTATTGAATTTAAGTTAAGCAAAATTCAATACAATTAAAAATTCAGGGCCGGGCGCGGTGGTTCACGCCTGTAATCCCAGCACTTTGGGAGGCCGAGGCGGGCGGATCACGAGGTCAGGAGATCAAGACCATCCTGGCTAATGCAGTGAAAACCCCTCTCTACTAAAAATACAAAAAATTAGCTGGGCGTGATGGTGGGTGCCTATAGTCCCAGCTACTCGGGAAGCTGAGGCAGGAGAATGGCGTGAACCCTGGAGACAGAGCTTGCAGTGAGCGGAGATCGCGCCACTGCACTCCAGCCTGGGCGACAGAGCGAGACTCTGTCTCAAAAAAAAAAAAAAAAAAAAGAAAAAAAAAGAAAATTCAGTTCCTTAGTCGCTGTAGCCACACTTCAAGTGCTCCCATATGTTGAGTGACTACCATATTGGACAGTGCAGATACAGAACATTTTCATTGTACCAGAAAGGTATACTAAACAGTGTCAGTGTAGATCGTCCACCATTCTTAAAGGTAGACAATTATTACAGAGGAAAATCTGTAAATAAATAACTTGATTTATTTATTTTTTTATTTTTTGAGATGGAATCTCACTCTGTCGCCCAGGCTGGAGTGCAGTGGTGCAATCTCTGCTCACTGCAACCTCCACCCTGCGGGTTCAAACAATTCTCCTGCCTCAGCCTCCCTAGTAGCTGGGATTACAGGCGCCCACCACCACACCCGGCTAATTTTTGTATTTTTAGTAGAGACAGGTTTTCACCATGTTGGCCAGGCTGGTTTCAAACTCCTGACCTTAAGTGATCTGCCCGCCTCGGCCTCTCAGAGTGCTGGGATTATAGGCGTGAGCCACCGAGCCTGGCAATAACTCTTATTTTTCATCTCCAGAAACGTTTAAGCTTTTCTGGCTTCTTCAGTTCTTCCTGAGAACAGTCAGCTAAGCAAAATCAACATGTTCCTTATCCTAACCTGGGGGTAGTGTGAGGTTTACAGGAACAGGAGGGAGGAGGGCAGCTGAAATTGAGGCTCCCTCTGAGCTACCTGAGTCATCTGCCTCCAGTGGAGAAGGTCAAGATGGGAAGGTTAAAGAGGAAGGTCAAGGTGGGAAAGCTGAGTACCAATCCACTTTTTCATTCATTGTTTCCAGAAACTTTTTTTAGGCATTGAGAGGCAATTGCAGTGAAGTAAATACAATATTTTTATCTGTAGTGGAAGGAAACAAGGGTCAAACAGTGACAGGGCAGCATGATAAGTGCCATGATATAGGAATGCCTGAGAGACTGTGGGAACTTGGAAGACATTGTACCTGACTGCCCTGTGAAGTGGGGACAAGGGAGAGAAATAGGAAGAGGTACATCAGAGAAGGACCACAAGTTGTGTGGGCAGTGTAGTTTTAGTTTGCTTGTCTTTGATGTAACCCTCTTTAGCATAAACTGATTTGAAAGCCAAGTTATATAGAAACAGGGGTTGGTGATTTTTTTTTTTCTTAATCATAAATGTGATGCTGTATTTTTTTAAATCCCGAAGGTGATTGTTGATTTCATAAAATAAGCACTCATAAAATTCTGCAAGTAACAAAACCCTGTCGTTCCTTTGAAATGTTTGCTGTAAAATGTAATTTTTTCTCCTGGACTTCTGGAAGAAAAGTATTTCATTTGGAGCTATGTGTGAGGTCCTGCTAGAATTCTAGATGACCCATTCTCTCCCCAACATCATCTCTTACTCCTGATCATGCTGGCTTCCTTGCTGTTTCTGGAACACACCAAGGCCATTCTCCCTGTAGGGCCCTTGTTTTATTGCTCCATTTGCCTAGAATGAAACACACTTCCTCACAGATATTCACTTGGCTGTCTCCTTCACATGCTCCAGATTCTGATGGAATTTCTTCACACAGAATGTCATTTCATCACAAGGCCTTGCTGACCACCCTATATGAAATATCAGCCTCCCCACACACTGCCCCAACTCTCCTAAAGTTTTCAAAGCACTGATCATCACCTGACATAATGATGTTATTGTCTATTTATGGCCTGACTCCCATCTTTAGGATATATGCTCCCTGAAGACAAGGACTTGGATGTATATACCGTCATATGCCCAACACCTAGAAGAGTCCCTGGCATGTAGTACGTCTCAGTAAATAGATACTGAGCGAATCATTTCTATCTTGATTTATGTTATGGATCCCAAAAAAATGGTTAGGTTAACCTTTCTGATGATCCATTTCACTATTCCTTTTGTAAAGATAATTGAGACTTGGTGTTTTGTGGCAATTCGTAACTCAGTAATTCTCAGTAACCTAATCTCAGAGGCCACTCTCATCTTCACCACACCAAAGAACTGTTAAGCAAAACTGATGCTCTGTTGCTGTTTGTCAGCTGCCTGGTTGTCTCCAGTGTGGTAGTGTTCAAATACAATTCACTGTGTTTGAACGCTTCTTCTGGCAGATGACTAGAGTGCGCTGGAGAAGCAGCAGAGTGTGCCTGTGAGGCCAGGAGCGTGGAGCTCTCAAAGGACCATCTTGTTTTTCTGGTTTTAAACCAGGTAATCTGGGCTTGCCTTTTTTCCTGCCTCCGTCCCCTCACCCTCTGTCCCTTTCTTCGTTTCTTTCTTCCGTCCATCATACCTTTCAATAGAATAACAGCAACTAATAATGAAATCATCCCCATGGAGGCAGGTGTTAGAGTTCCATCCCCATCAACCTGGTTTTCAGTGCTGTAGAATATCAGTGTATAAACTTCAGAAGAAAAACTTCAGTGCAAGATATACAAGCTCCTTTTCTTGCATAGCATGTCATTCTTAATTGAGAGAATGCAATGTGTTCCTGCTTTTCTTTGGATGCTTGGCCCTAAATCTAAACAGAAAAGAAAGGAAAGGCAGTGTTTCAAACAGGCAATAGTTGGGAGAAGGGGTCGGGAGAAACTACTTCTCTTTTATTGATTTTGTGAAATTGTTTGAAGAATGATTCAGCATTTTGGGATATAAAAATAACAGCTTCGAGTAGCTTTTCAATTAGGCGAATGTACTTTTGCTGAAAGGTTCTGTTGTTCTTGAAATGCACTTTCCTTCTGTTCTTTTGGAGCCTCTTTAATCAGTAGTGATGTGACAGGAGGTGCGGCAACCTCCCCAACACCCCTGCTTCTTCCTTTCCCTCTCTCTTTTGTGAGGCTGAGTTGCCAGGAAAACTGATTGGCAAAATTGTTCCTTAACTGGGGGGAGAGGTAGTTCTGTAAAGACAGGCCCTATGCAGAACATAACAAATTGAACTACCAGAATGTATGTTTTACCCCAGTTGGGTTCTGTTTCAACTAGAAATCCTAAGCAGCCATGGACTGCGTTTGAAGCAGGCACTTATTGTAAATTAAAATATTACTGAGGTTTCCATTTTTAAAAATAGTATTACTTTGAGCAGGGTCATGAGAATTTTTGTTTCATTATTGTGTCCACTGTCAGGTCACTGCATTTAAACTCCTTTGAAAATGCATATAGTAATCAGTTTTGTATATAAGCTGAATGCCCTGAGCCTTAACAGAATGGCTAATAGGTGTTTCCTGGCCTAAACAAAATGAAATTTCCTTTGGTTCTCTTTGTGTATTTGTTCTGGAGTGTGAGTGTGGGTGTGAGTGTGTGAGTGTTGATGTGGGGGAGAAAAGATTATACTGTAGTATTATATTAGCCCTTGTTGAATAAATTTATGATAATGGGTGCTACAGATTTGCTGCGGTTGCAAAGTAAACTTCAGTGTGCATATAACGAGTAGCAATTTCGTTTGCTAATTTAAAAAGATTATATAAAAACATTTTTAAAATTTAATTTTATTTACACATATCTAAACTACCACCTCTTTTAGAAGAACTGAAGAACTAAGAGCTGATTATGTCTCTTGTTACTTATGCTTTTACGATTGACAGGTGTCTGTGGCCTTTGAGTATATCATGGTGCTTTCTGCTAAATTATTTCATTTTCCCCTCAAAACAACCATGTCTATGATAATTTTATGGATGAAAAATATTGAGGCTCAGAAAAGTAAAGTAACATCACTCTGTAAAAGCTGATATTGAGTGCCAAGGTTTCAGGCTCTTGGCGGGGCACCGGGGATTCATGCTAAGATTCAAGCTCTGCCCCACAGGACCCACATGATGAGAGAGCTACAGTGGCTCAGAGGGAGGGGTTCACCGAGAGCTCAGAAGCTCCAGGTGTAACCCCAGCTGCCTGTGTGCTCTTAGACACATTAATTTCTCTTCTACCTCATCTATCAAACTTAGGCTACTGAATACCCTCTTTGTATTTGTTTTCAGATTAAATGAAATATATGAAAACACATAGCAGTCACTCAGTGAGTGTTAAATTTTTCTTTATATTTCTAGCCCATGTCTTTTCTTCTTTCCTTATACCAACTTGCATCATAGACACCACACTTGTAAAACTCTTTCAACGATTCCAGACTTCACTCCTTACTAGCCAGGTGACCTTGAACAAGTTATTCAACTCTCTGTGCCTCAGCTTCCTCACTTAAAATGGGGATAAGACTACTACTTCATTGGGATTTTATTGAGGGTAAATGAACTAATGTATCTAAAGTACTTAGAACAATTTGTAGCACAGAGTAGGTACACAACGAAGTTTACATATTATGAGCTATATTAGTTTTTCTCCTTTAGATTATAAATTGTGTTCACAATTGTTTTCAGTGTGAATGTGTCTATTAAAACGTTTTAGTAAGTTCTAAGTGTTCGATCTGATTTTAAGCCTGAAAGGTAAAGTCATACTCTCCTGAGTCCTTCGACTGTATAAATCAGGGGGTTGGCAATTTGGTTTCTGATTCCTTGGCATTGACTGATCAACATTTGGTTCATTGGTGAGCATTTAAGAACCACCAGTGAGAGCATAAGAAATTAGCAATCCTTCATACTGTCAGGCAGCATTGAGATTGAGCTGTCAGAGGCTGAGGGTGAATGCTTCGTTGGATTGACTCACTGAACCAGCTGTATTTCTTTGTCTTCCATGGCATTCTTGGATAGAGTCCATTTAACTAGGAAGTAAAGACTTTGGTCAGTTCATTTAATAAGAACGAACTTAGAAAATCCTGCATTAACCACTTAGACGTATTGAAAATAGGAGAACATTAGTTATTTAACTAAACTCCTTTAAAAATCAAAAATATTAGGGCATGAAATAATACATAATACCTTTGACTTTAATGCACACCCTACATTGTAACTTTAAAGCATTAGAAAATGTTTGTATTCTTTCTTTTTTAAAAAAAATTAATCAGAGTGACTGGGGTGGTTGTAGTGGTGAAGAAAAAATAGAAAAGGAGGAACTAGACATTTGGAATTGTGCTTGGTTACAGTATGTAAACTTTCATGAATGTGCTTTATTCCTTTTTGAAAACTATCTTCCTCTTACGTTTTTCCTTTCTGTTTTTTTTTTTTAGACAAACCTTGTCTGACTGACTATAACCTTTAAATAATTGGTAAAGTAGAGCAGTGAAACTGACATGAAAATCTATTGAAAAGAAATGGAAGCCGGGAGCATTATTCTAGTAAAGGACTGGCTAGCCTATTGTTCCCTTCTCTTGTGCTGTGTGTGGGAATTATTTCTGCTGGCAACAGACAACATCGACAGTAGTAGTATTAAAATAATTCACATCTATTTTTGTTAGTAATAATGTAATACTGGATCATCTCTAGGCCACAAAATAATTGACCCATTTCTAGGAGCAGAAAGTCTTCAAACTACAAGTGCTTCTCTTGTCTGCCCACGTCTGCTTTCTCTGCCTCCTCACCATACACACACACACACACACACACACACACACACACACACACAGAGAGAGAGAGAGAGAGAGAGAGAGAGTGTCTGGGCTTGTAGATCTTCACCCTGGTTCTCACAGGCCCCCCTGCCTGGAACGCCACTTTCAGCCTCAATAATTTTACCATTTTTCAGGAGCAAGTCTAGGACCCGATCCCTTAAAGCTTTTCTTCACTTGTCCATTGCATTCAGTCCTATTCAAGAGACATTTGAGCACTGGAGATACCACGCTGAACAAGGTGGGCAAGCCTCTGTACTGAGACCTCACAGTGTAGTGGGGACTTGTAAGCAAGGCCAGGCCTTTACAGCAGCATGGTAGACACTACGACAGGTGGCACAGGGCCCTGTGGGAGCCTTGCCCAGACCTTGCCTAGTCTTCTGCACCGATCCCACTTTGCCCTGAATGTCTGGCGTGGCTTTAGTAGCTTCCAGGGAAGTTGGCATTTAATTTTTTGCTGCCTTGCATTGTTTTCTTTCTGTCTGTTATCTCCCTGGCTGGATGGTAACTACTTTGAGGATAATGGACTTCATTTTATTTTTATGCTGCCTTTTTAAACCCTATAGGGTCTTAAACAGCACTCAGTGGATGGTAAATACTCAGTAAACACTCACTGATTTGCTTAGACCCTCTTCCCTTCCCTCCACCTCTGTGGCTTTACACAGGGATGACTTCCCCTCACTGCGTTCCTTCCAATACCTTCTATAATTTGAAAATGGCTGGCCTCTGAACCTTGTTTGCTTAGGGGCAGTGAACTCCAGCTGATTATAGTCATTGTCTTCTGGCCCTGGGTTCTTGGGCAGCAACATGACTTCCTTCTACCAACCTATCCTTTCTTCCTCAGCTCCCATCGATTTAATTATACTTCAGGCTCTCCAGGCACAGATCTACCATCACCTCTTTTTGCGTAGCCTCTAAAATGCTTTCCTCTTTCAGGGACTGTTTTCCTAATGAGGGCAGAATATAATTTAGAGGCTTAATTTTAGAAAACTATATGAAGCAGCAGACCCATAAAATGTTATGATTCACAACCACTTGTTTTGTTCTCATAATGCAACCTAAACTAAAAAGCCATTCATCAAAGCTATAAAAGCTGTTCATGGCTGTCTTTAGTATATCGTGTGGAGCATAATTCAGCCCACAGAGAGGCTAAAGATGGATTCATGGGGCCATTTGCCTTGGTGTACGTTAAAGGCCAGTAATTTCTATGCTCTGTAGAATACTGTATTTTACTATAAACCCTGGATTTTTTCTTAACCCCACTTAGCTTTCGTTTCCATTTTAATATAAGCATGTCCCCATTTATAACCTCTTCCATCCCCTGTAAATAATTGCCAAGATCCTGACTGTTCCCTAATTCATAGTCCTTCTTGTCTCAGCTACTTTGACCATTTAAGGCGATTGGTGTATGAAGATGTGTTGACCAGAAACCCAAAATGCAGCCTCCATGGAGAGCTGCCTTGGTCATCTGTCTCCTCTAACAACACCCTAGGAGAACCATTGGTCCTCCCATCACAGCTCCCCAGAGAGCAAATTGCCAACACTTTCCTAGAAATGAATGAGGGAACAAAGCTGTGGGCATTCTGGGCTATGTTTTTATAGTGTTGTGATAAGAATGCACTGGTGATTGTGAACCCAAGTTGCTAACTATAGTGTCGTCAGAACTTAAGATGCCTCTTATATTGTGTTCATATTTAAATAATGAGGTCTGACCTTTACATTTACTCATAATCATGTATCTAGGTCATCACGTCACATTTTCAAAAGTACAAGATAATATCCTGGAAGCTAAAGGTTCCAGCCATAGGGTAGATGCAGCTGGGTTTGAATCCTGGCTTGGGTACCAGTTTGGCTGTGCTTCCTTAAGCATGTTACATAACCACTCATTTTCTTCATCTGCAAAATAAGATTACTCACTGAACCTATCCCATAGGATTACTGTGACGATAGCAAAAAGATAATCCATATAAGACATCACCATAGTACTTGGTTCATGGTAATCAGCATTACTTATTCAGTAATTCTTCTTTTTATTAAGAGTCTACCAAAAAAAATAATAAAGCAAGGAACTGGAAGGATCTTATTAAATCTAGACAAACATTTTCAATAAAACTCTAAGATGGATGGCTTGTGTGTCTTTGATACATGTTTTACTTTGTAGAGCTAGTTTAAATTGTGTTGTAAACAGAAGGACACCTAACAAAAAATGAACCAGTTATTTATTTAACCTCATGATTAAATGTCAGTGACATGGTGTTCTTTTTTTTTTCAGTTAGCCATTAAATATAGTATTATGATTTTAAACTTACCTTTTGCACATCAGTTGTTTAGCTGAAAAGTACATTCTTTTTATTTATTAGGAACTAAGCTTTTTTTCATTGAAAACTGCTGTAGTTATAGACAGCTCATGTATTTCCACTTAAGGTGTACCTTGTACTGCATATTTGCCCTGGATCTGAAGATCCATCTTTTTTTTAGCAGACTCATTTTAAACTCTCATAGAACTAAATGATTTCCTTGAAGAACAAGTTTCATTATTTGGCAGATGAAACTGGAGGTGGCCATTCAGAATCTTAAGCTGGATCACACGATTTTTAAAAGCTCAACAACTTTGAAATAAATTCATGCAAAATTTATAATAGAAAAATGGTTAAAAAAATTGAGAATTGTTTTGAAAGTGGCTTTGCCCCCGTTTTAAAAATCTATTTTTCTGCAAGATGTAAAAATAGCATTTATCTTAGTGTTCTCTTTAAGCTCAAGTCTTGAGGGGGACAGTTCCCTAAAATTAAACTCTTTTGGCTGAATTAATACTCCCATGATTTATTATTTTTATTGGGAGTTCCTGGGCATTCCCTGTGCTACAAAAGAGCCTGCCTCCTACGCTCTGGATAAGTTTGTTAGGTCTGTTCAGAATAGCTTGACACAACTATGGTCAGGCATCTTCCAGGACCCATAGCTTTAGGAATGCTCAGGCAAAAAGATACAGTGTGGTTCTTTCTGTAGCCCTTTTCCATAATGAAAGAAACAGATTCTGTCTTGTAGTTGGGTGGATTTTCCCAATCTACCGGGAGTTCAATCCATTTATAGCTAACATTAGGTCAAGGCCAGAGGGGCCATAGCCCTCGCAGTTGTCATTAGTGAGCTCTTATTTCTATTCCATTGAGAAGCTGAAATTGACAAACTGTCTAGGGAGATGTGCAGTTTCTAGCTGCCTGTTTTTGAGCAGAACGCATTAAGGATAGGTCACTTCTCATGGTAGAATTCCTCGTCATTAATCACTGAAAGACCAAATTCCTAGGTAAATAAGTAAACTCGTTGATAAAGCCACATCTTGATAGAAAATGTATCTTCTTGACATCCTCCTGTCTGCCAGCCTGGTCAGCAATGTTGCTGCCCACTCGGAACAGACTGCCTTGTTTAATTCTGTTGATGGAGATACACCACGGATCTGTGAAGATCTGAGTCGTAGCTGTTGCAGGAGGCCTGCTTTGATTTGTATACAATGTGAATAACTCTCTGTGTATTCAGAGTGCTGTAATTTTTTCTTCTTCTATGCCTACAGGGACTGGATTGCCTTATCAGGGTAAAGTTCATTCGGTAGGACTAACAATTAATCCCCTGTTCTTTCTGTTTCCTGCTTTCTTATCTGGTGGCTACATTATATACAAATTCCAGCATTTTTCATCACTATGCCACATAAAGCAGTTTGGAGATGCAAGCCATAAAAAGCTTATTTTTATAACCCCTCTAGAAAGAAAGCTGCTCAGATTCCATTTGAGTGAAAAAGGCATTCCATTTTGTGGCCATGTTTACATCTACTACCTAAACCAAGTTCTGGGAGAATGAGATGACCGGCTGTGACTGATGAGTCTCTATTGTCCAATAGAGTCAAAGAAAAGATGGTATATTTGTTAAAGCTATTCCCACTATCCATGAGCTTCCTGTACACACCACACTGTCTGTTTTGTTTCTCTTGCTTTATAACTTTTGAAACACAGAAATAAGATAGTCTGTAGAGGTTATCAACTCAAGATTCACATCCTTAACTGGATAGCAAATGTCTTACTAATTGAGGCATGTATTTAACTGGATTAAATCCAGTGGCTTGATGTTAGCATGCATTGCGGCCAAGTCTGCTGTCCTTTGATGAGAAGGGGCTTAGCTTTCTACAGCTGTGCAGTATGCGAGTCACGCACTCATCCTAGGGTACTGGCTTGCCGTAATTTCATTTGGGGACAGGGGAACATTGCAGCGTGATGAGCTGGGTAGGAGCTAAATATTTCACATGTAAGAAGGAATATTGTTCTAATTAAACTGAATGCGGTGCCCATGGCAAGATCTGCGCTTAATATATTTGGGTATGTGTGAAAAATTACATATATTTTTTATAAATTTGTCCCCACCCCATCCTTGACAAAAAGCTTTTGTTTTGGATATCATTTACCATAGAGGAATTATGTCATTAAAGGTATTTCATAGCACAATAAAATCTGAAGAGTTGTAACAGTTTCCCCAGCCCTTAAATGTTTTTCTTTAGAAAAGGGAAGAGTTCAGTTTTCACCTATAACTTGTAAAATGAAAGAACAAAATCTCTTTGCATTATCTAATACAGAATCTATTGTACAAATCCCTGGGGTTTTAACTGTTTTTCATTTAGAAAAGAAAAGCAATTATAGCATAAAGTAGATCTTGGATATTCAGGAGAAAATTGGGACTGTGTACAGGATAATTCCCCTTTCTTAGCCTGAAACTTTGCTCTTACATGGTCTTTGTGAAATATTTGGTTGGGGAGGAGGTGGGTAAAAATGTTAAGTATCTGATTTCACTTGACAACCCATTGGTAGGCATTGACTATACCCCCAAATCCATTTTTGCAACCTTGAAACGTCTACTTAATATATTACAATTAGAAATAAGTGCTAATGAGTCTAGTTTTCTGACTTATGGGTTGTTAAAGGGTCTGTCCACAAAGGGCTAGTGGAATGTGGGATTGGAGAGGATGACATTCTTAGGGACAGGATCGTCTTACCAGTGGTCTCTGAAGGTCTGACTCAACTGTCATCTTGATTTGGGTGATTCCCAAATCTGCAGCTTCACCCTTGAGCTCACTTGGAAAATGTAGTCCTACACACCATCCAGCTAGTGGAACACATTATCTACTTTTCCCTGCCCACGTCCTCCAGGCTTCCCATCTTCGGCAGTAAGTCCTAGTCCTCCAGACTCAATCTTGGCATTTTCCTTTATTCCCTCCATCCTCTCTCACCACCATTTTGTGATCAACCACATTGTATAAACTCCTTCCTTGTAATTCTAGGATCTGATCTTTCCTGTGGAGACTGCTGCTCCTCCCTCCCTGGTTCAGGCCAGCATTGACTTGCCTGGCAATGCTCCAGTAACCTCTTCGCTAGTCTTTTTACTTTCATGGTCCGCATTTCCCACCCTTATCACACAACATTCAGTCCTTCTTACAAACTTCTGTAGAATTGTTCTTCGTGGAATACACTGTGGAATGTGGTACCTCTTTACCCTGTTCCCTCTATACTCATCGACTTCTAACTACCTTCAGTCATTTTTCAACATCTATAGGATAAAGTCTCTATTTCTGGCTCTGGCATTCAGAACCCTCCATAGTAATGACAAAATAAGGCCCTTCTTCCTCTCTCTTAACTCCTACCAGTCCTTTCTGAAATATTCATATGATCTTTATTATGCCCTGCTCCTTATCCTAGTTATATGAAGACCTTTCTTATCTATCCTACTAAATCCTGAGTTGCTAGAGGTTAAGTTCTATTTCTTTTACTTGCTTATATCCACCACATACAATTCTAACAAACTGTGACTAGTAATAATGATAGCTTACATTTACTGAACATTTTCTATGTGCTAGTTACTGTTCGAAGTGTTTACATATTTTTTTCTCATCTTAGTTCACAGGGCGGGTATTATTATTCTTTCCCTTTATTACAGTGCACATGGAATTTAAAGAGGCAGAAATGATCACTTCTATGCAACATAATCAGGCAAGGTTTCATGGCAATCCACAGGATATAGTGGTGAGGGAATTTATTGTAGAGATAAGCTTCTCTGCAGGGGATGAAAATGTGATTGGGGAGGGGTGGGAATTACAGGATAGGTAGAGAGGGGCATGGTCATCGGAAGTTTGATACCAGGGATGGAAGAAACTGAGGATGAGGATGAATCTTGTATTAAGTACATTGGCAAGCAGTAGAGAAAGGAGTTCTGCAGAGATTTGTGCCTAGACCACTTGCTCAGTATTTAGCACAAATGGCTTCATATTCTTCTTTTTGTCTATTCTGTCTGTACAGCTAGATCCTAAGGTCCTTGATGAAAGGGAATGCAGTTTATTCTTTTTGGTAGTTTCAGCATTTAGTCTATACTAAATGCCTAGTCAGTGTCATTTGATGACGAGTATGAGAGGAAAAAATAAAAATATTACAAAAGGCAGTCTCTCCTCCATTAACAGAAGCCTTCTTCATGTGAACCAAGCATGAGGATGGCGTATAAAACCTATTTGGAGCAGGAACTTTATGAAGAATAGAAGAGCTTCTTTCCTCTCATCTTTCACAATTACTCGACCCTAGTAATTGTATTGTTTTAATCTCTGAATTCGATGAAGGGATTTATAACTAGCATTTCTACTAGTTAAGATCTGCTTTAATTTTGACATTTAGTGGAATAGTCCCCATAATTTCACTGGACTGTAGATTATTGTTGTTATTATTATTAATGATAGTGTTCTGCACATTCTGTTGTTGTTAAAGAAGAAAGCATACCCTACTCTTTAGCATGCATTTCAGGGAGCTGTGAGCCCTGTGTATTTTGTCAAGCCATGGCTTTCATCGAGTCTCCGTAACAACATTAGAGCTTGGTGGTTGATGTGAGCTTTCAGGGTATCAATGCTGCATAATAATACTAATAGGCAAAACAAAACAGAAACTTGTAGGAGCAAAAGATGTTGCTATGGCTTACTTTGTGGTGGGGCATTGTGTTGCTGGTCAGCAATATGTTCCCGTCTACTCAAGCTGGCTTTTGGCTACCAACTGTGAGATGTTTCGTTGCTGACAAGCCTTCCCCATTCTGTATTTTGCCCTCGGGCTCGCAATTTACTGGATGCAATCTTGTTGAGAAAATGTGGTCTTTATTAGTGTTCGGCACAGATCGACTTTTCTTTTTCCGCTTCTGCAGAGCTAGTGGGATGCTTGGTGCAGGGAAGAAACAGGGGACAGATGACAGTATGAGGGCAGGAAAATAAGGGTTTTCGGGTGCTGAGAACCAGAATGCTGGCTTAGTGTAGAGATGATTGGAGCAGCATCTAGGGTAGAAACAGCTTATTTGTACCCACGGGGCTTTTGGCAGCATTCTAATCAACAACTAATTGTCAGAGAAAGATATTTGTCAATAAAAATACTTGTAAGTTAGTTTTTAGGTACATGACAAATAAGGAAACTTAATTGTATAAGACAGTTCTTGCCCTCCAGAGTTTTATGATGTAATGAGAACACAAAAATAACATTGATGCTCCCCAAATCACCATGAATATGTATGGCTTTACATACAATATTTTATTTTTCACTGTGAGGATCTGTGCGTGTATTCTTGTGTATATTTTTCTATCTGTCTCCACGCCGCTTTGTCTGTTGACTTGGCTCTGTTTCATTCATCTAATGTATTCTACAAAGAGATTTGTGAGTGGCATGCTGCAGCTACCTCTTTTCCTTCTCCCATATGCTGTCTCTTTAACAAATGCCCACACATGTGACTTTCCCCCTCCTAATCCTGATGGTGCCTATTGTTTTAAGCAGTTCCTCGATTTATAGGTGTTACTGGGTAGCTTTTTAAGCACAAATACAAATGCATTGCAAGTGGAAATTAAATGCCAGAGCATCTGTGAAAAATGTAAATCATAGTCATTTAAAATAGTCATTCTATGAAGAATTGTAGAGATGCGAAATTAATAAATACTAGTATAAGCATTAAATATTCACTGCCTGCTACTTCTGAAATGGTACAACAGCATCATTTTTTAATGATGGGTAATGATAAAACACATCAATTTTAAATAACCTGTTTTCTCCTTTTCTCCTTCTGAAGCTATGAGTTGGCAAGCTTGAAATTAAATACAAGTAATGGTAATAACTAAGCTTCTGTTAACCTTAGTCATGGAATAGACACATTTTTGTGTTTCCTGGATGTTCTGTGGCTATTTGAAAAGACTAGTAAATTGAAAATTGCAGCTAATGGGACCAGCTTGAATTTAAAGAAAAAAATATGTCTCCGTTAGTGGAAAACAGGAAACGTGGAACCTTAAGTAGCAAGCGCACCATTATCCTCTAACGCATTCTTATTTTTCTCCTTATTAAGGCTTACTGGGTCCTCTTAGAGAAGTTAAAATGAACCTTTAACTAAGATACATTTCTATTCCCTCCCCTCCAACCCCTCTAAAATCTCTTAAAAACACCTTTATTTTTAGTTATGCTTCACTAGTTCTTTAATAAGTTACTTGCAAAATACAAGAGTAGAATTAAAGAGCCAACAATTATATCTTGAATTCATGTGTCCCTATGCTACCAAAGAACTGTGTACACCTTTTATCTTCAATCTTATATGCCATACAAATGGAATTGACAGAAATTTTTCTCTCTATTTCATAGATGGGAAACAGTAAAGCATCTATCTCCTAAGGTCACGTTGTAAAGCATGTTACGAGTTTATGTGTCCTAAGATGGGGAAGGGCAGGATGTTGTGAGTCGCGAGCCTGTCTAGGGAGGTTGGAGTGAGGTAAGGCCTCCTGAAGGAAATCGCACCTGCACTGAGATCTGAAAAATGAGTTGGAATTGATTGGGCAGCCAAGGGGTGAGAAAGACGTGGGCGAGAGGAGGACATGGGTGAGAGGACGTGAGCGAGAGGAGGTAGGCATAGAGAAATGACTGTATGTGGCTCCCACGGGGAGGGGCCATGCCATGCTGTTAGTGGGCCTGATTCTGGGCAGTGGCGCAATGTGGGGAAGGATTTTTGTGAAATTGAAAGGAGTGGGTTTTCCCAAGTTTTTCCATGCTCATTTTTTCTCTTGAGCTGGTTAAGAAAATGGCATGACCATTTAGAGTGGCTGAAATGTAATCCTGATTGCAGACCTCAGTTACCTCAACTGAAAATACCATGGCAGCAAACGGCCTTGAGACAAATTCGTGGGAAGGGACTTTGTAGAGGACCCAGGGCAGGAGTCAAGATGGGGCCAAAAGGAGAGCGCTTATGGTGAAAGCAGGACAGATCTGGGGGAAGACACAAGATCTGAACTTCTGATGTCATTGCGGGGTCCTGGGCTGCCACCCCACCCAAGAAATACCGGTATTTATAGATATCTAAAGCATCCAGCCTGTAAAGAAAGATATAATGAAGTTATTAATCCTATGAGGACTATATAAAATCAAAATCTCGTCCTGTGGTTCTACCTTCTTTACTACACGTTCAAGAGCTAGTGATTATTTCTCCCAGTTTTCGTTGTTGCTGTTGTCTTGTCTCCCCCAGTTTTTAAGCACCGTGCTGCAAAGGCCAGGAGTGGCTCTGACAGAAACATTGCCAATGGCATTATTACCCTGGACCATTGTCAAGATTTTGTATTAACAAGTTGTATGAAACTGAAATGCGGACAAGGGAAGAAGTAGACTTTTTTAAGCCCAGCCATTTTGTTTTTCAAGGGACAAATCTCCCTGGGCGATAACTACCAGATTGATGGGGATAGTGAAATGGCACTCAGAAAGGAGAACTGTTAACACAGTGTGCGGGCAGAGCCTGGTGCTCGTGCTTAAGCACCTGTGCCATTCCGTGATTCAGAGCAAGAAATAGGAAACAAACCCCTGTTGTCTAAAGGGAACCTAGCAGGAATAGTCTCTGTGTTTCCATTTGAACAGAACTCCATTAAGAGATTACTAACTAAGAAGCACTAAGATTTGTGGTTGAATAAGCAATTGAAATCAAACCCTAAAGCTTATCTAGATGAATTCACATGCTCCTTTACCTGCAGAAGTTGGCTGGAATTATGCACACCTTATGTCAATGTTGAAAAGCATCGGGTAGGAAGTGTGATTTTCAGGGAGGAAAATAGATCTTGAAACCCACCAAAATGTACTGTGGTTGGGGGACTTTTCTGGAGAGAACACAACTTCTATTTAATGGGTATGAAGACCAACACTCTAGTATGTAATGTCAGTGTGTGTTTACTGTGACACTCCTTTGTCATGTATCTTCAAAGATGGCATTGAATTTATCATGAGCTATAGCCATCTCATTCTTTCTCCAGGCGATGTTTTGATAAATGTTGATGAGTTTATAACTGTAAAACCAAATGACATTTATAGTGTGATACACACTTTACCCATTGCATAATTATATCTAATGGCTTCGCATGTAGAAAGGCATTTACCATTTGCTTTTGTATAAAATGACAATCTAAACCCCAGGGCTAAATTTTTTTTTTTAAACACGATGATAAAGACTTAATTAAGAACCAAATACAATTTATTTTTGTAACTGGCATTTAAGGTACCTAGTTCTTTGGTTAAATATGTGATAAAAATCATGATACTTCTAGTAACAAAGATCAGTGGGTTTCATTTATTTCCCTCTGTCTGAAATATTGGTGAACTCACTTAATTATCGAACTGATATCTGGTATGACTTCTTGTTTCTCATTTCTAGCTAAAAGAGCTATTTTGAAAGGTAGCACAGAATCGAATAATGTGTTCAGTTAATGAGGAACATTTAAGAGATGTTTCTGAATTTAATATGATGGAAAAAAAATAAACCACCACTGTAGTATAGACATTCTTTATCTAGACAGTGATGATGTCTTAGGCCTCTTGGTTGTGGTCAAGCAAGGTTTTATTTTTAGCCATTTAGACATTTTGGAATGTTTATCATCATACAGTAGGTCACTTAATAGATCAAAACAGTTTTATTCTTAGTCTTCATGTCAGAAATAGCTCTTAGTATCTTGTTAGGATATCTACTGTGTTCATGTGTGACGACTAAGTAGCTTTCTTGGAAACAAGTCTGCTGTTGTAGTAGGTTTATCTTTCTGACCCGGTATTGACCCTACCTGCCCTGACATTGACGGCCTCTGATCAGCCTACCAATGAGCAGAAGTTAAAGTTGTTCTCTCTGTCTGCCTTTCCATGGTAAAAACTTCACGTCGTTGCTTTTTTTTTAAATTTTTTTATTATACTTTAAGTTTTAGGGTACATGTGCACATTGTGCAGGTTAGTTACATACGTATACATGTGCCATGCTGGTGTGCTGCACCCACTAACTCGTCATCTAGCATTAGGTGTATCTCCCAATGCTATCCCTCCCCCCTCCCCCCACCCCACAACAGTCCCCAGAGTGTGATGTTCCCCTTTCTTTACAGGAAATAAAACTAGATCGAAATAGGTCTCTTCTCAAGTGTTTCATCGTAGAAATAATCTTATTTTGAGTCTCAATATTTCTGAAAAATACGGAATTATTTGTGAATAACATGAAGTTTGTCCTCTTCAAATTGCTAATGTTAGATCCTATTAAAAATCTAAGCCTCATGGAATGCTGGAGAGTTAAAAGTTTGTTTTTGTTTGTTTGTTTGAGGTTAAACTCATAATAATCTAGCTGTATACTAGTTAGGTCTAACTGATTAAACTAATGTTTTTTTTCTTTTAAAATATGAAAACAGTTTTTATATACACCTGAATAAATGTGGAACTCATTACTATTAGATAATAAGCAAAAAAAAAATCTGTTCATCTTAGCTCAAAAATCAAGAGTAGAGTGTTCACTGATTTCTGAACTTGAATGCACAATTTGGAGAAATGTTGCAACTGAGTATAATCCTTTGGCTAAGAGGCTTAATAGAAATGAGAAATGCATTGACCACAATTAAAACACAGAACTGAGATTCTTGCTTGTGTCTGAGGTCGGGATTTTAATAATGCATCTGTGAACTGCTTTCTTTTGCCTTTAACAAAATTATAGAGCAATGGTCTTTGCAAGTTCCTAAAAAAAAAAAAATCTATAATGAACCAGAAAAAGTGATATTAAACTAACATTTAAGACCTTCCAGAGAGATTGCAGAATTTATTGGAAGAAGGAACAGAGTAATTTTCTGTGTAAGAGTGATTAGGAAGAACCATTTTCATGCTTTTAGTCTGGGACAGGTGGTATAGATTAATGTTGAATACATACAAAATCTATTGAGACTAATTAAAGATGCATATCCACATGGAATACCACATCTCAGTGGATCTTTGGCTGCCTATCCAACAAGCACATGTAGTGTTTATACCAAGCATTTTTCAAATTTAGCCAAGAATAGTACCAGTGAAACTTCTGAAAACTGCCCTGAAAATCCTTAGTCTCTTTGTATTATAAAGTCTCTCTTGAGAATTTCTACCTCCAATAAATGCTTCTTGGAATAGAAAAGATTGTAACCTGTGTTCATCTATAATGGGCACAAATATTATATAGCAATATAGAGTATTAGTTGACTGTACTGATCAAAATCCTAGGCTGGGCGCGGTGGCTCACGCCTGTAATCCCAGCACTTTGGGAGGCCGAGGCGGGTGGATCACAAGGTCGGGAGATCGAGACCATCCTGGCTAACACGGTGAAACCGTGTCTCTACTAAAAATACAAAAAATTAGCTGGGCGTGGTTGTAGGCGCCTGTAGTCCCAGCTACTCGGGAGGCTGAGGCAGGAGAGTGGCATGAACCCGGGAGGCAGAGCTTGCAGTGAGCCGAGATGGCACCACTGCCCTCTAGCCTGGGCGACAGAGTGACACTCTGTCTCAAAAACAACAACAACAACAACAAAACAACAACAACAACATAAACTATATACAGAGCTTCAATTTAAGTATTTGGCAGTGGCTATAAGAATGAACTTGACCCTTTACTTCCTGAGAGGGCATCCATTTCTAACCTGATGCTTAGCCTGATAAAGATGAAGCTGTACTAAGGACCTATCTCGGATGTTTAATCCAGGAGAGTGAATTAACACATCAGTCCCTAAGCCTCTGTCCCTCATCCAGGTTGGCTTAATACCCTTTGGTGACTTGATTGCTTCTTACAAATGCTAATGAACAGTTCACTTTGACACTGTACACAAACACAATCTGGTGGTTGTGTTGAGATGTTTTTCATACTGCTAATGAATAAACTCCCAGTGGTTCACAGTTAGCTGAAATAAGCAGTGACTTGAGGTAGATCCCAAAAGTGATTTATTAACCATGTTGTAAACCAAGTGGACTGGATTTTAGAGAAAGTGGGAATGTTCTCTTGAATTCAAGGGCCAAAGTAAGAAGGATATTTTAAATAAACGAGCTTAATAACCTTAGATATTATTCCATACCAACGTTTTTATTGGGAGTGGGGGTGAGAGTTGGGAATATGTACAGGGAGATAAGAATGCCCATTTATCATTTAACAGAAGAGGTATCAACATTTGTCTGTAAAGCTTTCTTTTTAATAAACATTGAATTGGAGCTTTGCTGGGCCATCAGCTATCCAGTCAGTGATGGGCTTCAAAGAGGCCACTCTTTCCTTCCTTTTAAGGTTTTCACCAATAAAGCAAATCCTGTAGTTGCAACAAGAATAAGAAGGAAATGTTCTGGAAGAAAAGGGGAGGGGGTGCCCAGAAGTTATGGGGAATAGATTGATATTTATAGACATCAGCAATGGTCTGTTACCAACATTTATAACTCCAACAGTAGCAGATTGAGGGCTGAATCAACATTTTTCCCCCTCTGTAAAATAATAAATATGGTAAAGTAGCTCTCAGAACTGCCTTTATCATAGGGATAAATCAGGACAGTTTGTGTTGCAGGAGAGACTTAAAACTTATAAATATGTTGCCCTTTAGGCTACTATTCATCAAAGTGTCTGATATGAAATCTAGACTAAAGGCTTTTGTTATTGTGTGTCTGCGTATTCTCTTTTAGAAGTCTAAATTGGAAAGAGCGCTGTCATTTTGGTCATACTGGCCTGCTGTGCTACTTAAATGCATGTCCCTTTTGGGATGTATTTGAAGAGAAGGAAATAGTGGGAGTTGACGCCTGCACACTTTTACACAAATCCTCTTCGTCGCCTAAACCTTCCTTGCAGAGGGCATAATTTCCAGCAGGAAAAATTCAGTAAATAACCGCTTGACAAATGACCTATTTTGGTGCAGTCAACTTTCTTCCTAAGACACCGGAGTAGAGAGGTTGTTCTTAAAAGCCTCATCAAATCCAGAGGGACGTAGCTTTCCTTCTTGGTGCTCCAATTCAAATGTATACAAATAGGCATGGCTAAAGATTCTTTCAGTTTGCAGAGGGAAAGCATATCAGGCTAGTGACAGATGCTTTAAGTCACATGACTTGATGGGTATTATGGTATATGAAATCTCATATAACTTTGCAATTCTGATCTGAATTTCCTGGCTTCTGTGGTTTGGAGTCAGAGTTGAAGCTCCAACCCTGTCCTCTACTCCCCTTGGTGCCTTTAAATGTTGAATCACGTATGGTGTATGGAATCACCTGCTGTTTGGAGGCCCCCACAGAGTATGTACTGAGCAGTTTTCCTTTTTTAATGTGTAGTACAGCTCCTAGTTTTCAAGAATAACTAATTGGGAGCATAAACCTCATTTTGTCCTTGAATGGTTTGCAATTCAGGAGTCCTGAATAACGGAAATGGAGGGCCTACAAAGAGGGCATCGAAGCGTGCTGCAGTTTGATAATTTGCCCACTTGGCTTGGGTAAGCTGCTGGTGTGGAATTGCTCTGGGAAGAAACAGCAGACTCTCTCAGGTCGGTAGCTTGTCTCTGATGTTGATTTGGGGGAATTTAGAGAGTTGGGGAACTCTGATGACCCCTTGGGGCCTCTATCCTGCCATGTGTGTTTTCACAAGAGCAAGTGTGGGCCACTGGGTTAGTCTGGATTTGCTTGAATGACAGCATGTGGATTGTACACTTAGATTGGAGCGCTGAAGTTGCACCAGGCCACACTCATTTATAGAAACCATTGTTCCTGGGAGTCCAGTCTAGAAGCTATGGCCGAGGAGAGAAATACTTCGAACTATGGGATCCAAAAAGCCCACTGGTCCCTATGTGACACCCAAGCATGTTTACCTCCTGCTGGGCCACGTAGCCAACCAGAAGAGCGCAATATGGTGATGTCAAGTTCCACCTGTGTGTCGAACTGAAAAGACGGCAGCTCTGCAGCCCCACTCATTCTGTTGAGGTGGTGGCAGTTTGACTTGCCAAGTCAAATTCCTTGTACTCTGTACAAGTCAGAATGCCCAACCTTATCACTGGTAACTGACTCTAAAGAGGGGCTCAGGAACGGGAGAGCACAGGTTTTCTCTTTATCAGATGCCTTTAAAGCCGCTTCGCAGCACATCCCTGTGATTGCTAACACCATTATGAAGATTGACAGTTTCATCAAGAAAGCAAAGAAGAAAATCTGCAGGCAATAAATGGAGGCAGTGCTGGGCCCTGCTCTGGTTACCCTCAATAGTGCTTCCAGAGCACTGAGCTGGGGTAGGGTCCTTTCCCTGCTTCAAGGACCTGTGGCTTTTTTTATTGAGCACAGAGCCTGAGAACTTCTGTGGCCCTTTTCCTAGTACAAATAGGTAGCTTTAAGACTTAATGAGGAGAAATCTGAAGAGTGCAGATAGAGATTTGGTTGTGGTGGTGAGGATTGGTTTTTTCCTTGCCTGAAAAGGATGACCTGAAAACAAGCCTCTAGCATTGTCCAGCAACCTTTCCACCTCACAGGCTGAAATGCATATCCCAAAGTCTGCAAATACTTTAGTACAGTGGCCAAACTGAAGAAGCTCAAGTGTAAAAAATCAAGAATGTTCTTCTAAGGACACAGAATATCTCTGAATTGTTAGTAGTTATCTATAGCTAATAATTCTGGGCACTCTCTTACCCCAAGCCAGCTGCGTCACAAATATGTGGGCTGTTGGCTACAAGGCCAGTGGTGTGAATGATTCAATGCAAACCCATCAACACTACTGGAAAAACAATTCTTCGTAAAGACTTACTGGAGATGATTCAGTGCCATCATCAGCAGAAGCGAGCAGCTGTGTGAAACCACTGCTTCTCTGAGCCTGGGATGTGTTAACGATATATTCTCAGAAGTAAATAATCCTTTTGCTAACAAGACGAACCCTATTTACTC
This sequence comes from Homo sapiens, assembly GCF_000001405.40. Taxonomy (NCBI): domain Eukaryota; kingdom Metazoa; phylum Chordata; class Mammalia; order Primates; family Hominidae; genus Homo; species Homo sapiens. The sequence continues at coordinate 115,267,927 of NC_000011.10, read as the reverse complement.
ACTTTCATTCCCTTGAGGTTTGAATTCAGCCCGGTGACCGTGTCATAAATATCATTCTGACCTCCAAGGGGGCTGTTCCTGAATCTGAGTTCTTTTGCACGTGTCCTTCTCGGAGGTTAAACTGTCCACCCAGCCATGTTGCCTTATATTCGTCATATTTTTTAAAGGAACCAAAGGGGTTAATTGGTTTCTTCAGTAAAGAGACTTTTGCCGAAGAAAGCAATTTTAGAAAAAAAAAAAAAAAAAAAAGAAAGCAATTTTAGGTTAGTTTGTGTAGTAGCCAGGGAAATGTACTGAAAGGGGTGGACCATGTTTCTGTTGTGCAGATAACCTACATACTGCTTTAGAAATGTGTGATTTCCAGCGTGTGCTAAAATAAGAAGTGGTTGTTTGATTTATCTCCCACAATGGTATGGCATTCTCTTCCTAAGTGGCATTTCATTCGCAAGCCAGGCACTGTAAATTTGAACTGAATATGTAAGTAAATATCCCTCAAGGAGATAGCACACTGGCTGGCCTCGTCTGAGAATACGGCTGCTAAAAATGAAGCTCTTGGCTTGTGGAAAAGGCTCAGCACCTGAAATACATTAGCATCCAAAAGAGTGCATGGTGTGCTAGCCAGCCAAACAAATCGAAAGTTTGTCTGAGCTATAATTGTGGAGCGTTGCCTACAAAGAAAGTAATATTTGGGTTGTACCTCCTACATTTGCCCTCAAGCACTCAAACTGACATTTAACCCGCTGGAATTTTGCTTTGAACTTTCTTGTTTGGGTACATCACCTCAGTGCATGGCAGCTTGGTACATCATAGCTTTTACTATAGCATCTTTGCATGGCAGGGACAAAGACAGTAACAGTGTTTTATCAAGCCCTAACAAGATTGCTGCAGTGCATAATTGTTAAAGGGCTGTCGATCTACTCATGTGCAACAGGCAAGAAGCTTAAAGAATGGAGAAAACCCATAATCGCAGAGTAACTTGTATTCTGATTTATTATTTATCACATCACGGTTAAAACAATTTCCTAGTTTTGTGTATTTTTAATATTGACATTGAATTTTCACCTAATGCAAAGGCAGGTTTCAGAAACTTTTTAAACATTTATATATGCAGGTAGTTAAGGGGGAAAATCCCTTTTTTATTAAGATACAGAATGCATGTTTATCAAAATTCATCTCAGATTCCATTTAGAAATATAGATATCTTGGGTTTGAAAGAGCTTACTGAGCTGCACGGAATGACAGATATTACTGACAGAACAAAGTTATGAATGATAAAAGAACCCAGGAAATGCTTATACTCATGTGGCTATAAATTAAGTAGTAGAAGAAAGATTGCTATTTGTTGGCTGGCATAGAACAAGCATTAAGTTGGTAAATGTGGAAGACAACACTCAGTGTACATCTTGCTTCATGGAGAGGTACTGAACCTCCTCTGTGGCCCAGTCCTGCGTGGCTGATGGCCTGTGAACCCAGCACTCCCACGGGGCTCTCACTGTCATAATGCAGACATGGCACTCCAGCAGGCCCCAGGCAGTAGCACAGGAGTGCTGCACAGAGATCCTAGCTGAAAAAGTTATAGTATTCTAGAACAATTGAGCATTGTAAATGCTGGTTTATGCTTCAAAATGTTACATTTCACTGCTATGAGTAACATCTGTCAAAGCCACCTAATGTTAAGACATGGCTGAGTAATATTACCTTTGTTTTGAGCACAATAAGCAGCTCCCTGGAATAACTGGTGCAGTCCAGCCCCTCTGGAAATCCTACTGGCTGATGCCCACAGCACACTGAATGCTGGCGGGTAAGGCTGCCTTTGCACACCTTCGTAACTCATCTCTTACCACGGTGGTTCTCAAACTTCAGGAGGCCTCAGAATCATCTGGAAGGCTTATTAAGACATTGTTGGGCCCCACTTCTACGGTTTCTGACGCATTCAACCCGAAAGGACACCCAAGAGTTTGCATTTCTAACAAGCTTCCTCATGATGTGAGGCTGTGGTCCAGGAATGACCACTGGGGACTACTGTCCTCCTAATTGAGCTACATGGTTACCAATTATCCATTTCATTGATTAACAAACCACCTCAAAGAAAAGACCTGAGAGGGGAGGGGTGGTGAGAAAAGACCTGGACTTTACACCAAAAGATTAAATGAATGTACAGCCATATATTTTAAGTCAAAATGTTTATGGCATGTGTGTATCTCTTTTTATGATTTCCCACCATAAGTCATTCTTTTGGATTAACCCAGTGAACTACTGGTCCCAAATACAGATTAGACAACCTGTATTGTAGAAGTAGTGTTTGTGTTTACAACACAGGTAGGTGTATTCAATGGTGGAGACAGGGAAACTTTTCCATGATTTTATGAGGGATGAACACTGGAGCACGTAAAAATATGAGAAATACATACCAAAAGCGTTTTCTGTGTGGATAGAGGCAGGGCTAAATAGCTGAGTAATGAAAAGCTAGAATATAAAGGAAATACAACAGCAAGAATGCACTGCCCAAGGTTCCCAGATTTGGCATAGCCTGTATCTTATAGACCAGAAGCCAGAGGCCCAGGAAGACTAAGGGCCAGATACTGGTCTAGGCACTGGAGAAACCACCATGAACACAACACCCAGGTTCCTTCTCTCTTAGAGGTTAAAGTCACTTCTTTCCTTTCCTCATGAGAAAAGGGGAAATTTCAGTATTGGTATTGAATTCCTAAAAATAGGGAGATGTTATGATTCCTTGGTTTTAAAAACAGGCAGGCAGAAAACTGTTTTCCTGATGTAAGTGTGTATATTCAAGAAGGGGAGGGGCATGTGGTAGGTGGGAGGCAGTCCAGTAAACAATATTTCGAGAGCAAACATAGCCTAGTGAATGCCTTATATTTTTCTTAATGCTAACAGACTTTTCATTCCTAATATAATGGTTTGAGTGTGTGCGTGTGTCCCACCAAAGAGATGGAGAAATACTGTGGTGTTGTTCACTTACCTTCATGGCACCCTTGTTTAGTAAATGGGGTCAGGCAGTAGACTCTCCTTCCCCATTCCCACCCGATTCCAGCTTGTTCTCTTGTGTAGGTGTGGAAAGAAGGATAGTAAGAGAAATCATCATGATTGTCATATGATAGCTGCTGTTTATTGAATCCTTATAATGTCAAACAGCACGTTCATTGTCTCGTTTCATCCTCGCATCAGTTACAATGGTTCTTAATATTTCCATTTTTATAGATGACAAAATGGAGGCTTAGGTTAAATAACTTACTCAAGGTCACAAAGCTTATACAAGTTGAAACAGGATTTGAGTCTAGCTCCATCTGGTTCCACCACCAGAGCTCTCATCATCAGCACAAATATCCTTGTACAGGAGCTTTTGTTGTGTTCATGGAAAAACTAGGTCTCTGAAACCTTCATTTTTGCAGAGAATGTTTTTCTGTGGTCTTGAGATAGGGTACACCTGTCCTTGGTTGCTACAATAGATGACAGAGATGGAAGTGACTATTTTAGAACTGAATGTGCCATCCATTAGCCCACAGAAAGGAAACATTTTTGAATGTTTGTTTTTTCTAATTGTGTGTGTTAAGTAAAGTGATTGGACAAACAGTTCTCTCCTGCTTGGTAATCTGTTATAAATCAACCTTCAGATGTTAATAAAACAAGTCAAGACTGACAAAGGAAGTTCCGTTTGTATTTTAAACTCCCAATTCATCAGGGTCTCCTCCTTTAGATCTTCTGTGAGAGTGTCCTTGGTCTTAATGTAGCTGGAAGATAAAATGCAGATAAAAGAGCCATTGTCTCAGAAGAGCATTAATAAAAAATGAATGTTGATCCTAATTGAGTAGTATTTAAACATACGGGGTGGAGGCAGCAGTCTGCAGGGAGCATCTGAGTCTGTTAGAATTTGACTCTCGATCTCATCTTCCTCCTCTTATTACAGGGACCTCACCACCCAGCTGCCTTCTGTGAATGTAAACTGTCACACTGGAATCAGAAAAGATATATATAGACATAGTACTATAGCAGATTCTCAGCTCTTTTGCTATCGTTGTTCTTATTTTGAAACAACGTACTACTATTCCTCTATCTTTTCCTAAAAATCTTGTCATAAAATGTTCAATTAACTCATTTTCTGTTCTTCCCTTTTCATTGTTTGCCTGTTTCTGTTTACAGTGGTTCTTGATAACTTAGTTTTAAGTTCTCCTTAATTCTTAATTCTGTTATGCTGGATATAACAGAAAGAACTCGCAATGGTCAAAGGTGAAAGAATTTGAACAAAAATATTAGTAATAATAGTATTGGATTATAAACCAAAGAACAAAATAAATATCCATGAGTCCATACTGATATAATTAAATTACTGAATAAATAAATGGGAGGAAAGACAAATGTCTTCCTTACAGAAGAATTTCAATTTAAGGAGTGAAAGAAATAAAAATGTTACCACTTGAACACTGAAGTAATTTCTGCAGACAAGATCCACTAGTGGATGCTAAAATTAACAAGTGAAAGTTTAAGGAGAAACATGATAGTTTCACAGCCTCCAAGTATTTTCCCCCAAATATTTATTAATTCCTCTGGTGGTTTTAACATACACATATATCTACAAATTCTTTAATACTGCTCCCTCTTAGGAGATGAGGATAAATTCCCCTCATTGTGAGGATGAGCTGGATGTCAGTGACTCCAATTCCAATGAACAGACTCTGGAAAGGTAAAAGTCATAATTTTTCAGTGGAGAAACCTGGCATACATCACCTTGACCGATGGATCAAGGTTAATGTCACCAATAGTAAGACTTTGACGTCATGTACCTCATGATATGATGCAATGAAGGGGCGCGTCGCCTCCGTGGCATTCTTCCCCAAATTCATAACCTCGGTGTTATCATGAGAAAGCATGAAACAAACCCAGATTGAGGGACAGTCTACAAAATAGCTGACCGGTACTCTTCAAACTGTCACAATCATGCAGTGTTGTACCAACATTCATCTCTTAGTTTTTGTAACTGTACCACAGCTAAATAAGATGTTAACATTAGGAGAAGGTGGATGAAGAAGGCTTTATGATAACTTTTTGCATTATTTTTGCAACTTTTCTGTAAGTCTTTAGGTATTTCAAAATAAAATGTTTAAAGAAAAAAAAAAAGACCCATCAAGGGCATAGAAAAGCTTAGGTGAAGAAACCCTAAAATGAATCCTCATTTATCAACTCATTCATTTATTGATTCATTTGTTCATTCATTTGTTCACTCAAGAAGTATTTGTTGCCAGACACAGTACCAACAAAGAAAATAAGCATCCACTACGGCTTTGCAGAGCTTGGTACGCAATGCCTGGTTCAGAGGAGATATTTGTTCATCGCTTGCTTTTAACTGTATCACAGCCTAGGGTGGCATGCAGAGGTTTGAATAAGTGCTGAAACAGGACAAGTGAGGTGCTTATGGAAACACACAGGAGAGGCACTTAACCTAGTCGTGGGAGACCACAAAAGGCTCCCTGATCAGCCTTTGTAATATAAGTAAGCCTATTGTTTAATCTTTCATTTAAAGTGTGTTCAGTGTTTTCTATGGGACGAACATACTTATGACTTACATTTTGAAGTTGATTTCATCCTTTTAGATTCTAAATGCCTTGAAAGTGAGTGCTTTAAAAGTAAGAATAGCATAAGTTGTTTATATGTATCCATAAAATCCTAGTTGGTAACACAGAGTTTTTATAAGGAGTAAAGGGGTCTCAAATCCCTTTGGGTTGGAATCATTTGTTACTTTGAGTTTTCCTTAGCAGGAAAAAAAAAAAAAAGACAAAAAAAGTGTGACACAAAATATATACATGCTGCTGTGATTTAAAAAAACTGAATCGTAAAAATATCTTCGGTGGCTCACGCCTGTAATCCCAGCACTTTGGGAGGCCGAGGTGGGCAGATGACGAGGTCAGGAGATCGAGACCATCCTGGCTAACATGGTGAAACCCCGTCTCTACTAAAAATACAAAAAATTAGTCAGGTGTGGTGGCACGTGCCTGTAATCCCAGCTACTCAGGAGGCTGAGGCAGGAGAATTGCTTGAACCCAGGAGGTGGAGGTTGCAGTGAGCCGAGATTGAACCACTGCACTCCAGCCTGGGCAACAGAGTGAGACTCTGTCAAAAAAAAAAAAAAATCTTATTGGAGTGCATGAAATTTTTGATGTTAAAAAGATGTTTTCTAAATAGGCTGAAACAAGAACAAATATTTTTACAAAAGTCTTTTCAATGTAACATTTTCAGAAAAAGAAACTTAGAAACAATGTAAATATAAAACAAAAAGGAGACAGTGAAATGACTTCTCGTATTCCTATATGACGGACACATAAGATAGTAATTAAAATTACAGAATTTATGTAGATGTGCACATTGCACACATACACCCCTTCAACATATGAAAATGAAAAAGGAATACACTAAAATATTAATCCTTATCTCAGAGTTATGGGATTGTGGGATTTGTTTATACTACTTTGTTTTACTTTTTCTACCATGACTATATAATTTTTATAATTAGAATGAAATTGCCCTGTGTTAATTTTTGAGAGAGGCATTAATTCTAAGAAGTAGTGGTACAGAGGTCCTGGGACTCTTAATGTATGGGTTCAGTAACAGATGCTCTAATTGAAATGAGAATCAGAGCTCAGGAAAGCTAGTCTAGGTCTCCCTGTGTAGCTAAATAATAATTTCATGTTAGCATTATTTTTGTATACCATTTCTCAATATGTTTTTAAATAACATCTTTGATGGTTTTATATAGGAAGAAACATTGTGCCCATAATAGGTGTACCCTCATGACATTTAGCCTACCTCATGGTAGGCTCTCTTACAGCTTGTAAGTCTCAGGCATTGAGAAGCACTTGGCCTATGTAACAAGTGGGTAGACTCTACATTGCAAATTCCCAAAAAGGTACCTACCAAAGGTCTGATTAAGAGCACCTGGAGGTAGGATGGGCATGGTGGCTCATACCTGTAATCCCAGCACTTTGGGAGGCTGAGGCGGGCGGATCATGAGGTCAGAAGATCAAGACCATCCTGGCTAACACGGTGAAACCCCGTCTCCACTAAAAAAATACAAAAAATTAGCCGGGGGTGGTGGCAGGCGCCTGTAGTCCCAGCTACTCGGGAGGCTGAGGCAGGAGAATGGAGTGAACCTGGGAGGCGGAGCTTGCAGTGAGCCAAGATCGTGCCACTGCACTCCAGCCTGGGCAACAGAGCGAGACCCCGTCTGAAAAAAATAAATAAAATAAATAAATAAAAATTTAAAAAAAGCACTTAGGAATCTTTTTCTTAAAATTGATTATGACTCAGTAAACAAGCACAGCCCCTCATCAATCAGTGTCGGTCATTCTCATGTAGCCATTTGACCTAATGTCTTGTTAGCAATTATACCTCCTCATTATTCTGAAAACTGGCCAGGCCTCGGCCATTCAGGCCACCAGGCACAAAGATAGAGAGGCCCACTGGCCACATATTACCTGATACAGTATGATACAACCATTGAGAGTTCTGTTACATCCAGCGTACAACCAATATGTATGATGTGACATATTACCTGATACAAACCACGGAAGGGAACCATTTCTTAGAGTGTTGAGCTCTACCTGTCTTACTCTCTGCACATTGGATCATTAGAGACTGTCCTGGGACTAATCCAGAGAGGTCAATCTAAGCACATTAAAACAAAAGGGTGGCCGGGCATGGTGGCTCATGCCTGTAATCCCAACACTTTGGGAAGCCAAGCTAGGAGGATTTCTTGAGTCCAGGAGTTTGAGACCAGCCTGGGCAACATAGACAGACCCCGTCTCTAAACAAAATTAAAAGTAAAAAAATTAGGCATGGTGGCATGTGCCTATAGTCCCAGCTACTCAGGAGGCTGAGGCAGGAGGATTGCTTGAGCCCAGAGAGTTCAAGGCTCCAGTGAGCTATGATAGCACCTCTGCACTTCAGCTGGGGTGACCCAGTGAGACGCTGTCAAAAAAACAAAAAACAAAAACAGAGAGGGTTAAGAGCCATTATCTCAGAGATGGAGACAGGACTGAGCAAAGGAGAAGGCTAGAGCTAAAGTGAAATGAGGTGGGAAGGGCATGGAGCCAGGAGTTACAGAGGGAGAAAACGATGCTGAAGAGTTCAGGATGAGATCTTTAGATGGCAGGATTTCTGCTTGGACAGTGTTTGGAGGAAAGCTCCTTCTTTAGCTCCTCTTGGGCTATACCGAACGTTAAGGAAGTAGACTCCTAACAGAGAGGTAGAGACCGTAGCTCTGCTTTCATCTGTAGATTAAGCACCTCTTTCCTTTAAAAAAAACAAAAAGTTGGCTGGACATGGTGGCTCCCACCTGTAATCCTGGCATTTCAGGAGGCCGAGGCGGGTGGATCACCTGAGCTCAGGAGTTTGAGACCAGCCTGGCCAACATGGCGAAAACCCATCTCTACTAAATCTATAAAAATTAGCTGGGGGTGGTGGCGTGTGCCTGTAATCCCAGCCACTTGGGGGGCTGAGGCAAGAGGATCACTTAAACCTGGGAGGCAGAGGTTGCGGTGAGCCGAGATGGCACCACTGTGCTCCAGCCTGGGCAACCAAGCAAGACTCTGTCTCAAAAAAAAAAAAAAAAAAAAAAAAAAAAAAAAAGTTAAGACTGGGTGCGGTGGCGCACGCCTGTAATTCCAGCACTTTGGGAGCCTGAGGTGGGCAGATCACTTGAGGCCAGGAGTTCGAGACCAGCCTGGCCAACATTGTGAAACTCTGTCTCCACTAAAACTACAAAAATTAGCTGGGCGTGGTGGCACGCTTCTATAGTCCCAGCTACTTGGGAGGCTGAGGTAGGAGAATCGCTTGAACCTGGGGAGCAGAGGTTGTAGTAAGCCAAGATCATACCACTGTACTCCAGCCATGGTGACAGAGCAAGACTCCATCTAAAAAAAAAAAGTTGGAAAGTTAACATTTTTCTCTTTTTCATGTTCTTTAAAAAAATTAAAAGCTTTCTAGGGCACCTATGACTACCATTTGTTTTTCTTTATGCTTTGAGCTACAATCATCTAAAAATAAAAATGATTGTGCTTCTTATCTTCATTTTCCCCTAAAGTAGGACTCTTCCTATTTGAAAGATGGTTGGAGGAAAGGAAAAGTATATGTGAACTGCTACATCTCCTTAGATTTGAGAGACGGAGGGAGAAAAGGAAACCTTAGATTTCTTTAGTACTTGCTCCAAAGAACTCAGATATCTTATTGATCTTGGTAACACGTTATAATAAAAGTAGAGTTTTAGCTTCTTGGTTTTGGCTGCCAGTGTCCATGACAAGGTTCACCAAAGATGGTTTTGGACTCTGGGCCTGGCTCTAAGCTATAGGGCCCAAATCTTAGACAGTTGAGATCCAACAAAGCTGGGTTCTGGAGTAGGTCGGGAAACAGAGCTGGTGGCAGAGTGCATCTCGGAGTTCCCTCTTTGACCTGTTCACAGGCCTTTCATTGAGCCTTGTTTGCCATGCTTTTCTTGTGGTTTGTGACAGATAAGAACTGTATTGATTCCTAGCATCTGCTGGCAGTAACCTTTGAAAGGGCAGGCGATGCATCACCACAGAATTTTATCTATCAATATCGGAGTAATAGAAAGACAGGGATGACATCTAATCACAACACAGCTGGCAGATCATAAATCTGAGCTGATACGGTACTAGTAATGGGCAGCAGAAAAAAAGGGACATGGATTAACATTCGGATAAAGTCAGGGGGTCGTTTACATGGAAAGGACACGATCTGGCCATGAGAAAAGTCCTCATGGAAATGATCACCCTCAGAGGCCTGAGAAGTTAAGTAACCTTCCCAAGTTTATCCGGTTAGTCTGTGGAAGAGCCCTGCTGTAAGCCTCAGTTTCCTCATCTATAAAATAGGCAAATACTTTGATGGTTGGTAAAGGATTCAATTAGATTACGTATGCCAATTCTCAGAGCATAGACCCTGGATCAGCAGTGTCAGCATCACCTGTGAGCTTACTAGGCATGCAAACGCCTGGGCCCCACCTCGCACCTGCTGAATCTGAAACCCTGGGAAGGGCCCAGCAGACAGGCCCTCCAGGTGATGCTGATGCATGTGACAACGTTTGAGAATGCAGATGTATGCAAAACAACCAACAAACACCCTTAAAAGGGTGGCCTGGCATAGAGCTAAGGTTCAAAGCAGCAGCATTTAACTGCTGCTTTTATTACTATTAATATTACTTGGTCCTGTCATTTATACTAATAATTTACTCTGTGTACAAGCCCTACATTCTTCATACTTTTTTCATTCACTGGTGAATTAGTGATAAAAATAAACATTTTCTGACAGATAAACATTTTTGACATTTAAAAGATGTCATAGAACTGGATACACTAACTCCTATGCTCCTCTGGTTACAGTGCTAGAGAATACCAGCATTCTAAAGGTTAAGGTTCTAATGTGTGCTTTGGACATATTTAGTGCTTTTGACATGTCAGGAAGCTTCCAGTCTGGACAGTGAATAGTGCTACAATTTAATAACATAAATGGAGTCTGTCTGATTCTGCAAAGAAATGGCCTTCCTTGGGGCCCAGAATATATAGTTCCTTCTGCAGTTACACTCACAGTATTTTTAATCATTTCATGATTTTATTATATCCCAAGTATAAGGTGCTACAAAGAGTCCCTGGTGCTGGCAGTCACTCAAAAATTGGCAAATCTAAAAAGTGAATAGAACAGCAAGTAGCCCATTAGATTATTTTTTTCTTTATTAAAAAAAAACTTTTTTAAAAAGAAAAACTACCGTATAAAGTTGGAAGTGTTGATTTTGGCATCTTATACATGAAAAGTAGTCGTAATAAAGTGCCTCAATTGTTGGTGCTTGTTCTGCAGAAATTATGGCTGTGCACAATTGTGAGGGCTTAACTGGGTTTCCAGGAAGTACGTAATTCACACTCTAAATGTGACAAGCATGACTGCCCATAAACCTAACGACTTTTTTAAGAGACCAAAATTCAGAATGTTATTCTCTCTGAAACTGCACTTAGTAACCCAGCAGAAAACTGTTCAGAGATCTGCTCCCATTGCAATGAAGGCATCTGGACATACCAGTGGTAAGAACAGCTAACAGCTTTCATATAAGAACAAACTTTTTAGAGGAAGGAGTAAGTGTGAACCTATTGCAATTGCCATATGTTAAGGAACACAAACAATAGGAACTAGAACATGGCAATGGCCATTTTGTTGCTGGCTCTCTCTCCCTGCCCACCTCCAACCAGAAAAAAAGTTTACTGGAAAACTGAAACAAATTGAAGTCCTAGGTATATAAATTTTCAGAGTGATAGGAAAGAACCTCCCCCACACTGAGCCTTTCACTCTGAGGTGAATTCTCTGGTTTCAAGGTAAGTGTTACTTCCCCCTGTGAGCAGCTGCTAACGATGCTGTTAGCCTATATCCGGATGGCACAAGGCACGCTGACTCCAGTGACTGAGAACAGGGCCAGCAGTCCAGGCTGATCCATGGATATTCATTAAGAGGCTGTGTGAAATGAAACTGGTGTTTACTTTTTCTTCTCCTGGACATTCTATGAGGCTCATTCCAAGCCTGATTCTTTCTGCCTCAAGCTTAAGACTCTTGTTATTTCTCTTAAACTTTGGTTTATGCTGTTACCTATATTTTTACAGCAATTTTTATCTGCTAGCCAGAGTGAAAAGGCCTGTTGTAATGGGTAAGATAGCTTTTATTTTTTTCCTGCCTTCAAATCATATAGCTGAATTTCATCACTTCTATAACAAACCTCTGCAGCCTCTTTTCAGTTTTCATTTTGGAACACTTGCTTTATTTCTCTATTTGCTGTTTTTGTCTTCACTGGCCTAATGCTCACAAACACAAAACACACAGTAACAATAAAACCAAGTAAGCAAAAATTCAGCTAGGGTGCTACCGCTTGTGAACTGACAGACCCCACTAAGGGTGAGAGCGCTGGCTAGAAGTAGTCATTTTTGCAATTAAGTGCAGAATAATCTATTTGCATTGGTTACAGTCAGCTAGCTGCTTTGGGAGAGGATTTTTCATTTGTGCATTGGTTGTTGTTATTTTTCATCTGTGCATTGCTCGTTGTTTGCAACTTAAGGAAGAATGATACATTCAGTTTCCTATTGATTTTATCCATGAGCCACATCAATTTATCTTCCTGCAACCTTGAATTTTTAAAAATTTGTTTTTAAACATGTTTATTCCTGGAAACTGGCCTAATTTGGTGGCTAGGATTCATGATCTTCTTTATCCCATTACACCAAGATTCACCAGTTTCCTCAAAACAAGTTATCTAGGAATATTTCTCTTTCTAGGATCTCCTTTGGTTTAGCTGTTAGTCTTGTGTTTATGACTGTGATATAAAAGAATGATTGGAATTAATATACTCCAGGCCAGCGCTCCTCAAATTAATATGCGTAGGAATTATCTGAGTCTCTTGTTAAAATGCACTTTCTGACTTAGTAGGTCTCGTGTGAGTTTGAGATTCTGCATTTTTAGTAATCTCCCAGGGATTGTCAAGACTGCTGGTCAACAACACTGCATAGCAAAGCTCTGAGGGGACTGGTGGACAGGTGTCCTAATTATATTTTTGGTACAATTGGGTGCTACGGAAAACCCTCTTGAGTCATATTGCAGAATGTATGTGTCCTTTGCCCTTTAACTTCTGAAATTAGCTCTTTGCTGGTCTTTCCTTAGAAGGCAGCTAGACCTTAACTGACGTTTATAGAGGCAAGTAACGCTCATTTCTTCCTTTAAAAGGGGAACACTGATGCCAAAGCCCGTGCGCCTGACCTCTGAAGTATTCTCGACTCCTGCTCACTCTCTTTTCCTTCTCCTGAGTTCTGCTTCCTCTTCTCTATACTCTTTTCCCTGACTCTTATCAGCTCCTGAGCACTCTGTGGCAGTCTCTTAACTGATCCTCCTGACTCCAGCCCTTTTCCTCCTCAGCCTCCCATCCCTCTCTACATAGAAGGTATCTTTCAAAATACAGGTGTAATCATTCCCTGGATTAAAATCACTTAATGGCCCCCTATTGATTACAAGATACAGTGCAAATTCCCTAGCCTGGCATGCAATGTCATTCAATATCTGGACCTAATGACCTTTCCAGAAAACGTTCCTTCTTGTCTCTATTCAGAGCACACTGTATTTTTCATATTGTTCCAAATATGCCACGATCCTCCTTTCAGATTTCCTCTCCTTCTTCCCCCTCTCTAGAAGCTGCACCCTTATCCCAACTGAGCTGGTCATCCTTTTCTATGGTACCCATAGCATATTAGTAACTTGTGACTTACAAGTATGCGTTTGTTGTCTCTGTGTGTGTGTGTGTGTGTGTGTGTGTGTGTGTGTGTGTGTGTGTTTGTCTCCCTTGCGCATTAGGAACTTCTTAAAGTAGGGCTGTTTTCTCTATTAGCACTCTAGGTCCAATACTAAGGCCTGTTTCCTTCCAAGAGTCTTGTGAAAATCCCCGAGATATCGAAAAGTATTGGCTTCAAAATAAAATATACAATTGGAAATAATTTTGAAAGCAAAAACCCTTTGAAAATTTTAATTCAAAATTATATTTAGTGTGAGATATGGATGATACTTAATAAGTCTTGATGTTATATGGACCAGTTACTTCAAAAAGTGAGAGCGCCTAGCACCCATGAAGTCTTAAAACAGCTTATCATTTAGTAATTTTATTCAATAAACATTTATTAACATTCGCCCTCTTAGCCAATACTGTATTATGCTTTCGAGATACAAAGATGATTAAGATAGTGTGACTGCTCTCAAGGAGCTCAAGATAATTAAAATAACAATATATATTTTTGGCACACAGGTTTTGTGTCAAGACTCAAGCTGTACAAATATGTGGATTATCTCATTTGCACCTCAAGATAACCTAGCAAGGGAGGTATTTCATACCCATTATTATGTGTGAGAATCCTGAGGCTTAAGAGAGTTTAACTTTCCCAAGGTCTGCCTAATAACTGGCAGAGCTAGGATTGAACCCAGATCAAAATCAAATGAAGGAAATAACCCTATAAACAAATAATCACAGAGCTATCCATGTAATGAGTACTGAGACTGAGACACATAACGATTTGTGTGAGTTAGACATCAAGAAACCTGGGCAGTCATCAGAGCTCTCTTCATGGAGAAAGCTGATGGCTTTGAGCTCAATCCTACAGGACAAGTAGGAATTCCTCCATGGTCAGTTTTCCGCTGTGATGAGTAGATTAGTAATAGGTGGGTTTGATTAAGCAATAAATTAAGAAATTATGTCAGTAACTACTGTCAGTCATCAATTACATATTGATTTGCTTCCTACATTCAAGGGTATATTTTTACCTAAGAATATCTATTAGTGTCATTGTATAGTTATCAAACTAAACAAAATATTATTATTCAATTAAATTTTGTCTGTGCAACTTTTCTTTGTTTGATGTCAAATGAAAGGGGAAAATTATGTCCCGTGATGCCATAGGAGCACACCACTTAGTGAAGGTTAGGTTTCCAGACACCCCAAACATCTTAGACATACCCAGGAACTCATTAGAAAGCAGGAAAGGTCTCAATACCTGATAGCTTTCTCAAAGCTCATGCACTTAGTCCTAAAGGCAGGAATTATCTGTGAGATGTGACAGCCAGCATTCGAGGGAAACAGCAGAGGACACGTGCAAGCCGAACAGGCTAAGACTGTTTAGGGCCAGCTTGTCCAACCTGCAGCCCACAGACCATATACAGCCCAGGACAGCTTTGAATGTAGCCTAACACAAATTTGTAAACTTTCTTAAAACGTTATGAGATGTGTGTGTGTGTTGTTTGTTTGTTTGTTTAACCTTATCAGGGGTCATCAGTGTTAGTGTATTTTATGTGTGACCCAAGACAATTCTTTTTCCAGTGAGGCCCAGGGAAGCCAAAAGATTGGACACCCCCGGCTTAGAGGAAGGCCAAGTATTCGTGCATATTTCAGTAACTCATGGATGTCCTCCCTGTATAGAAGCATAGAACAGAGAAAATTGGAAGACAGCAAGCTTTTGTGCAATTTGTCATTTATTTCATTTTGTCTTAGTCTCAGTGTTTAAAGAGAGGTTTAGTTATATGGAAAGCTGACTTTTGTGAAACACCGTATTCCCTCAAGATGTTTGGCATCTGAAATATTGATTTTTTTTTTTAGGTTTTACAGGGAGAAGGGTGCATTGCATTATCAGCCTAACACTAGGCACCCTTCACACCCTTTGAATATGGTGATTGCTCTCTGAACTACTTATGGGCTTATACAGAAAGGGAGGAAACCCAGACGATAAGTCATGTTTTTAATGCTGTAGATTGCAATTCCAAATGTCTGGTCCTCTGCCCTCATCTGCTATTTACCTTATATGTTTCATACTTGTGGTTTTTAATTTGCAATTCAATATAAATGTTTGATAAAGATATTTTAATTTGCTCTCTGCTTTTTAGTTAGCCTTAGAATTAAAACAATTATAGCTAAACCTCTGAAATAAAAAAAAATTCAGCAGATTATGGAAGATCATAAGAAGGTCCTAATAAAATAGACAGAGAGTGCATAGATGGTGGTGATGCTGATGAAGAATATGGAAGAGAAGGTCATAGTTCTCTATTTAGCATTTTTGGAGCTTAAATACTTTCATAGGCATTACTTCACTCAATTCTCATAATAATCCTTTTGGAGAGATAACATTTATCCATTTTAAAATATAGAAACATTCAGAATTTCAGAGGTTTTCCTGTTTTCACCACCAGTAAGCTCAGAACTACAACAAAAATTCCTGTTTTCCAAGTGCGATGGTCTCATTTCTTCTTAGCTGCCCCCTATTAGTGAAAAATAAGTCATAGGTAATGTTCTTCTCACTTATCTCTAATTTCAGTGATGATTAATCAGCAGCCCACACTTAGATGATACTAATCAAGTTATTGTTATAATGGCACCAGTTTGTGTAGTTACTGTGCATAATTGTCTGACATAGGCTTTGCACTGGGGAGTCAGCAGGCATAAGAGTAGAATCTGGAATCTCTTTGGTCCACTGACTTCTCTCCACATGCAATTCCTTCATCAAACTGTGGCTTAAAAGAGCTTTCTACCTCTATTATACGTCTTCCCAGGTTGAGCTGGGACCAGCAACTGAGGAAACCAGTTTTAAAAACTAATAAACAAACAAAAAACCACTAGCACTTGCTTTATGATTGACAGATGATAGAGTGAATAACTCAGCAATAAGGGCCTTAGTCATGGACCCCAGTTTTCCAGCTAAGAAATTGTCATTTCATATAATAGTTCAAAGCTGCTTGGCTTCCTGGTAGGAGATGTGGATAAGCTGAATGTTGCAGCATTATTCAGCATGATGATTATCATGGATTTACAGCTGTTTCTTGAACAAACCATATTACACACACTCACAGAATACACTCTAGAATAAGAATATAAAACACCTCTCCCCTCCCACTTCCCAATTTTCTGTTTCTGTAGTAATGTCAGTTGAAACTGACATTCACTCTGAGTCCATATCTGATGTGTTCCAACTGATATCCTTACTTGCTTGTCCTGTCGGCTCTAAGCTTTAAATTTGGAAGGTTTTCAATGACTCTTGTTGGCAGGAAAAATGAATGAGGAGGTGTAGAGAGAGACTGCTATTACAGCCACATTTCAGCCACGTAGACTGTCAATACTAATGAATGCCCTTGAGGCAGGTACTGTAAATGCCGTTAAGTTGGAGTTGAGCTGCCTTTCGAGTTTGGGTCCTTTGGCAGAACAGACATCTCCTCTCTAAATACTAAAGACCCTGTTGTAGAGCTAATTTTATCAGTATCACATATTGGAACATGCTGGTTGCTGATAGATTGGCTGTTTGGCTTCAGATTCCTTGATATGCTGAGAATGTTACTTTAGTTTTGTTCCTGAGTTATAAAAATGAGATACTATAAATTCATTCATTAGTTCTCCTTCATTCTTTTAGCATCGTAAAGCTTATTGTCCTTTCAGCTACCTTATTAATATAGTATAATTGTTAATAGCACCCAATCTAGAGTTAAACAGACCTGGATTCAGATATTGGTTCCAACCACTTATTCAGTATATGTAAATCTTAGCTTCCTTGTCTGTGTAATGGAGATGATAATGGGATATTGAACCACATAAGATTGTTGTGAGGTTTAAATTAGATAATGTGAAGAAAGGGAAAAAAAAGAAGCATAGCGCCTTGCATAGAAAACATTTTAAAAATACATTAGCTATTGTTATCATGCAGATGATTAAAAGAATATCCTCCTCCAGATAGCAGTGAGAGTTTTCTTAATATTAGAAAAATTAATAATAAGTGCTTTGGAAAATAAATAATTTGTTTTTCTTGCCTCTATACATGTGGAGAATAGCAGCCACTTTCCTTTTCTTCTCTTTATGTAGTAATTATTGTTACCCGTTACAGTCTTATGATTTTAAATATCTTACACTAGTTGTTAATCTTTTAACACCCTGGAGACAAATGTAAAGGGGGAAAAACCCAGCTTTTAGTGAGCTGAAGTGAAAAGTGACCCAAGTTTAATCACAGTACCTCTTAACAAAGAGAAAATCATATTAAATTGGGTACTTAAAATTAGGATATATAAAATAAGGGAAATACATATGTTATCTCCATTGAGACTTGAGGATGAGGTTGTAAAGAAATTCAATTTAAATAATTTTATAAAGAATAACTGGTAAGGGTGGGCACAGTGGCTCATGCTTGTAATCCCAGCACTTTGCGAGGCTGAGGCAGGCAGATCACGAGGTCAGGAGATCGAGACCATCCTGGCTAACACAGTGAAACCTCATCTCTACTAAAAATACAAAAAATTAGCCAGGGTGGTGGCGGGCGCCTGTAGTCCCAGCTACTTGGGAGGCTGAGGCAGGAGAATGGTGTGAACCCGGGAGGCGGAGCTTGCAGTGAGCCGAGATCGCACTACTGCACTGCAGCCTGGGCAACAGAGGGAGACTCTGTCTCAAAGAATAACTAGTAATGGCAAGTATTGTGAACAGCCTACATCTCTGATATACTTACGACTCAGGGGGATTGAGAAGTATCCATTAAAGTAGAAGAGACCACAGTAGGGTCACCCATCCCCATAGCTTTGAAATCCTAAATTTTTCCTTAATTTGGTTAGGGAAAGCCAATGTTATATTTTTTACAGAGTAAGAGCTCACCAGAGGCTGCTGCAGTATATATAATAAGTAGTTTGGCTACTAAGATCTCTTCTGGGGTAAAAGAGAAATCTAAGTTCCCTTAGATTTTGTAGGAACAGTAGAACCTAATATTTGTATCTTCCTTTGTGGTTTTCAAATATGTGTTTTGAGTTTTAATCCAGTAAACCTTTTGTTTTAGTTGTGAATAGCTTGTGTTTTGGGAAATGTAGATAGTTCTATATTGAATTAAATCAGTCGCTTCCTATTATCCCAGACTTCAACTAACTTTGGGGCCTGTGACCAACAACACCGGATGAAGTGAGGGTTTGTGCTTTATCAGCTATCAGCTGCTATTTACACAGTTCATCCCTTTTAAAAGAATGTGAGTTTCCTTCTCAATAGTCCATGCTTGTCAACAGTGGAATTTTGTGTAACCGGTTTTCACTCTAGAAAGCAGTCACTTAATGTTTCCTAGAGTATAATATCATATTATAAGTTCATTAGCAAAGTGGTTGATACAGAAGATCAACAATTGGCCTTCAGCACAACTCCATTTTGTCTAAAAGAAACTTCATATGTTTTGAAATGCTGGAATACCACCCAGCTTTGAATTGCTACTAAAGCAGCTCAATCTAAAACTATTCTTTTATTCTTTTTTTGCCATAAACGAGCATCACAGAATCAAATCCATTGAGAAGAAACTGCTTGCTTTGCCAACACAATTAGTTTCATAAGAAGCCTCTGCCTTCAGATTGTTCTTCTCCAAAGTCCACGTTTGTTGGATGGCTGCAGTTATTGTTTAATTAATATTTTTTAAGAGCCCCCCTTCTCCCAAGGGCCTCTAAGCAGATTTAGCAGGCTTAAAATGACTCTTCCACAAGGTGATTTCAATGCCATCTCACAAACAAATGAAATAGTGGCTTTTCTACTTTGGGGGCTCGATTTTTTTCTCTCTCTTTTAGTTCTCATAAAACCTGTCCACTAGAGAGAGTTTTTCTTCAGGGTTATCCTATCTTCTCTCTAAAAAAGATGCTATCTTGCTTATGAACGAAAAGCCCATGCAACCTATCCAGCTATGAAAAGAAGTGAGAGAAAAAAGTCTCAGGTTTTCACCTACCAGTGTGCAAAGCAAAAGGATTCAATGATTATTATTATCTTTTATGGTTTATTTTTATATTCCTGTTTCTTTTTTTGCCATTAGCTTCTTTGATAAGTGAATTTTAATGGAAAAGCTAATTCAGATCTTCAAGTTTAGTGGATGGGTGTCACTCCGCATAAACATTCTATAGAGAGAATTGCACCTCTTCCTTTTATGGGATCAGATAGCTCAGACCTTCAGCGTCGTAATTGTTTGGCACTTTTAGTGATGTGGGCCCTGATTAAAAAGTCATATTGAGCTCAGTCTTTTAAAGGGAAGGCAGCTAATGTGATGGTTGAAATTGTAATAGTACAGGCAGGGATGCTATAACTATTTTCTTTTGTCACAGTCTTCCTTGAAAAGAGTTTTCACCCATCTAATCAGTGTTTTCTTTCACAAGAGATACCCATCCTGTATGTAAATAGAAGTTGGACTGTGCTTGACCTCCGTTCTTCAGCCTTAATGTCAAAAACCAATACACACAAAGGTAGAAATGGTTTGATGCATATTAGTCTTTGAAGTCAAGACTCTGGTCACCTTTGGTTTGGCATGGTGTAGGAGATCATTCTCTTGGGAGAGAAAAGCAGAAATAACTCTTCTTGCAGCTGATGTTAAAGAATTTCATGGGGACAAAAGAAACTTTACATAATTCTTTCCAATAACTTTTTTCCTAATTTACATAATTCTTTCCAGTAAGTGTTTTAAAACCTGACTACTTTCCAGTGTGTAAGTTGAGGGCGGAATTGTCAAAAATCTATTCACTAGGTAAGTTTTGTTGGCCTTATAGCTGTGGAAAACCCAGTCTGGGGACTCTGAAGGAGAAACCTTGCTGTGCTATTTCAGAGCTGCCTCTCCCCAAAGGAATTTCAGAATATAAGGGACACTAGAAGACATGAGGTTTGAGAAAATGGGTCTTCATGTTATTTGCTGTGGTTGCTGTTGAGTTAGACCCTGAGTGGAATGCATTGTGGTGAGCCACCACCCTAAGCATCAGTATTCTTGGCTATTCTCCCTTCATGTGCATTTTGGACTTAAAGGTGAAATTCCATCTTTAACCCCCTTGTGGTTGTCTGAACAATGATTAATGAACTAGATGTGATTCCCTGCAGACCTTTCAAAGGGTGGATGAAGGATGGAATTTCAGCCTTTTTTTTAAACCAGGCCTTTTGCTTAATACTGCTTTTAAAATTAATGTCCTCCTTTGAATGCCAAGAAAACAAAAGGAATTTCTCAAAAGTGTATGCAGCTTGACACAATAGACCTTAATTGGTGTCAAGGAGATGTTAGGATGAATGGGAAAATGCCCAATAAGACTGAAAAGTGGAACCTTGTTATGAGCTGTCATTTCAACGTGTATTTAAACTATAGCAAAACTGAAACATATTTGCCATATAGATCATAATGACTCCAAAGGAGCCATTATACTCTATTATGTAATTACATAATCAAACCATGCATAGTAATCAGCTTTTGGAATTCAATGCTAATCAAACATACCTATAGTATGTGTTTAAGCGAAAATAGAGAACGTTAATTTGCCATTAGTCAGCTAAACAAGAACGTGTATACAGAATATTCATGAATAGCTTAATGTTGTGTCAGATGATATTTTTTGTTGTGTATTCAGGGGAAATCAACAATTTTAATTGAAGAAAAATCCAGCACAGAGGAGGATTACTCTTAAACTTGCCATTCAAAAATTTGCCTCACCTGTTACTGATTATAAAATGTTAAATTAAATAAAATATTTTTCCTTTTATAAGCTCAAGTGACACAACAGTAATTATATAGCAGAAGATTCTTTTGAGATCCTGACCATCTCCATGCCATAGGATACAGTGTTATAAATGCTACATAAAATAAAACTGTCAAAACAACAACAACAAAAGCCTTTGAGCACATATTGCTTTTGTAATTAGCAATGAATCAAAGGTGTTATCTAGAAAGAGCCAAGAATAGAAATATCTTGATGACTTGGTCAGGGGGTCTGGCATCTACTCGTGGCTGGGCCTCATGCTTGTCATATGATTTCAGGCCTATCTGCTCCCTGGGCCTAAAGTGAGAGAGTTGATCTCCAAATTTCTTTCTACTCAGTTCTATTGATTCTGGATTCCATAGGGTTCTATAAAAAACAAGGTGATACAGATGAAGTGTTTGGGTCAATGTCACATATTCTTGTTCACTCCATTATTTGTTGAGTTGGTTTAGTTTATTTTATCTCTAAGCCTGTGAACTGTATGGTTGGCATTCATAATTATTTTCACCATTAAGTAGACAGTCTTTGGAGCAGACAATCAACATATTTGACTTAACTGTTTGGTGTAACAAGACATGGAGAGGATCAAAAAGGTTAAGAGGGGCTTTGTAAACAGCAGACAGATTGATTGCTTTTGATTTTAGATAAATACTAAAGTATTCATGCAGGTTGATATTTGCCTGTCTCAGAAATAAAGAATTGCATTTGTCTTGAAGAGGTCACACCCTTAACCTTAAATCTACAGTTGATGGGCCCCTCTCTTTGGACCCTGGTTCTCACTGTCTCTTGTCTGCACATTGGATGCCTAAAAATGTTACTGTAATATTTAAATAGAACTAAATTCTTTCATCAAACGCTTTCGTGGCTTGAACTTCGAATAATTTATTTTCAAATTACTTTTACTGTAATTCTTATTAATTCAAATAGGTTTCTGATTTGATATAAAACTCTGTAAATGCAGGGAACAGTTTAATGAATTGAAAGATAGGATTGAGTCTTTTAAAGGAAATGTACAAAATATGCTGACAATAATTGCTTAGATAGAAATCAAATCTTAATGGCTTTGTTAATGATTTGTAGTGAACACTGTGTTTACGTTGACTTGGGGGAACATACGTAGTTAGAAAGATTTTTCCCTCTGGGTTTCAGCAGAATCTTAATTTTTTTCATTCTTTTCCTGAACGTACTCAACTCTGTACTAGCTCTCAGAAACGTTAGCAGGAATTGCAGTGCCTCTACTAGTGATGGTTTTATTTCGGGTAGGGATTAGAGGTTCTTCTTCCAAGTTGGGCCCACCCTGAACAGGGTTGTAAAAATAGTATCCAACAGAAATGAGCATAATTGACAAGTCATTTGAAGCTTCAAGTCAGCGAAGGCTCACACATCTAAAGAAAATAAGTTTTCCAAAACATGCTTCTTTGAAAATTTCCAACCTAGGAGGGTAGGAATGAATAACCCTGAGCCTTTCATTTGTGTAAAATTTCAAGAACTATAGTAGAGTTTTTAAAGTAGTAACTTACTATATTGATTAGCAGAATGTTTTTTTTTTAACAATCAATAGTTTTGGTTTGACTCCTATTTAGACAATATGTGCTGATTTAATGTTAGGTTCAGTCTTCCATAGAGCAGAAGGTTTTCCTAATATGATTAGTTTTCCTAATATGATTTTGCTACAAGGGACTGTATTTGCCCTTTCTCTGGGCAAACTGTCTTCCCTGTGAAGAGTCGCTGGTGCTCCTTCTCTATGTCAGTAACAGTTTACGTAGTTGCCATAGTATAAACTCAATTCTGTTTTAACTATGACTTGCCCTTTTATTATAGTCTTGACTAGAGAGACTCCCCCGGTGTAAATGAAGTGCTTTATTGATGAACAGCCAGGCAGCGGGGGCGAGAGCTTGTGGTGCTGGCAAAAGGCCGCCATGCACTGGTAATAAAGGCTTTCTCTAGGGGCAGAGTGCCGAGCACTGAAAGAAGGAAGCAGTAGTAAACAAGGTCTTTTACATTCAGGACAGTTTCTCTCTCATCTTAAAGTGTGTAATTGTGTTCTGGATAAAATATGGAAATAAAAAAAATCAGAAGTTGCTCATAGGCAAACAACCCTCTTTAAAAACAAGTACATTTTCCAAGGCAGAGCCAGTATGAACCTTGGCATCAAAGCCTGATGCTGGCTGGTAAAGAGTGCAAGCTGTGTGGGCCGGAGAATCTGATAGAACCGGGTTCAAGCATCAGCTTGGCCACTTAGCTGAATGACATCAGGCAGTTTATTTAAATCGCTCTGTCTCAGGTTTTTCATCTCTAAAGCGGGGATACTGAAAACTCCAGGAGTTTGAGAGAGAAAAGTATGTAAAGCATCCTGCACAGTGCCCAGCCCTGGATAAACATTTGTTCCCTTCCTCATGTCTCATTTAAGATTTGCCTTGTCACCTCCCTACGGTGGCCATATTGTTGACTGAATAGATTCCAATCCAGGCAAGTGTTTTATGTAATGTCACTGAAATGGAGTTTATAACAAAATGAGGTTTTAGGAAAGCATTTGTAAACTATGTTAATTGAAGATTGAATTAGTAGGGGATTTATGTGCCCGCTGCACCCCCACCCCAACAACTCTGCTATCATGGTCATTACTAATCATAAAAATATATTTTATCTTTCTTTAGACAATAAGCTTTCTCTTCATTGTGATGAGTGCCCTAACAACTTCTAGTTTACTACAGGAAGCTTGATTGTAAGCGAATGGGACTCTCCAGTGCCATAGTTTTATTTTTAGGAATCGTCTGGCAAATCGGGGAGTTATAGGGAATATAGTTGCTGATACAAATAAAAATCCAGTTGGATTCTGTCTTCTAAACCTCACCCATATACACCGATTAGTCTATAAATGCCAGATATTGTTCCACCCTTAAAATAAATCACCTTCCTGTTAACAGCCTTATTTAATGGCTACAGTATGTTGTACCTATTTGATTTCTTTTGCCCAGAACATGTCCTGTTTCTGCCTTGACATTATATCTGCTAATTGAGTTTTAGAAAATCAGAAAGGTTTTAAAAATGGATTCTTGAAGAAAGGCACCAAAGTTGCCTGTTTGTACCCTTCTGCTACACATCAAATTGTGTTTTGTAGCTACCTAATTGTCATGATATCTATTTCAAGGGGAAATTTATCAAGTCACAGTGCACTCTTCTGTTTGGAAGAAATATTTGAGGATGTGAGCAGAAATTATTTTTACATAAAGGCTTCAGGCAGTTAAGAGTACTGACATACATACCGTATTTTCATCACTGTCATTCACTTCCTTTGCCTCAAATAAATAGGTCATTATTATTCCTTTGCAGCCATCTTATGGTGCCTTAAAGTGTGGAGCTCTGTGTAACATAACTGCCGTCCAGCTGACCCATATAATTTATTGGTGATATTTACAGAATGACATCCTTGGGCCACCACCATCAGACAAGGCCCTTTGATATCTTTCAGCAAAATATTTCATGATCACTTATAATTTTTTAGCATTAGTATTATAACCATGTTAACATAGCTAGGAATTGGCATTTTCTGAGACACTGGATTTTAGGTTAGCCTTAGCAATTTTAGAAAATAATACAGTCATGATGATGATACCACCATGGGTTTGCAGAGCGCATTATGTGCCAGAGCACAGCAAGGGCAAACATTTGCAGATGGAAAAATTTTACCTGAATGATTCACTCAGTAGTGACACATTAAAATAGTCTGGCCTTATAGTACTCAATTATAAGTGATTAAGAATGTTTCTAGAAAACAAACAAAACCTCACTCTGTTTTATTGTTGTCATTGCTTAAAAGACAAAATCATGGACAACATGCCTCTTTTCCCATCCCCTATATACATGTTCTGTAGCCTTAATATGAGTGGAGTATTCTACTCTCAGAATATGCTAGCCTTAGGATTTCAATAAAGAGCTAAAATTAAAGCATACAGTTATTTCCACAGGAACTATTCTGTTAAAGCATAATTGAATTGCAACTGGCTTTAAGTCCCAGTGGCTGCAAGATAGTAGTCAGGATTTGTAAGGCCTTGGTTTATGTTGAAAGGATTAATGCCCGTCACCAGGCCTTTCCACATGTACCTTTTGTAAACTGAAGATTATTTATGTTGCTAATATACTTCCTTTGATAGAAGAAATCCCTCCCATAACCCAGTAAGACCGTGTTTGGTATTCTTGTCTACTCAAAGCAAGTCCTATGCCTTAAGACAGTTATAGCCCTTGAATCACACAATTAAATTTTTTCTTAATTTTCTTAGTAGATCGCGCATTACCTGAGGCTGTGAGAGTGGTAGCTTTTCTGTACACACTTTTGCCAGGGCCAGCAAAACCACCTTGAAAACCTCACTTGATTGGTAGAAATTTTCTTCTCCTTTTTCTTTTCTCCAATCTGGGAATAAACTTTCTCCAGCTGGGTTCTGAATTCTGTGTTTGTCACAGTAATGCACTAAGGAAAAAATAAGCATCTGTTCATTTTTTTTTTTTTTTTTTTCTGATCACCTTTTCTCTTTGTTGTTATTCTGTAACACTGTTCGGCATACTAAGCCTCCACTGCTGGATCAAGCTTTCGGGAATTTACCCTCTCACTGCAAGCCCGGTGGGCCTGCATTCTCACACCTGGGTTAATTCCCTGGATCCTAGAGCTCGAGGTTGGGTTTCATTTTGGTCTGCTCCTCAAGCATCAGAAATTTTTGTCTATCTGTGGCTCTAATAATTTTTTTTCCTTATCCTTTTAGTTTCCTCTTTTCTAATCCTCTGCCAGGGGCTGGTCTATTTCTAGGTGGATTTGGCTTAGAGCCATCTTAGCCACCCCTCTCACACTTTCCCAGTGTGTCCTAGCAAAGGAAAAAAAAAAAAAAAGGATCCTTCAACAGAAATATGATAGCAGGTAGAAACCTTCCATTTATTCTAATTGCATCTCTATTTATACTGTCTCAAATTTTCTTTAGATGAGTATTTATCTTTGACCTTTGTTTCTTTATGTGGGAACATTTTTTTAAGGAGCAAATAATCTGCCCCGAGTTGGTGTAAAACAGCTGCATAGGGAGGTCCTTGAGAGCAGGAGCCTTATTCTTGGATCCACACTACTCCCAATGCATAATGGCTTAATAAATCTTTGTATTTGATGTCTAGAGAAATGATGACGATGATGATGATAGCAGCAGCTGCCATTTATTCACTTTTATGAGAAACTAGACACAGTGCTAAATGCTTTATATTTATTATCCTTTTTCATCCCCCCATCAGCCCTGTGAGATAGCTTTTAATTACTATCCCCATTCTTCAGATGGGAAACTGGCTCAGGGACTTTAATTAATTTTCCAGAGATCACACAGCTAAAAAGCAGTCTCTCTCTCTCCCCTTCCCAATTGACCATTACATCTACTGCCTATACCACACTTTTTGTTCTGTAAGTAGGGATAAGGTATCGGTTTTCACCCACGTGGCAGCTTCTTAAAGGCTAGGACAACATATACTTCTGTATCCCCTACTATGCCAGGTGTGACATTGAACACTGGAGAATTACTTCATCCTTTGGTTCTGAGTTGAACTCACTTCTCCTCCTACCTGTACGGTGGATCATTTAGGACATTTATGAGGTGGCCCAGGCTGCCGTCACTAATCTTAGAAGCAACAAACTAGGGCAGATCTGAAGATAATCCTTATATATCAGTGAATCTGAAAGCCTCGACTTTTTGACATGTTCTGAGGGAGATTTTCTAAATGGCTGGCAGGGGGTGGGGGGTGATTTGCAGATAGGGGTGTCAGTTCAGAGATGCCTGGGGCTTTGGGTGAATCATGAAGGTGTGAGTTTCGGAGAGCAGAGTAACAAACTCCGAACCCTAAGCCTTCCCAGGATTTCATCGAGATCCCAAAGAGTCACTCACTCACACACGATGAACTGCCTATACATTGGGACTGTCAACATCAACTAACAAGACGAGATTATTTATTGAACCCTCCTACCTACTTCTATTAAGTGGCTCCTTGAGTTTCTGTGAGGCTGACCAAATAGCTTAGCTCAAGGGCAGGTAAGCTAAAGTTGGCTGTGTCTATCTTCCCTACTCCATTTGTGAGAGATTCAGCATTCACAAAAGCTGGTACTCTGACCTTTCCAATACCTCCTCAATATACTACTCAACTAGTACAAAGTACTAGAGGCTGAAACCTTTTGTACCACAGCTTTTGAGAGTATGATGATTCCAGGCTTAGTTGTATTTTGTCCCTTGATCTGTCTTCGATTAACAGACTCGTTTTGTAGACTACAAAGAAAGGTATTAGAGCCATGCTAAATGTTGCTACTTGTGTTCATTTTCTAATATGCCTAGTTCCCACTTTAATAGATCCCACTGATCACATTTTAATTGATGGAAATTTTCCTCTGACCTTTTCTTCCCTTTTTTTAAGGTGATGGGCAGAATCTGTTTACGAAAGACGTGACAGTGATCGAGGGAGAGGTTGCGACCATCAGTTGCCAAGTCAATAAGAGTGACGACTCTGTGATTCAGCTACTGAATCCCAACAGGCAGACCATTTATTTCAGGGACTTCAGGCGTAAGTTTCCATCTCTATAGTTGTAGATGGCAACTTTTTTACCTACATGTTGTCTTGATAAAGAGATTGCTAAGGCCACCTTTTTTAAATTTAATGTTAGATGCTTAAAGTTTAGTCAGTTCTTTAGAGGGAAGAAGAGACAGGCAATCATAATCTTTCTACTTAATAGAAACCTTGAATGGCCCCTTTTAAAAGTAAGGCAGTCTTACTTTGCAATAGAAATTGATTGTAGTAATTCAAGGTGAATTGCAATCGAGTCCCAAATACTTAGCTGACACAAACAACTCAACAGGGTAAGGCAAGGAAAATACAGCATTCTGAAAGGTAATCCCTTTGGTTTGAAGATTGAAGTTTCCAAGGCAATAAATGCCTATAAGCATAAAACCAAGTCTTCTCTCATCATAGCCTTTGGCATATAGAAGTGTCCACATGCTGAAATCTTTCCAAATGTAATATCACAAAAAACAAAATTGCAATGGACTTGTATAGAATAGAAATGGTTCATATCAGTGTCAGGGCTTAGTAAGAGCAAGAATCAAATCTTTTGAAAAAAAAAAAAACCAAAAACTGTTATTGGAGAGCATCGGTGCCTAACCAAAGCGAAGCATGTCTCTTCCCAGCTGCTTGTCCCCTTCCTCCCCAATACCTCAGGGTCATTCATGACCTGTGGAAAACGTTGATAAACCTAAGGAACATTTAAAAGGTTGAGGAAAGATAAAAGGAAATAAGCCAGCTTCTTTTCTTAAAGTTAATTTTTGTCATATACTAAGTTAGTCTTTGCCAAAATTAAGAAAGGATTTTGAAAGAGAACATTTGAACTAAATAAGAGGCCCACATGTATCAGTTTTGCAGTGATTTTGATTTCCTGCTTAATGCTTAATCAGTTTCATACTGTGAAGCCAAATGTACTTAGGAAACCACAGGACCAGTTTAAGGCCTCCGTAGGCTCGAGGTCATCCACTTTTGGCAGCTCCACCTCAAATCACGTCAAATATGTTAAGGTGCATCCAAGTTGATTAGGTTTATTTTGCTATTAGATTATAAGTTTTTAAAATAATTTTTCATGTTGCTTTTGTAATTAATATGAAGGCTTTTTTAGTTCTGTTTCATAATTTGAAACCCTTGTTTTTTGAAGGCCTTACTTACAATTTTTGAGGCATTTTAAAAGGCTGTAGGCCCTAGTCCCTGAACTTCCAGTGCCCAAAGGCTAGGGGGCCCTGGCACTCCCTGCTTCAGGGGACTCATGACCTGCTTTTTCCCTTTGTTTTCTTTTTGTCTATCTCTAGTATAAAACCTGAAAACATGTATGAGTAAGTGCTGAAAACTGACAGCATTTGGAATTGTGCCAAGTTAGAAGGGTGCGTAGCTGGGTGTGTGTGCATATATATATATGTGTGCATATATATATATATGCACACGCACACATACACACACACTCACACATACACTGATATGTGTAAGTTTCCTTTGGACAAGGTTATTTGTCTACATGAAGTTACTGCAAACACCCAAAATAGTAAGTCAAGAAGTATCAGATACAGCAAGATGTAATAAATAATTAAGGAAAATAGACTGTCCGTCCACCTTCTCACAATCACTAACTCTCTGTTTTGTTTCACAGCTTTGAAGGACAGCAGGTTTCAGTTGCTGAATTTTTCTAGCAGTGAACTCAAAGTATCATTGACAAACGTCTCAATTTCTGATGAAGGAAGATACTTTTGCCAGCTCTATACCGATCCCCCACAGGAAAGTTACACCACCATCACAGTCCTGGGTAAGAAACGCATGTGGGGCTTACCCGGGGAAATGGAATAGAGATGGCCCTTTTACAGCAGCAAGGAAAAGGTTAATGGTGAATTCTCCTGTTCAAACTTGTTTCAGGAAGAATCACCGCCCATCTTGCTGAATTTTAAAAATAGCCTATTTTACCAAATGCTGTAAGGAATGGCAATCAGCAGTCTTTATAGATTCCACCTGCTCTTGGGTTTCAACCCTCAAGCTTCAGAAGCAAAGATCAAGAGAATTTAGAGCCCTCAAATGAATCACTCACCACATGAAATGTTATTACTTCTAACTACCGGGATTTTTTTCTTCCTTGTGTGCAGGAGAAGGGGAGATGGGCTACCAAATCTATACCCCATGGCAGAGCTCAGTTATGAAATCCACGTAATGATTTTTCCTTCTGAGTTACATCCTCGTTTTAATATTGTTGATCTCCTTTTCATTGGCTTGACTTACGGCCTTGTTTATTGCTTATACTCTAGATTATGCTGTAAAAAAATCATACTCCATGAACATATACTTTGCCACAAATTGCAGTCATTGGACATAAAAGAGTTAAGAGCACTTTAACTGGTAATAAGCAAAGAACTGTTGACGGGCTGCTAGGTACACCTCCAGTGAGCTGAGTGTCTTCATTTATGATCACCAGATTGTGAGTTTCAGCAAAATCCTAGTAGCCAGGTTTCCATGTTCAATTTTAATATAGTCAGCAGATATTTCTATGTTGAAGGTGGTCTGAATTAGTCACCTTTAGACAAGCTTACTCTACTGCATAACACCAGCTGATTTGGATTCTTGAAACTGAATTTTCAAGGACATACACTATAGCATGAGGCAAGATCTCTGATTTACACCTTCGGGAAGATGATGAATCAAAGTCTATTTGAGGCGGCAGACTGCAGCTTTTCAGTGTAATGATAGGAAGATTAAAGAGGAAAGATAAATATGAAGGACATTTTTGCTTGGTATGTGTGCACATATATGTATTTATGGATGTACATATTGAGCTGCTGCCTCATTACTTTACTTCAACACAGCTGTAGAAGGGAAATTTTTTTTATTCATTAAGCTAAAACATAACCCTAATGCTCACATATATGTTTTTGACAAGAGGAGTATCAATTTTAGAAAGATGTGTTTAAAACCAGTCCATACAATTTCTAATCTGGTCTGTGTTTAATGATAGATGGCTTTCACGTATTCATATTTGTCACTATTGTGGTTTTACTCCAGATTAGACCTGTAGAAATAGTAAGCATGGGAGGTTTTAGTGGGATGACTATTTTGGTATTTTGCAGATGTACCAAATTCGCAAGCATAAATTTGAAGTTTTCTGTCTGTCTGCTTGTATCAGAGTATTTGAAAATGCTCTTTGCTTATTGGAGTAAGTCATTAGCAGCATAGACTTCAAATTGACTATCCACTCATCCACCCTTTGACTCATCATCGTTTATGGCATTTCCACAAAAGTGACAGTCATAAAATAAAATCTATTTATGGCATTTTGAATTTTCAGAGTATTTTACTACATATACCTTTACGTATTTATATGTTGTTTTCACAGAAGTAAAATGATAATAACAGATGTTAGACATCTTGCCCAGGTTACAAAGCACTCAGTAAGAACCAAAAATCTTAGAATTCAGAATAAATCTTACAATTCTGTCTTAAAATTACAACCTTTGTGTCTTCCAGTCTAGGTTGTTTTCAGTTAAATACCGAATGCTTTTGTTTTAAATTTTTTTTTTTCCTAAAGGCACACATCTTTTGTTTTCAGGAGTATGTCTAGCCATTGGCAAGCAGTTACTACTGCCTGTCATTTTCTGGTGCCTGATACATTTATTCTCAAAACAACTGCTTTGGATCAGTTTGGCTCCGAATACACCATGTGCTTGGGAGCCAGTGTGCCAGCACTAGAATTTTGAGAGGCATTATGCCTGTAATCCTTTTGGAGGTCTGATTATTCTAGAAGTAATAGGTTCCTACTTGTATTTTATAGAAGTATTAACTTAAATATACTTGAAAGTAGCACTTTCAAGTATAAAAAGTAGTAGATATTCTTTCTGTAGATATTATTCATTCACTTAATATTCTTTCCATTTAATTTACTCTAGGATTCCTTGACAGAGTAAAATTGTTGTCATCAGTGTTTGAGTCCTTCATTTTCCAAAATCTGACAATTTCCACTGATACTCGTATATTCCAACGTTTCTCGTAAGGTTTAGAGTTTTCAGATATTACAATGAATGAAGAATGACAGTAGCATCTTCGTTGCTATCTTCAGTTCTCTGAAAAGGACTCCATGCGTACTTACACAGCTGTCAAACTTCTTGATAGGTTGAAGATGCTCATTTTAGTGCATGTGTCTATTAGTTATTTGATACATTCAGTAAAAACTTCAGCATAATTATAAGATATGGAGGCGGGTACTTGTTAATGTTGTCTATGCTATTCTATAGTTACTATTATGCTCATGATCTTATCCATGTAAAATCTGAAGACTCTCCTATGATATTTTGTATGCATTTGTTGCCTTTAAGGATATTCATTCATTCCTTCCACTTGTGACGATTTTGTTTCTTTCTCCAGAACATACCGTAGGACTCTCTTTATACTACTATTCATAAGAGGAGATGAATGAGACAGAGAATACACTTCTTTAAGATTAATATAGTTACTGGTAATAGTAGCTAATATTATCACAGTCCTGTCCTTCTAAGATTAGTGTTCGTTCTTAAGATTCCAGGAACAGGAGAACCTAATTATTTTAAAGGGTCTTAGAGTGAGATTTCACATACTGGATCAGCTTTAAGACTCCTCTTTTGTTGTAATTAATGTGACTCATCTTGATATTGCTGATTTTTGTTAAATGTTGTAGGCGTAATGTTTATAATTAGCACTCTTATAGATTTGAGGTTAGCTGAGAAGAACCTTGACATTTCATTACTGTTTTCTAGTATTTCCCTCTATGTGATTTTCATTCAGGTTTTCATCTATATGCACCTCCTTAGAAATATCTTTGGTTATTTTCATTAATGGCTGCAGGCAGTTTTTACTAAATGTGCCTGTTTAGTGGACCATGCATAAGTATATTCTCTGGTTAGCAGCAGTTTTAATTCATTTTTCTTATAAATGGATTTTTATACTTTACTAACCTTTTGTATTAGAGTAGACATTGTGAAGCTAAAGGAAAAACAGGATAGAATTAATAGACCAAATAAGTTTTAAGATTTTCTTGTC
Organism: Homo sapiens; assembly: GCF_000001405.40. Lineage (NCBI taxonomy): Eukaryota > Metazoa > Chordata > Mammalia > Primates > Hominidae > Homo > Homo sapiens. The sequence goes on along the minus strand of NC_000011.10, from coordinate 115,235,251 downwards.
CAACCCTTTTTTTTTCAGAAAAGCAGATTTAAATCACCTCATTTATATTTTTGAAAGCTTTCTTGCTCTTAAAAAAAAAAAACTGAGCAAAGTCAGCTTTGTAACATATCAATAAACTATTATGATTCACAATATCAGATTTTATTTTATAAACCAAACAACTCCCAGTATACATGCCTGTTTCTTCTTCTAACCTTAGCTAAGATCAGAAATACTGGTCACAATCTTGAGAAAACTATTTATGGGCTTGGAAAAAAAAATCATTCAGTGATTTCACAGGATGGTGATCTCAACAATGAATAAGCCCTTCATTTTTCTACACTGGGCAAATTTTTTTTTTTTTTTTTTTTTTTTTTTTGGAGACGGAGTCTCCCTGTGTCGCCCAGGCTGGAGTGCAATGGCGTGATCTTGACTCACTTCAACCTCCGCCTCCTGAGTTCAAGTGATTTTCCTCCCTCAGCCTGCTGAGTAGCTGGAACTACAAGTGCCCGCCACCTCACCTGGCTAATTTTTGTATTTTTGGTAGAGACAGGGTTTCACCATGTTGGCCAGGCTGGTCTCAAACTCCTGACCCCAGGTGATCCACCCACCTCAGCCTCCCAAAGTGCTGGCATTACAGGCGTGAGCCACTTCAAACCTGGGCACATTTTCTAATGCTTCTGAAGTTTTCCACATTTTTACCTTAGCCTTAAATTTGAAGATGATGTCAGCTCTTTGGGCATATAATCCTAGGAACTAGCACTGGTTCAGGACTCACTCTGAAGAGTTACAGAGTAGAATTTATCTGTTGCAGTTGTTTGGATAATGCCAAACAACAAATAATCCAGATGGGGACCTAGCTGCCTGTCAGGATCTCAGCCCCCAAACGAAATCTGGAGGAGACATTGGTGAATTTTCCTCGATCCTTATCTGTACCTGTCCCTTTTCATTTCCTTACTTTGGACCAGCAGACGTTATTGATAATGTGGAAGGAACACACCCTCATCTTTATGAACCAAATGGAGGCAATAAAGACTTTCCACTGAGAAATATCATTGAAGATGAACGAGGTAGTGAAGGTTAGGAGAAGCTTGGGGTAAACAGAGACAAGGGGTTTCCAGGCTCAGCCTGAAAACTCAGAGAATAAAGGAAAGGTATCCAGGAACACAGGAAACAACCATCTGAGTATGTTTGAGGGTAAATTCCACTAAGACTCAACAGAGATACATAGAGGAGTCTTTTAACAACTGCTGGACTGTCGCATCAAGAAGATTCCCGTGTTTCCACAGAGGGAGCATCAAAGTGTTTCTCCCAAAGTTATACAGATAAAGTGGGATCTGATCTGGTCCATTCCCTAGGGATTTCCCGGGTTGCCAGTGGCTTTAGCCATTTGCCCTCTTTGTCACATACTAAGAGAGCCACCTTCCTAAGTTCCTATCCCATCAGTTACATTGCTCCATTACAGTTCTCATTAGGAACCACTGCATATTTCAACATGAAAAATTATTTTCATCACTCCTATTTTTTCCTGGACCTTGAAAGGTATTTTTTTTTTTTACTTTCATTCCTTCCTTAGTTGAGAAGACACTCCTATATTTGTTACACCTTAGTTGTTTTCATTTTTTCTTATACCACTCTTTAAGGTCTTATTTTCTTTAGGCTTTTCCTCTGACATTTGATCTAACAATAGCATGTAAAAAATATTCCTATAATACTGCACTCAGAATGCAGTAGTATTTATTAGTCCTAAACATCTAGTCTCTCTGTGTATCCCCTATCAACCATCTAGGTATGTATGATGAAAATCTATAACCTACGTGACTGTCATCTAGCATGGATGAACTATGTGAAAGATACAGCTAGTTGAAGTCATTCCATTTCTTTTGTTAAAGCCTTTCTGTGTCTCATAAAATGCTAGCAGATGTGAAACTCTAAATTAGATGTTAAATTATCTTTTTGTTTATTTTTTCTTAAAATGTAGACTAGGGTAGTTCTTTGCCATGTTTAACTACTCATTTGGGCCATATCATATTAGCAACACATCCATTTGAGCAATGTTGTTTTCCTTGTACACGGGAAACAAAGAAGAGGGATCCTTTGGCTCTGCTCATTACACCCCCCGCCACCACCACCACCAAACACTATCTTGCTAAGGAAGTATGTGCAACAAATCATTTTACTTTTACTTTTCTATCATTCTCTATAGGAATTTTCAACTGCTCCAATTCAGTGTAAAAGTCTTCCTTTGGGCAGAATTTTCACATTGTGGACTAGAACAGTTGGAAATCCCAAATACTTGGTTTAATACCATAATTTATTGAAGCAGTATCAGAGATTTATTATTCAACTTGATCATCAGGATGGCATGTTTATACATATTTAATTTCTTGTTTCTCTTCTGAGTTGAGAAACTTATTAATCATAAGTCTCGGAACTGTCTTTGCTTATTCATGGTGGTCAGGACATATATTCTTAGATTCACTGTACTAAATTCAGTATTCTTACTGATTTTTATTTCAACAGGCTCAGTCCTGAGGTAAGGTTGCATATGAAATTTTACTGTCAACTCAGTTTCATAAAAGATAACATATTTTATCATCATCATCATTGTCACCATCACTATCACTATCACACTACATACTCTTGATTTGATAGTCAGTACTTTAACTTCCCAATCCGTTATTTTGACCATTTTATCACATATATGTTTAATATGCTTACAGAAGGGTGGTTGTAATTCTGATATGTAAATCTACTTATAAGCACTTAAGAGTCTCTTTCGTCTTTGGTTTCCAAAATTGGAGCACTGGAATTCAGAATATGGAAAATTGCTGCAAACTAATTGGCATTTCTTATATTACTGCATCTTCATATCCAAAGGACTTTATTACTACATTATCCATCAGAGGTTATGATTACATTCTGGATCTCTGTGAATTATTTGATTACATGGAACTGGTTTGAGACAATTTTTCTGTGCATTTTATGGTGAGTGATTCTTTTAAGGGACTCAAAGATTTTTATCTTTGCTCCGTTGACTTTGGAATCTTTCATTTGAAGATTGAAATTCAAGAGTTGAGTTCAAGGAGAAATACTGCTTTCTGGGGTTTCCTGGTAAGGATGATCATTTCAATAGCATGTACTCCCCTTTTATATCTACTTTCTGGTTAATTTTTGAATGACTGGTGACTAATATCTATATTGATATAATGTGCTCAGTGATAAGAGTGAGACATTGGTTGTTGTTGTTGTTGTTGTTATTATTATTATTATTATTATTATTATTGAGACGGAGTTTCGCTCTTGTTGCCCAGGCTGGCATGCAATGGCACGATCTCGGCTCACTGTAACCTCCGCCTCCCAGGTTCAAGCGATTCTCCTGCCTCAGCCTCCCAAGTAGCTGGGATTACAGGCATGTGCCGCCGTGCCCGGATAATTTTGTATTTTTAATAGAGATGGGGTTTCTCCATGTTGGTCAGGCTGATATCAAACTCCTGACCTCAGGTAATCTGCCCGCCTCGGCCTCCCAAAGTTCTGGGATTACAAATGTGAGCCATCATGCCCAGCCACACTGGTTATTTTATAACATAAATTTAGGATAGAAATTCTAAATTAACTGATTTTGCATAACTCACTTTATTTGATGATTACTTTGTATTTCTTTTTCGCCTCTTGTGATGATTTAAATTCCCATCAGGAATGTCTACTGTTTTTCTCCTTTTTGATAGCAACAATGCAAAAATGCATTCTGTGTTTATAAAGCACATATGTTTAATTTGTAGTCCCACCACGTAATCTGATGATCGATATCCAGAAAGACACTGCGGTGGAAGGTGAGGAGATTGAAGTCAACTGCACTGCTATGGCCAGCAAGCCAGCCACGACTATCAGGTGGTTCAAAGGGAACACAGAGCTAAAAGGTAAGCTGCAGATTGCCACACACTGAAGTAGTTAGCTGATTCTAGCAGATATGCCTTTGTGAAAATCATGGAGAAATACAAAACATGCCCATGAAACAAAAGTATTCATTTAGATATGGTTTATAATCAGTTACTAAATATGTCTGAGGCCAAAGCATAAAAGCATTTTATTCTTCTAATCCATGTCCTCATTCTGCTGTTTGAGGGTTCATGGTGATAGCTGTCGCTCTACTCAGATGCCCAGAAAGAACTAAAACTGTAAACTAGAACTCTTTAGGCTAGGAAAAATTTTCATGAGGGCTGTCTCCTGAGCTCAGGCTGTCTCTGTCTGTACCTTCAATTCTAATTGCTTTTACCCTGTCTTTTGCAGAGACCTAGAGGGGACCAGAAGCCCACATTTTCAGGGTATACATTTAAAAAAATGTTTAACAGTCTTTCATATGGTAAATTCCAAGTCATTCTGACGTCTATTGCACTATCACCTGTGTTGACTATATGCTTTCCTGCAAGAGTGGTTGCACTAAGTGGACTAACAGTTTCATCTAAATTGTGAATTTACAGGGACCACCTTTCTTGTGAAATTTGTGATTCAGTTGCCCAATTCACCAGTCTGTTCTTATGCAGGCTGTGATTTTGTGATGACAGTACAAGGCAGCTCCTTCAGCCCCATTCTGATCATCTTTACCTCTGTACTGGGCCATCCCGGGTTCGGGTCCTGGATCCTCAAATACCTGGCACCTCAGGTGTTGCATCAGATAAAGGAGACAGCCTATACCCTATTTGACCATTTTTTGCCAGTTATCTTAAATTCCGCATGTATTTCTGCATTGAGATTCCTTCCTTTTCAAAGTTACCCTGCAGGTAGTACCCTGCACAAAGGTCTTAGGGGCTGAACTCCTCTAATTGTTTGACAGAAATGCTAGTGGCATGCTTCAGTTTCCTCTAAAATAGGGTTAATCGTATTACATACTTTATGGAATTTTTATGAAGATGAAAAGAGGGAATAGTTGTAAAGTATTTAGCTAATACTTGGGCCAAAGTAAGTGCTGTATATGTGCTTGTTAAATAAATAAAGAGCGTGAGAAATGAAAGAATCAGCCCTTTTAGAAAGAGGATATAGAAATCTATATCTGGAAGCAGATAAATCTATATATAACAGCTTAAGTTTCAAGAAGCTTGTTCTGTTTTAATCTCCTACTTCCTAGGTATGGTTTTGGAAGGAAGGAGTTTCTCATTTCCTCTCTGCTTTTCTGTCTAAGTGAATTCAGCCATTAAATGTGTACCGATAAGTACAAAACATTAAAAGAAAGTTAATGGTGTGCCATGTTCCTGGGAGTGCTGAGTTCAGGAAGGGACTGCCTTGGCCTATTCATTCCATCCGGAAGCCTCCTCCCTCCTTTTCTGGGTGTTCTTGGATGTGTCTCCCATCTGGCCCCAAGCCCTGTATCTTACTTTGCTCTAGCCCACTGCCACTGCATTTTTGAGGTCTTCCAAAAGTCTCAGAGTTTAAACATTTCAATTACAATTTCAATTATGTAAATCCATTTAGTTACTTTCTCTCTTAATTGTTGATGATGGGAGTAGGCAAAGGGGGTTGTTTGTAACTCTACTGCTTGTTGAATTACTTAGGGGATTTGGATAATATCCTAGAATTTCTAAATGGCATGACAGCCTAGTCAATATTTCAAGTTCAGATGGTTGTAGGGGTGAAAAACATTTTTCTTTTTCTCCTCCTGAATACCTTGAGCAGCCAGATGTCAGAATGTTTCAACTTTCAGCTGTCTTTTTCTGGGAGGTTTTAAGATAGAAAAACCATACATAATATATTTCAGTAAAAATAGTGTATGGTATTTGGACTTGAAATATATCTTAAATACTATGCTGCCTGGTTGAAAAGTCATAAATTAAGGAAATAAAAACTTTATCAGGTAACTATCCACAGGTTACTCTCATCCCAAGTAACTGCCATCATATTTGTTAAAATAGCAATGTTGGGGTTAGAGGACAGAGGGGAGGACATAAAAACAAACTGATGGAAATTCACCCAACTCTGGTGTCTTGGTACATTTTCTGTTCCCCAGGCAAATCGGAGGTGGAAGAGTGGTCAGACATGTACACTGTGACCAGTCAGCTGATGCTGAAGGTGCACAAGGAGGACGATGGGGTCCCAGTGATCTGCCAGGTGGAGCACCCTGCGGTCACTGGAAACCTGCAGACCCAGCGGTATCTAGAAGTACAGTGTGAGTACCCTGGTATCTTATTCTGAGGGCGTAGAGTTGCAGTTACATAGAAACTCTTCAGAAGCCATTTATTCAATGCATTCATTTTATATAGTATACATAGAATTCTTATTTTTGCTAGAAAAATAAAGGATTATTTTATTGAAATATTGTACTGCCATATTACAGAGTGCCAATGAGGATTTGAAAATGCTACATTGAACCCAAAGGTAAAACTGAAATAATATCAATCTGCTCTAACACGTGACTTAATTAATTTCTTTGCATATAGACTGTCATCATTTCTATGCCAACTGCAAAATCTAGGGTAATTTTCCCCCTTTTTTTATCCCATCATAAGTACTGAAGTTTTTATAGAAGGGATTTTTTTCCCATTTACGTCGGCATTTTGTTTTAAATGACATTCCTCCTCTATTTTAGCTTAAATTAGAGCAATGAGTTGAAAAGTCGACTCTTTGGGATCATTGCCACAATCTTGATGGCTTCATCAATAAAAGCTAGATTGTAGTGAGTGAGGTTTTCTCCTTACCATGCCCTGTAGACTGAATATGTTTTCCTCATCTTCTCCTCTGGACCCTTCTGCTTAAAAGGAAAAAGTCTTTTTCTGCACAAAGCCATTCTTATGCCAAGGTTGTGGCTAAGTAGCCAGCTTCTCACTTTGTATTTGGCTTCTGAAAAATCAAGGTGATCTTTGAGTATGCATACTGAAATGTTACCAGAGTTTGGTTGGGATGGTAGTGATTGGATGTCTGATAAAGGAAAAGCTTTACCCTTTGTGAATCATTGGATTAATTTCCTAGGGCTGCCATAACAAATTGTCACAAACTTGGTAGCTTAAAATAGCAGAAACTTCTTTCCTTACAACGCTTTAGGCCAGAAGTCCAAAATCAAGGTTTTGGCAGGACCACACCCCCTCCCACCACAAAGACTGTAGGGATGGATCGTTCATTGATTTTTCCAGCTCTAGGAGTCCCAGGAGCGCCTTAACTTGTGGCTTCACCACTCCACTCTCTGCCTTCATCGTCACATGACCTTCCCCTCTCCTCTGTGGGTCTCTCGTCTGTGTGTTTTTCTGAGGACACTTGTCATTGGATGTAGGGCTCACCCAGATAATCCAGAATGGCCTCATCTTGAGATCCTTAAGCTGATTTCATCTGTAAAGACTTTTTTTCCAAATTCAGCTACAGTCACAGATTCCAAGGGTTAGAACATGGACTTATCTTTGGGAGCCACCATTCAACTCCATACAAGCCCTATTATTTGTCTAAATGATCTGAGCAAAATGGGAAGGCAGGAAAAGTTATAAAAAGTTGCTTCTAAGAAACCATCCCATTCCAACCTTTTCTTAACTCCGTGAGCTTGGCTCAATTTAACATTACATAATGCAGGGTTTCCTCGTTAATTCATTTAATCTGCTTCAATATGGGCATCATGCTTATAATTTTCATATCACTAAAACTATTGTGGTATAATGTCCCTATAATGGGAAAACGGAAATGATCAGATATTATCTAAATTAGCAGATAGTAGATTTCTTGTGACTTTGTTAATATGTAATTCATTTAAGCAAACTTAATATCCATTAACTTTCCTTGTAGGGGCCCATTAGCTTTAATAATACATTAGCTCCTTTGTACGTCCTGAGTAGATATTCACCCAGTTTCCACCCCTAAACTCTTTCAGTATTTTCCCAGAATATCTTTTAAATAGAATATAGTCCCACCCACCTACCAAATTACCCTCACTCCCAAATGCAAAATATTTCAAGCGCTACACCTCCTACTCCTTGGAAAACTTGATAATGATCCTTATAAGCCTTGGTTTCCATAATCTGTAGATTCTAAGACAAGGAATAAGGCTCCACATCTGAATCCATTTGACTTCAATCTAACAAAGTACTGCGAGCCTTTAATTGCAGGAAAGTGACTCTAATGCCCTCCAAAAACAAGGATGCACCAATTGATACTTTAAACTCTAATATGGCACCTTTTTGTGGGAGACTCTGTTTTTTATCCAAGAAAATCATACAAATATTTTAGCCTTTATTCCACTTTTCAGAATATACATAAGGAAAAATATTTTTGTATAAAGGAAAGCTAAGATAATTACAATGCATTATATTAACCTGAATGGAACTTCGCATCTGGTTTGATATCTTAAGTAAGGCTCTCTGTGCTCAAGAAAGTTCACTACCCTCCACTCCTAGAGCACTATTGAGAACTTTGCAGAGTCAGCCAGGAATTCCTTTTGTAGCTTCTTCAAACACAGTTGGAATTCTCTACATCATTTCCTACCAGCTTTACTCTCCTTGAACACTAGCAGCTATGCAGTAACAAAAAGTTTCATTCCTCAAATGCCTGAAGCACTCAGTCACTGGGCCCTGAAGTCTGATCAGTCATTGCCCAGTGCTGTTGATGGCTCAACTCCAGTGCCCCCCACAGCCGTCCTCTCTCTGCAGACAAGTAGCACCATATTTTGATGACCATGAGGAAAGAAGAGACACTCGAATACATGAGATTCCTAGAATAATTTATTCAGTAGCCACTCTGCATGGAGGTTGAATTATTTTGGATGCCTGTGAGGAGTAACATTGCACCTGTATTTTAATGTTGACTCATGCCGTTGAAGTCAGCAGTTCTTAACCTTTTGGGGATCATTGGCCCCTTTAAAAACCCTTTGATAGCTATAGACCTGGAAAAGATGAATACAATCACATATTCACCATATTCTACTTACAATCTAAGGAGTCCATTTACCCCTCAGGGTTTTCCTAAATTCAGTTATTTGAGGACCACTTTCACAAATTTGCCATGTTCATGCATCATCTGTATTTTTACCTGATTTAGAATTTTTCTTTAAGTCACTTTATTGCTTTATCCTAACCAGGGCCTATGTAAAAATATCTATTAAATTACACATTTCATTTGTTATATATAGTGTCTAATAAGCTTTAAAATAAATGTACAACTAATATTTTTCAATGTCCTTTCCTTTGTCACCTAAAAAGATTTCTTATGTTCTCGGTGAGAAACAATAGGTTATCACTAGGAAATACTGATCCCATTCATGGACCTCAGAGTCTACTCCGAGTAAATAAGGCTACCTTGGGGGCAAATCTAATCTGATACTATTGGTATTAAATATGCTCACTTGTTTAAGCCTGGCTGATTTTACACCATGAAGGTTTATGGAAACCTCTCTTTATCCCCATCTAAGATGAATGGATGTTAACCAGGACATGAATAGGGTTAAATGACAGATCATGGATTTGAATTCTACATCAAGTAATTTTTAAAAAATACTATTAAAAAGGAAATGAAATAATGAAAACCTGCGTTATATGTCATTAAATATCTTACTTTAAGTAAGACAGGGAAAAAAGAGAGGAAGGATAAAAAGAAAGGAAGTGTTGCACCTCTGTCCTTAAAATGGAGTGCTACCATATGGCATAGAAGACAAGGCTTGAGCTGCAACTTGGAATTGCTTTTGTCTTGTGGATTTAAGTCCTAATTAATTGAACCAGGATTTTGCAGTGTTTGTTTGTTAGGACCCTTATTTGTGATACCAGGAGAAATTGTTGTGCCCAATTATGTGAAAAATCAGCCAGATGTGTATGCTGTCATACTTTTAATAATCCTTAAGTTTTTGGTGAGTACAGATATTAATTGTGTAGTATGCATTGAAGTGATTAACATCAATGTAATTTATCATCTGGAGATTTCTGAACATAAATAAATGAGTTGTTTTGTTCAGCAAGGTGTTGACCCCTTCAGAATCAGTGAATTAAAGTCCCCCCCCCTTTTTTATTATAAATATGAAAGGCACCACAATCAGCCAAGTGTTCAGTTATTTGATTTTCTGGGGCATTAGCCGCTCTTGTTTGTGACATTTCCCTGTTGGGTGCTCGTTTGCAAGCTCATTAATAAGGTTTTCTCATAGGAACGTTGCCGGGAATGAAGAACATACAGTAGGTCTCTTAGTTTTCTAGCTTTCATTCTGAGACTCAGCAAGGGTACAGCAGCAGCACACAGTTAAATGTTTAAAACAGAAAATAATTATGCTCCCAAGCTGGAAGAGCTCAAAGCTCTCTTTCCTTAGATGTTATGCAGAGAACAGTTTTGCTTTTTAATGTTCCGAGCTGTATGACCCTAAAATCTTTCAGTGCATTTTTTTCTTGCGAATGTCTGTACAGGTGGTGGTGCCCAAATTTACAACATGGTTGATTATAGCAGAGTGTGATACAATTGTAGCACGGTTAGTAGAGCTTCAGATCTGAGGGAATGTACTCTTGTCAAATAAAAGCCTGTTTAAATGGGAACAGTTCACTGTCTGAGCGTTAAGAGAAAACTGTCTAAATAGCATCAAGGTGGCAACACATAGCGACATAAGCTGGGAATTCAAAGAAAAGCTGTGACCCTCAGTATGGAATTCAGATTGCTTTGCACAAGGGAGGAAAGCCTTCCTCTGGACTGGGGTGAATATGAAGCTCTTGAATTACTGCTGTGTGGCTTCTGCTTTCACCCATCATAGCCTTGCTCTTTAAAATGTTTGGCAAAAATCCTCATTTTTTGAGGGTTTTGTGTTTGTGCATATTTTAAAAAAAGAAAGAAAACTCAGAGATGAGTTTTGAAAAGAAGAATGAAAACAAAGACTCTAGAAATGGGTGCTTGAATGCCATGCCTGCTCTGATTATCATCTGACAGTTAATTGTATACGTGGGCATCATTTTCAAAATGAGTTTTATTGACTGAATGTAGCTAGGTATTTTATAAATCCATAGCCCTGTTCATCCAAGGTCCAGAGAAGGGTAGATTTTTTTTTTTCTTTCATTCCCTCAACTGGAGGAAAATTGGGCATTGAGGAGATGATCAAAACCTGTTCTTTATCTGTGCCAAAATAAATGTTTCTCTGGTATCGATAGTGCCCTGCATTGAAGGAGAGAGGAAAACCTGGAAATCAGAAAATCTTTCCTATTTGGAGTGGAGGATAACACTTAGTTCCCAAGAGCAGCTTCTATGTCAAATCCTCTCCCTCATCAATTCTGTTTCCAGGTTGTATTCTTCAGAGCATAATAGCTGGCGTTTTCAGATTTGGCCTGTTTCTCTCTGATCTCCAGTCTCTCTCTCTCTCTCTCTCTCTTTTTTTTTTTTTTTTAAACGGAATACGCTCTTCCTCCCACTCTCCCTTTTATTTTTTTTTTAAAGCAGTGAATTGAGTTTCAGGGAGGTTATTTTAGTATTTATGATTCCTTATGAGAAATAATCAAGGAATGAAGAACCCCGATTGAAGCTAATTTTTTAACCTATTATTTCTTTGTGTTAACACAGAGTAGTGTTGGTTCCAAGTTCCTGATATTATAAGGACTATAGATTGTTAGTGATACAATCTGCAGTACCAAAAGTGTCAAGAGGCTGAGTAACCAGTATTCAAAATACAAAGAGTGAGTGTTGGGCAAATACATCGTGAGCAAGACTGGAATAACCCTTAAGGGAAAAGCCTTTGCCTTTATACCTGCCTTCTGAATGCATACCCTGCAGAAAGAGGCCTGTTTTACTAAGAACCACCTCCTCTCATCTCACTGACCTTAATGTATTTGTAAAAGATGTGTCTGTGTGGCTGTGGACATTGAATACTTACATAGTGAAACCAGTCTTCTAATGCACATACTTCACTTAATGGTTTTTAACTCAAGGTTAAATTTTGATTGTGTGGAAGGTTAAATAGTTGTGAAGCTGGCATCTAAAAATCTAAAAGGAATGGTCAAACAACATCCTTTCTGATTTCCTGTAAGACACCACTTAGAGACACATCGGAAGTGCTAAATAAATGTATGGTGAAGTGGAAATATGTAAAGCAGAACACCTGGGCTGAACCTCTGATTTGGGCGGCTGGATTGACCTTCCAAAAGAAAAACAAAATTATATTCTGTGATGAGGACTAACGGGAACTCGTGATCTGATTTTATTTATTTTTTAATCAGTAGTAAAGGTGGAAGGAGAAGTCCATGCCCCAATGTTTCTTCACTTTCTCATTCACTTATTCCTTCATTCATTCATCCAGCAACTATGTCTTGAATGCTTACTGTGTGCCAGTCCCTGGCACCGTTCTAGTTACCAAGACTTCAAGAAACAGAACAAAACAAAACAAAAAAACCCCTCTCTTGTTACAGAGGGAAGATTCTTGTACAGAAAATCTTGCTATAGGGATTTTCTTGCCCAGTGTTTGCTTACAAATGATGAGAATTGCTTCCAAGACATGGAAGAATATTCTGTGAGTATGTACCCCCATTTAAAAAGCAGTGGGAACAAAGCTTTCTGCCACCACACCATGGGATCAAATTTGATTCTTTTTTGTAAACAGTAATTCTAATACCCACAAACCTACCTGAAAGTTGCAGCAAGAGAAGACTGCATTCTACTGTGGTATTGGTCTTACGTCAGTCCCACCAGATTTGACTCATCCCACTCACAATCGTTCAGCCCTCTTCAGGAAGCCCAGTTTCAGTACTATGAGTCATAACAACAGATGTAACAGCAGGAGGTTCTTCACCTTGCAAACAAACAAAATAAACGGCAGTGAAAATTATTCATGAATGTATTATGACAATAGAAAGCAAATATTTTGCAAGATGTTCTCTTTAACTCCTCTGAGAGCTCTGTGTGACTCCGTTCATTCACCAATCCCAGTCACCTGGCATTGCTAGACATTGCCCTCCTTTAGTTGCAAAGCTGTCCTCCCCCAACAATTTAGACAGCCATATTGTAGGGGTTGATTCTTGCTTTGAGCTCAAACAGCTTCTAACACTCACCAAATCTCAGGTTAATCTTTGCATTGTCGTTCTACTCCAAACTCCAATAATCCTCCATGATTGACAAAGACTCTTCAGTCAATGCTTCCTCACTTGAATGCACAGGGGCTGACCCAGACCCGCTACCCAGACATTCTGATATCATCTGTGCTCATGCTGCCCTTGAGTTCTCCCTGGTAGGACTTGAAACAATTAGCACTTGATCCACAAGCATCAAATCCCCATACTCCTTGGTGTTTCAGAATATTGGGTGAAATCTAAGTAAGAAACATGAAGAAGAGCCTGTGTCCCAAATGCAGTTGCAGAAACAGATTTGCACTCAAGCCCCTGGACCTAGTTGCATTGAGCACATCAAAGAAAATATGACACCTGCATTTCCTGATTTAGAAATTCTTAGGAAGAGAGGGAAGGTTGTGGGGACTCCAGGGATAATAGGTCTCCCGCTGGCATGTCTCCTGCCAGGGTATGAGGATGCCTTTTCCACTGACTCAGCTCTGCTCCTCTCTGCTACCCTGGAAGGGTGACATCCCAGTCATGAAGAAACTGCAAAGTACCTTTTTCTAAATAAAGGAATGCAAAGACCTGATACGTTAGTGTTTGGACCTACAGAGGAGACTGTGTCTTTTCATTTACATAGGAAACTGAAATACAGGTTCAGAATCTTGAGTTTCATCTTCTGAAAAGATCACAGAATGTGGTGCAAGGTCAGACTGGCATGAAATCAATTGTAATCTGCCAGCAACCCATTCCAACCTCTTTAAGAGTTTCCTTTTATATATTTTTTCCCTTTATAGAGAGAGCAAAGTACATTTAAAGAAAGTCTCATCAAATCAGAATGTCTTTCTAATATTATTTTTTTAATTGGTTGCTACTGTAGTGTGACCTAAAGCCTCCTGGTGTTTAACCCTCTGTGCAACTTTGACTAATGAACAAATTTGTCTGCTATAGCAGTCTTGCTAAATGTCTTTTACAGGGTTTAAAAAAATTCACAGTGTATTATGAAAACCTCAGATCCCTCGACCTAATTGATTGGCTGTTGATGATGCCATGTCTATAACTGTAATGTTCTTTAAGTGTACAGACCTAACTATTTTTCTTATTTTTATATAGCAGTTCCATTTTATAATGACATTAAGCCATTCTGAGTGATACATTTCTGGGCAGTTATTGCACTTGGGTAGAAAGTATCGTCTGGCTTTTGGCCTCATGCCTTACAACACCAACCGAGGCGTAAAATGATCCCCCAGAAAATGTACTAGGCTTTACCTCATTACTTAAAAATAAATCTTGGAGGCTGGTTCTGTTTCAGAAAAGGTTTGGTGGGTTATAACATTTGATTTATGAACATAATTAAAATATAAATGATGAGCTCTGGGCTATTCAATCAGCCATCTGGATTGTTTGGTATTTTGACATATTCATATCGTAGTTAGGCTCTTCAATGGAAAATTTAATGTCCCTTAGTTCTAGAGGTGCCAGTGGAATCCCAGGGTTTCTATTCCACCTGTTGAAAACGCTTAAGTTTCTCTTTCAGGACAAAGGAAGGGGAACAGAATTTATTTTTAAGTTTCCATCACCCAGGGATAGATCTCGGCACATAGACCTTCTATAATATTTGATTCCTAGGCTGGGCGAGAGGATAGCTCATCTGCCCGTGGTCAGATAATATGCCTATAAATACTGCATGTGTCAACAGAGGGGAACATTTTTCTGTATAATGCAGGCAAGACTAACGCTTACCTTTTCAGCCAGCTATTACGGTAACTGTGGCAGCTGTAGCCATAAGTAGATAGTAGATGTTTCTCCAGAACTTAAAGAGTAAATTGGGAAAATCAGTTATCAAAACTGAAGGTGTATTTTTTGTGATTTAGTAAATGGTTTTTAAAATAAATTTTGGGTATAACAAATCCTTAGCTTGTTCTTCCCAATTTATGTGAATAATTGGCAACTGATAAACAGCTCATTAGGAACATAAAAAAGCATTTAACTAAAACTCAGTGGTACTGAAGAAGCAGGGTGGATTAAGTTTTTCAACACTGTCTTTATTATTGATGGAAGTTGAGCATGTAAAATCCTTAGTGCACTATGCTGAAAAATATGCCCTCTCTGTTTGCTTGTAAATTACATTAAGGAAAAAAGAAGAAAAACAAAATCCTTCCACATAGGCCAGCAAGCATTCTGCTTCTTCTTAATTAATGGCCAAAGTCAGCAGTGCATGAAAAACGTAGCCTTTCTGTAGATCAGAGATTAACCTATAAGCAGATGTTACATTTCAGCCCAAATTTTGGGCTTTAAATTTAGCCTCACCCAGAAGGTTCATGGGTAAGAATGATAGAGGTCCCCTAACTAGGAACTCTAGTAAGTGCTGCTGTTTCTGGGTATGAACTGTGAGGTAGCAGGTCTTCTGTTTTCTGTGTGTCCAGTGTCATAACCTTCTTCTTTCATTTTTTTTGTATCTTTTTTAAAAACTAAACTTCACTAACTAGTGTGTGTGTGTTACACGACTACAAACAATAAACCCACACCTGATGCCCAGCAGTTGTAGTTAGCCTAATATGTGGCCTCTGTCTCTGAAAGGGGGTGCCCAGGAGCTCTTGAGCCACCCAGTGCTGGTTCAAGGTCATCCTGTTTATCCTTTACAAGCATTTCTGCTTTTCTTTAATGACTACCTTCCCGACCCAGTTATCAGTATCTGGAAACCTCAACACCATTTTGCTCTTAAACAGTTTCTTTGCCAACGTGTCCAAGAATAGAACTGTGTAACTTGCAAGGGTCAGCTGGAGCTTCTGGGCTTGTTAACTTTACGTTCTCTGGCAAGAGACTTAGCTTCTCAGAAAGCACTACCAATTCTCAGTATGCAGTGCACACTGGTGGGTGAACAAGGGGGCTCTCTTAAAAGGTTTTGAATGCCATGTAATTTTTAGAGACATGAGAGAAAGATTTGTGATAGGAAAGAGACTATAAGAATGCATCTAGAAAGCAGCTATCTCTAGTGAGGACTTCCTTGTGCAGCTTATATAGCTGTGTACAAGATGAGATTGGTTGAGCCTTGCCGTAATATTTCTATCTTCTCCCTTATTCCATAGGATGAATGTTAATGAGCTAACCACAGCTTGTAAAAGGCCAAGGGGCTGTTGTTTAGGTGGTATGATTGTCTGAGAAAGTAAAACTATGGTAATTATTTTGACCTTTCAGCCAACCGATGTCTTGCCCTCTCACATTTATTACTCTTGGGTACATTTCCAAAAATATGCATTTACAGAGCCACAGAATTAAATGAGAAAACCGATTTAGGGATTAATAGCTTGTTAGTTCAGCACTGAAAAAAACGATCTCCTAATTACATTCAGATTTTATTTGTTAATGTATTTGTATGTGTATCTATGTTAATTCCAACTTCTGTAGCTTCCCTCCCTATTCCCTGAACCTCCCATTATTCAGCTCTCATAGCCATATCCCCACACTGACAAATACAGTTTTAAGTAGCTGGTGGAAATGAGAATACTTATATCTCCTTCCTAAGTACCTCACTGCATTAGGAAGCTATACCTGGCTTTAATTATGGATTGCCATTGGAAATGCACTTATGGATCAGAAATCTATCCCAACATACACTTATGGGGCTGTCTCTCTCTCTGTGATCTTGGATGAGCTACTTCAATCTGTGGGTACCAGAGTTCCCATCCCTAAAACTAGGCTTATTCTACCCCCAATGATGGTTCCTAGGGGAGTAGATGCTGAGTAAATGTCAGTATTTTTTCTTTTTAATGTTTACACTGAGATGTCAGAGTTTTCACTGGGAGGGCTTCCAAAATATCCCAGTTGTTTTTTCTTAAAGTCATTCAGTCTGCCTTTCTCATTTGAAAACAAGAACATAGAAGAGGCAAATTTATTAACATGCAGTGTCACAACATATTGTCACATAGTAATATATGATATATGATAAAATGTATCAATTCTGAGCACCACAGATATCTATGGCTTCACCTCAGCATGAAGGCAAATGAGTTTCCTTTAGCTTGAGTGAGTTTGGAGATAAACTTCAGTGTAACAAAATGTATTTCACAGGAAATGTTTGATGTGGCGCAGTTGGCTTATGAATCTCTTATCTATTTGCGGTTCACTCCTTAGAGTTATTAGTCAATTTAATTTGAGCAAATGCCAGGATTACCAACTAATTAGAAGGGTGTTACTGAAGGCATCGGATGGGAGAGAGTAAGTGCTGGTACTGTGGTTTTGAGGCAGTGTGTGAGTCTGATTTTGCCTGATGATATCATTTGCTAAACATTATACTTTGTGTTTTTGTCACACAGATAAGCCTCAAGTGCACATTCAGATGACTTATCCTCTACAAGGCTTAACCCGGGAAGGGGACGCGCTTGAGTTAACATGTGAAGCCATCGGGAAGCCCCAGTAAGTTCTGAAGGCCAAAGTTGGCAGAGGGTCATGCGCAGTAAATGTCACAACACAGACATGTGCATTCACCAGTCCTTGGCCTGTCACCTGTCTCCTGCTGCAAAGGATGGATGGTTTTTCAGGAACTAAAGAATATTCAGTGAGAGTGGAAATAAATATCCATAGTTCTTAATGGTCAGGACTGGGAGAAAAATTAAATGCCCGCTAAGATTGAAATCTCAGCTAATTCTATTTTATTATTATCAACATGATTGTCAGGACTATTTTCTCTCACACACAAAAAAATAATCCTAATAAATTATTGGTGTCCCTACAATCTAATGATATATCTGCCACCTTTTGTGTTAATGTCTAAGCTGCTAGAAAGATGGTTTTAAGACTTACATTAAGCTGCTATGTTTAGGGCCAGCTGTAGGCAAATGAATTTGCCCTACCTTTAATTTTGCATCTTCTTCCCTCAAAGAAAAGTGTCATTCATACTTGACTCCCAGAAATATTTTTGTTAGTAAGGAAAAGCTCAGGAACTTTTCTTAAGGAGGATATATATGCCACTTCATAAGAGAAAAAGAAGAAACAACTAAGACTCTTATTTTATTGAAAGTATAAAGGAGCCACTTGAGTTGCCCTGTGAAATGATCCAAAGTGAATTTGAGGAACTACATATATCATCACTAATACAAGAAAAAAAGCCACACAGTGGTACCATTTTAACTATTATTCAGTTTACTTACTGGGCAGGGGACACTTCTTTAGTGTTTCTAGTAAAGATTGTTTTTAACTGTTCCTTAGTGGGGGAAAGAAAAAAACAAGTTGAGGATTCATGAAATGGAATAATAGGTCAATGTTGGGATTAAGGACGCTCAAACTTTAGTGGTACCCAACAAAAAACAGCATTGAGCTCCCTTTGCTGTCCCCGTAGTATGATTTTGTTTTTTCCCTCAAAGAGTTTTGCTAGCCAGCGTCATCACAGTTTTCATATAAAGAATTCAGAGCATCTTAACAAAGCTTCCCCAGAAATCTCTGGAAAGAAGCCTCCCTACTTTAACTAAGGAATGATCTATGACAAGAGACCAGAAAGCCAAAGGGGGCTCTGCCTGCTGTTGGTTCTCTCTTCTCATTTCAACCCTCCCTATCTTTGCACTTACCTCTCCATGTGCTGGAATTTCCTTCCCTCTGTGCTAACCATGTGGAGTTTTAAATGACCTTTAGGAGCTGGAAAGTGGTCTTGGTTCTGTTTCACTTTCCCTCTGGTGTTTCCAAGTTATTTGGTTTTGAATGCTTCGAGCTTCAGCAGAGTGATCTTTTTCTCGTTTGAGCACTGCCAAAGATTCAGATCTTTCTTTTTGTAAACAGTTTGAATTATTCCCTAATTAGCAGCTTTCTTCCAGAATAATCCAATGGAGTAAGAAAAAAAAATTCTCAGAGGCCTCTTGCCGCTTGCAATACCCGTGCTCGGCCACATTAACCACAGTTACAGTCTATGGCTTGCTAACCTATACTTTGTTTTTGTATTTTTCCCCTGAAGAAGGTACTTCGTTCAATTGAATGTGCCACGGGGACAGTAAATTACATGTTTCCTTCAGGACATTTATGCCAGAGAAGGGATTTGTTTGTTCCTTTCAAATAGGAACCAGTATATGGTTGTGTGAGCAAGCTCACATTACTCTACTGCTACCCCTTCTAGCATGTTACTTATTTATTTTCTCAAGAAATTGCATACAATAAAAATGGTAATTTAACTTGCCATTAAATGTTGTGAAGATTCTCAGCAGTTACCCCTACTGATTGTTTCAGCTGTCAAGCAGCAGGACATTACGTCTGATTGCCAGGCAGGCCCATTTGCCATTGCCTACAAGGAGGACATATGCAGTACTAATTTTTAAATAATTTACTGGGTTGTGATGACAAACCCATGTGTAATTAAAGAAAAATTGTAACTTCACATCCCATTTGAAAATTGGAATGCTACTTGACAGGGCTAACTTGAGGATCCGTTCATCATTAAGCATGGGTCTCTTGTCGTGTCGCTGCTCCTAGAGGCAGCTGTAGGAACTGGAAGGAAGTCACTTGTGTGCTGGATCTCTGTTGTCCTTCCTTCAAAATGAAAGTTTTCAGGCACAATTCTAAATGTGGCCTCAACTTCATAGGAGGTTGAGGGAAGTGCCTTGAAGAATGGAAGTTTTCAAAAGATACTTGGTGTGTATGCATTTTTAGCTTTGGCGAATCTTATGAAATTTGCTTTTTCCTGATGGATACAAATGTGGCACTTTAAATCACTAAAACAAACTTGTCTCTGATGAGCAAATGCCCTGGGCCCTAAGGGATCCATGTGGAATGCATGCCATGGTGATTAGCCTGAGAGCCCTACCCACGAGCTTGGGGAGCTGCAGGTGCACACACAGGGAAAGTTCTCACAATATGCAGGCCTTGGAGAGCCAGTAAAGAAGGCAATTTGCCAAGGAACAGATAGACATGGTGGACTAGGGCATCAGAGACAGGGGTGGCATTCTGGGTAGGGGGATGCAGGTTATGGGGAGGGGTTAAAGGGAAGAGGAAATGATTACATCTTTCCAGAATCAAAGGTGGTTTTTCAAACAGAGGCCCAAGAAAAGCACTATTCAGATATAAAAGTCCATTCCTTTTGGTGAAACTCAAAATCCATCTAAATATCACAAGAGGCTTCTAAACAAGTCTTGGTGTGTTAGTAACCATCAGATGAATGCATGTATCACTAGCCAAGAACTTGATTTCTTTCCTAATTAATGAGATGTTAACAATGGGTGAGGTCTGTCCTGCCTGAGTTGGTGTGAAACCACACAGCGGGGCATAAAAATAGGCACACTGTTTTATTTGTTGATTTGTCGAACATGAATTGGAAATAATGAGACTCCTGCTTGTGGTCTGTTCAAAGTTTTTCAACACCTGATCGTGTTTAAAAGAAAAAAATTGTATACCAAACAGATTTTTGGAGACTTCACAGTTGTAATTCTGTGAACTTAAAATATCTCCAGTAGGTCCTCATTAATTGTGTCACCCTGCATGTGGGTGAGCAGTTTGATGCAATGGGGAATGATAATGTGACTTGTCTTCCTCCCCTTCCCCCTGCAGGCCTGTGATGGTAACTTGGGTGAGAGTCGATGATGAAATGCCTCAACACGCCGTACTGTCTGGGCCCAACCTGTTCATCAATAACCTAAACAAAACAGATAATGGTACATACCGCTGTGAAGCTTCAAACATAGTGGGGAAAGCTCACTCGGATTATATGCTGTATGTATACGGTACGTGAGAAGATAAAATGCTCTTCTACTAGAGTCAGTCACATGGAGCTGCTACTTGTGATTTACTCTCAAAGCTTTTGGTCAAGTTGAAAATCAAAAACCAGTTGGTTTCCTTCTAGAACTTAAAGAAGCCTGGCCTGAGGTGGACCCTAGTGTCTCCACCTGGGATAGTGACTTTTCTTCTCTCCCTCTAATGGTGGGTGTTTCTACTAGATCACAGTCTTTGGTCATGCTGAGAAGGAAAGCTGTGTCCTCAGGCACAAGCCATGGAGATTACGTTAGAAGTAATGACTGAAACATTCAGCCTTACCAATTAGCAGCTTTTCAGCTCAGAAAGTTTATTCCCAGTGGTATTTTACTATGATACCTGGGCTAGCTTTCTCCTGCTTTGATGAGCAGAACTATTCTATTTTCAGCATGAAGCTATTAATTCCAAAAGATGTTGTAAGCCAGTAAATACTCAGAACAAATACAAGGTCCCTTGTAGCTACATGAACCACCTGTAGCTACTGCTTCAGAACAAAAGCTTTTTTAAAAAATGTGTCTGTTTTTTTAATATCATTTTACAGGATTATTAAAACATCATGAATTTTATTCTCTAGTCAACAGATATTTATTGAGCATCTACTACATTTCAGGCATCTTAAACTTACTTCCTGTTTATAACTTACTGTTGATTTTGCACATGGTGAATATTTTCTATTTAGTTGAGATGTGCACCTCCTCTCTAGTTTTATAATATCAAATTAAGTCTCTTCTGTTCAATTGAAGCCTCATATGCCAAAAAATAGCCATGAACTGACATGACAAAGAATGAGTAACCAGAGGCATCGGCATTTCAATGTGTTATAAATATTTGAATGTGTGTGTGTGAAGGGGGTATTTTTTTCTTGATGTTACCAGTGTAAATAATCCAAATATAAGTATATATGAATAAATGTTTAGATACACATAAATTATACCTTTGAAATATCCACACCACAGTGTCTTAGAACCAGGGTACTTTGCTTATGAAGAAAATAGGAGTGGCAGTCTTTTTAATCAAATAGAAGCATGCTTTACACCATATCTGCATGGATATTAAAATATAATCCTTAGCCTATACCTGAGGTTTTTTTCCTAGCATAATGCAAAATTAAAAGATCACATCTAATCACCTTATTTGTAGACTTCTGAAGTATGTTTTATCTTTACGCACTACCAATGTTGTCCGTGGTTGTATTATGTCTGTTCACACATAATAACATTAATTCTCCCAGTAGTTAAGGAAATCCATGTGAAGCAAACAGCTTTTCTACATAGGTGAGAGGGGACACAGCATGGCCCGTTTTCAGCTGGCGATATGCAGAGCCACCTCTTTCCACAGACTGCTCGGCGGGGGTGAAAAGTACATTCCTCCCTTTTTCTGCATGTGCTCTCTTCACACAAGGGCCTGCGCCTCATGGGAGTCCCCGACATTGCTGTTGCCCGGGTTTACTGGCTTTCAGTCCAGCTCTTTACAAACTGCAGGTTATAAAAAGCAGTGACAAATTTCCATTAGTCTGTTATGTGCATCCTTGATTCAGAACACTAAGTTATCTGGATAAACAGTTTTGATTTATTGTACTTACTGCCCCTACATTTCAAGAGAAGAAACATTTTGTGGGTTTGATGGACAGATATATTTGAATAATTTTGGATAGTAGTTTATAGCTAGCATTTATTTAGTGCTCACTTTATTCCATGCCCTATGGTAACGATTTTCCAAGCATGGTCTCCTTTAATCTCCACAATAACACCAGGAGGCAGGCATTATCACGATCCCATTTTACAGATGATAAACTGAAGTTCAGAAAGGTTGTACAGTTTTCCCCAACTTCACCAGGTTTCTAAATGTGTTTTAGAACCAAAATACTTTGGCTCTAAAGTCCACAACAAAGTATGTCTTTCTTTGTATATTCTCTTATTCTCACTGCTTTCCAGTAGAACAATCCCCTTCAATATGAGATGATCCTTTTAGAATTAACTGTCTGGGCCAGAGTGCATTATCTGAAAACCAAGAAATATAGGGATCCACCTGTTAAAGGCAGACACAGCTACATACACATGTCTCCCTAATCCAAGATGGTACACCTATCCTTGTCTAGGGATTTGCTAGATCTGTAATATACTACCTATCTCCCCTAATCAGTCCTAGTAACAATACTTGGGATGACAGATTAGAATATTAGCCTAAGGTATTACTAGTCTACTAACAAAATACTCTAGCAGTTTGGGAAGGTGTTGAGTAGATTTTCTTTCCAAAGCTGATTTGTTGTATTACTACCATAATTTTGGAAGTATTTTATGAACTAAAAGTTAGCAAGCCCCCATAAAGTTTAACTCTCTAGAAGCAACTTCTACACATGAAGAATCTAGCTGGTTAGTGCCTGAGCCCCAACTGATTTTATTCTTTTAGCCTCTACATGTCAAGCACAGCTCATTAACTCCAACTCTGTACTTTCTTAAGTGGTGGCCTCACATTGCTCTTATTGCTAGAAATGATCTAAGCACTGAAGTTATTTTACCTGTTAAAGGAATCTAATTCTTTCAGGTCACTTTAGCCAGATGTGAAGGACAACAGTTGCCCCAGTCGTGATAAAGATAATTGAAAGTGTGTGATTTGCACAAAATGGGAGGGACTGATGACCTTTCTCTGAAGTCTGTGTCTTCATTAGTCTGGTCCACCCCTTGGTTCATAATCATATTTTCAAATCACCTTCAGATCTACTCTTATTGTATTGTGGACATCACACACTTTATGTCAACACTTTTAGAATAGGTGCAGAAATAGGATTATAGGCTGGGCGTGGTGGCTCACGCCTGTAATCTCAGCACTTTGGGAGGCCGAGGTGGGTGGATCACAAGGTCAGGAGTTTGAGACCAGCCTGGCCAATATGGTGAAACCCCGTCTCTACTAAAAAAAAAAAAAAAATACAAAAATTAGCTGGGTGTGGTGGCGCATGCCTGTAGTCCCAGCTACTCGGGAGGCTGAGGCAGAAGAATTGCTTGAACCCGGGAAGCGGAGATTGCAGTGAGCTGAGATCATGCCACTGCACTCCAGCCTGGGCGACAAAGCAAGACTCCGTCTAAAAAAAAAAAAAAAAAAAAAAAGAAATAGGATTATAGTATATCAGGGGAAATCTCCCAGGAACAAATGTTCCTTTTCAGTAGTAGATATAGTAATTGAAGCAAAACAGAAAAATCACATTAACTGACCCTGTGCTGGGCAGCAGGCACCTCTCTGGATATAGTTTAGTTGTGTAGTGGAGGGAGCGGGACGTCTTTAGTGCTGGGCTCAGGGGTCAGTGCACTTGGTTCATTTATATCTATGCTGACACCTGCAGCAGGTGTGTAGGTGCATCCAAATGAGTTTCCAGGTCACAAAATGCTTCCCTACCTGTGGCCTCCATAAAAAGTGTGAAGGAGCAAGACTGAACACATGGCCTGAATCACCGTATTTCTCATTCTGCCTTTCTTTTAAAAAGGTAGTTTAAAATCACTAACTTAACCATTTTTACCTCTTGGAGGAGAATGAGATTTTTTTTAAACGACATCCTTTTTTGGACTCACGTGAGGCTGCTTTAAATGAAAGTGTAAACTGCTTGTATCCCCATCTTAAAGGAACGGAGCCTCCCATTGAACAGAACAGTTGATTCTTCTCTGTTAATTTCATCCAAGTGTGTTTGTGTGAGAGAAGCAATTTGTGAGGAAAATTAAAAGCTCAGATTGTTGATCGATGGTAGATATCATTTTAAGTAGACTTTGCAACCAAGCACCAAAATAATATTTCTATAAACTTTTGGGAAGTTGCACCAAACCCAATAAAGGTGCAGTATATAATTAAAGTTTTGATGTATTAATTAGACAATCTGAGAGCTCACTTGAAGATAAAAGGACACCAGATGTGTCAGGGAGAAAAAGTTGACATGCTTTAGATAAAATTTAAAATCAAAAGCTTTCAAATCGTCTTATGCTCTATTATAGCAGAATGATTGCTTAGTTCAAAGTCTTGCTGACAATTTAACACATTCAGTTTGATCATTTGGGCTTAGAATTTTTTTTTCTCTTTCATATTTGCCCCTCCCTTGTCTCCAAATAATTTTTGAGATGATAGAAGAATATACAGTATATCAAATATCTGACAGAGGGTTCCCTATCAGGTTCCTGGCTTTGAAGGTCGAGTCTCATTTATATTTAGTTCTCTTGTTTACAAGATGGAAAACGTTCTTTCAGTTTTATCACTGTAGTCTACTTAGGTCAAGCTTTTAATATGAGCAAAGGCAACTTATTAATATTTATAAGTTGTAAAATTTATTGACTTTTAAAGAATAAAATCTCAGTAAAATCTCACATGCCTGGAACTTGATATTTAGTGGTGACATTCTCTCTTCTTTGTATTTATTATGAGTAGAGAAGTAGTTTTACTTCCTGCTGGGTTGTATTGATGGAGAATAATGAAGTTAACAGTCACAGAGAGCAAGTGTGCAGGGGCACGCTCATCCTTGGCTGATATGAGCCCCCTAATAGAGCAGCACCACCTCCTCCTCCTCCTTCCTGCCATCTGTAAAAGCTGAAACGAAATGACAACCATTGTACCCTCTTGGTACTGAGTTGATTTAACCTCACCTTTGAAATCTGGTAGGGAAGAGGGGTGTCGTATGTTTTGATTTTTCCTCCCCTCTCTTCACATCTCCTCATCCCTAATTCACTTCATTAATGAAAATTCTCTTTTCTTCTTTTCTCAGCTCTTCCAACTAAGGCTTTGGGATATAATTACAAGACATAAATCTTGCAGGGAAAGAACTTTTGGTTTTAAAGGGGGAAGCCATCAAACAAACATCTCAATGTCCTCATGCCTTTGTTTTGTCATTACTGGTCATTGTTGTGTTCAGCATTGTGGGTTTGATTTTCCTTTTTTTTTCTATCCAGATCCCCCCACAACTATCCCTCCTCCCACAACAACCACCACCACCACCACCACCACCACCACCACCATCCTTACCATCATCACAGGTATGGTATCTTCATTACCATTGAAAATGTCCTGAATGTATATTGTCTTTCTGGTATGTATAAAAAGAAGCCGAAAAGTTCCCTTTAAATCCTTGGAATTTAATCGTTCCTTTATTTTGGAACTCCAACGACATTAGATACTATGTTCTTAAGTTGAATCTTAAGGACCTCAGAAACATCCCAGCATTTAACAGTACGTCAGATATTTTGCAGCTTATGCATAAAAGAATTCTTTTTTAAGCATCACTATTGAAAGCAAAATGCTAGGGAAAATGGCAGCTGGCTACTAGAGAACACGCCTATAGCTTCTGCTTAGACATGTTTGATGAAATGGTAAGTACTGTGGCTTTCAATCTTGTCTCTGTCTTAGTTTCATCTCAGTCCATGTAAGGGAAAATATACACACCTAACTTCAATGTGCCTATTTGGGCCATGCTACTAAATGCATAGTCATCCTTCCTGCTCCAGAGAGTACCCGCTGACAAGTGATACTACCTGTTTGTGTTGCCTAGGTAGTCACAAGAGATCAGAGGGAGTCACTGTCTTTTCCATGCTGAGCACTCATGTGCCCCTCCCTGCCCTCGGTCACATATTGGAAGAGTGGAAGAGGCAGCCACTGTGGTTCTAACTCTGCGGCTTTATCTTTTTGGACTGTCTGAAACTCTTATTCAGCATGAGTTTTACTGTCTCTTGTTTCTGTCACTGAGGGAGGTGGCATGCCATCCAGCCCTTCCTGGCATCCAGTGGCTCTCTCATACTGCTTGATGTGGCTTGTCTGGGAGCCATGGGGTTTCTTCTGCCTACCTAAGTAGGAAAGCTTCTGGCCACACTATGTCCACTTGACATGAAGGATTTCCCTAGATAAGGCCTTCCCAACCTGTGTTTACAGGGACTTAACACAAAAACATGTGAAAGTAATTATTCTGTGAGAAAAAAATATCTCTTGAAAGAGTAACTTTTCCGCTGCATTTTGTTAGCTGGTGAGACTGCAAGGTATCTGAACCGTGTGCCCTGGTACCCACCCCTGTCTCTGGACTTCTTTATGAACACTGAGTATTTGACTCCCCACCCTTCATGGTCAGCTCCTTTTAACACCCTAGATATCATTGCTGTCCTTTTCATTGACATGCTAGAGACATTTCCAATTTTCATGGGAGTCAGTAAGATAGAGATGATGAAAATTCAGAGTGTTCAAAGAAAGAGGAGGCCTCATCAGTTGATAGAATATACAACAGATTGTCTAATCTCAGTTTTCTTCACTTTTCTACCCATTACAGTGGAAAAAAGAACCCTTAAGGAAGCCAGTGCTTCTCAACATTGGTTACAAAACCATCAGTGCCAGCACTTAATTTAAAATCTTCTGAAAATCCATCAGTTGGTTTTCATGTCTCACTCTAAACTCAGCTCCAACCAGGCTGCTTCCTAGATTCTTGTCTGTGTGTGTTTCTGTTTTGGCTCTTTGTTACTTCCTTCTGTAAACTTAAGTAAACTCAGTTTGTTGACCTAGTGAATTGATTCTTTCCATTTTCTATACTATTCACCAGCATATCAAAGATGCTTCTTCCTAACTCTGATTTCCAGAGTAACTGTGCTATCAGCTTTTCATACTAAGAACTAGGTTTTTACCTTTTCACATTTCTTGCCTGCTACCCAGTTCGTAAGCCAAATTAGACTCGTACTCTTGTGAAGTGCCCTTTAGATACTAGTGTAAAATATACTGCGTAATTCTCCATTGCCCTACATATATTAACCCTTTAAGAAAATATATCACCAGTCTATTTTATCTTCGCAGAACTTGCCCAGGTATGAGCCAGCATTTATTACCACTCATTCTAGAAGGTGCCAGTTAGGTAGCTATCCAGGTTTACATTTTAAGGCAGTCGAGACCTTATTCACGTGGTATATAAACAACCACATTTCTCTTTTATATGGAACAACACTTTTCATTTGCGGCTGGCCTTCTCACTAGCTTATGCTTTTTTTTTTTAAGACCTTTCTTAGCACTCGCTGAACTCCTCCCCCTCACAATCAATCTCAGCAACTCAGCAGAGTCGCTTCAGTTCACAGCTCTTAATCCTTCACTCCAGACTAAAGCTAATCTTATGTCCTCAAACAGCTACAACTCACTGTTATCACAGTTCCGACTGCAGAGACTCCATTTAAGAGGAAATTTAAAAAATAAACAATGCTCTATTTCTGTCCACATCAAAGGTACCTCTAACAGAAACTTGTCTTTGCTTCTGTCTCTCTGCTACTGGACTCTCAGCTCAAGGTAATGTAAGATGATCTCATAGATGCACTTTAGCCTCTTGATGTTAGCAGTTGAGTCCTCCCTGCGCACAAAATACATTTGTGGTAATGAATGCCCAGAATCTCACTGGCACACCCAAGAGTAGTTAAACTAAAATTGCTACTAACACAACATTGTAGAATTCGTTGCCTTAATGGATGTGATCTTCTAGGCTTACTGTGTCTTAACAAGCAGTCTTATATATATTTATCTTGCCCAGAAAGTACACTTGTAGAATTTAACATTTGCTCCTTTCTCCAAACAGATTAAAGGTTATGCAGCTGAATGATTCTGTGTCCCATTTTAAAGGTCCAGGCTATCCCCTAGATTTAGATTAGTTCCTAAAAAATCTTCCAGTCTGAATCCTGACAAATGGATAGCTAAATTAATTTCCACTCCTCTTCTCTCTTGCACTGTTTGGTACATTACAGCCACCATTAGCCTTAAAAGCTGCAGCAGCCAAATTCGGTGACAGTAACATAAAGCCTGAGCTTAAAAAAAAAAAAAAAAAAAAAAAAAAAAAAAGAAGTCCACAGTCATCTATTTCTTTTCTGCCAGTCAAATGCAATAACTGAAACCCATTCCCTAGGTCAGGGTTTCATTACAAGAAAAATGTACACATGCAATAGAAAAATATTTTTAAACTCGAGAAGTCATAGTTGATTTCTGATTTCTCTGAAAGGAAGTGTTCCAGTGTTATCTTTTATCTTCCGTAACCAGGATAATCAAATTGTTCCCCTTGTTAGGAAGGCAGACTGACATTCTGTTCTGAGTCGCCTGACTTCCTTGAAACATGTTAAAGCTTCATCGTGGAGACCCTTCAGAGAGAAAAATTATAAGCCAAATCGGACTCTGCTTTGCCCACCCAGAATCATACCCCTCATGGGTGGGAGCACAGGGCGTTTTCTGCCTCCTGCTTACCCTACACGGAGCAGGTCTGGAGAGTTACACGTGAAGGCACACATCTAAATGTGGCCTTATCTAGGGAGAAATTTTTGTAGTCTCTAAAGTACTGAAAGGAATACAAACAGTCCCTGATTTATGATGGTTCATCTTACAATTTTTTGACTTTAGGATGGTCCAAAAGCAATACGTATTCAACAGAAACCGTACCCATACAGCCTTTCACTTTCAGTACAGTATTCAATAAATTCCATAAGATCTTCAACACCTTATAAAATAGGCTTTGTGTTAGATGGTTTTACCCAACTATAGGCTAATGTAAGTGTCCTGTGCATGTTTAAGGGAGGCTATGCTAAGCTGTGATGTTTGGTAGGTTAGGTGTCTCAGATGGATTTCCAGCTTACAATGTTTTCAACTTAGGGTGCGTTGATTGGGACATAGCCCCATCGAAAGTCAAGGAGCATCTGTATTTGATGTCAACTTGCCGTATCAACTTGTTGTGGCTTTAAAACCATTAAGCCATTATAGTACCATTAAATTTTTTTTCCAACTATAAAACAGTTTTAGATTGGGAGCCATTCAGAGCCTCACTATGATTTGCCACGAGGTTCCTTGGAGTCTGTTTTCTTTCCTGTGTATTGATAGTCTGACCATATATTTCTGTTTCAACTATTGCTATTGGCAAGCCCCTGTTCCTTTTTTTTATTGTGTCAAATTGTCCGTGTGGTTTCATTCATGAAGACATATGCTGTCATGTGGAAGCATAAATTGCATAATTTAAATTGTCCCTGGAATCCTTTGTGAAAAAGTGGAGACAGCCAGCCATTACCCCGGGTAAGAGTCCTTCACACAGATTCCTGTCAAAAACTAGAATAGAAGAAAACCCTGATGCCATGCTGGGGTGGCGGGAGGAGGTGGGGGAGTGTGAGTGAGTAGGGAGTGTTTGTTCTGTCTTGTTTTTAACTTTCTTTGTAATTAGTTGACTTTGTGTGTTAGGTGTACATAAACTTACCCATTTCTGTGATAGTATTAGCCCCTGTCTTCCAGTTGGATCAAACTTTTTCCTGTAATCATCTCAGGAAAGCATGTTGTGTTTCCCTTCCTAGTTAGCGTGGCTGTTGTTTTGTTTGTACCTGGTTGCATCTTGAGTTAGATGCTTGATGAGGAATATCATAGAAAGGACTCCACACTCAGTTTTAAATACCCTTAGCAACTTACAGAGAAAATTCAGGCTGGGAGGAGTTCAACCTGGAGGTCACACTAGACATGTGACTGTCATAAATTAAAAAATTAAAACCACCTTAGAATAAGAAATGAATAGCTATAGGGCCAAATTGTGAAACACATTAAAAAATCCTTTCATAAGAATGAAGTAGGTCATTTCTAAATGAGTTTTCCACCTTTTAAAAGTACGTACCCAATTAAATATTTTGTGTTCCTAGGAAAAGAAAATAGCCAGGCTTTTCTTATTGGTATCTAAGTACTCAAAAACCAATATAGCTTGTAGCAAATGATTCCTACCCCCAGGCCCACATTATTATTTTTGGCTTTCATAGTCTGAAATCATAAGCTTTTGTTTTGTGTAATGTGGATTGGATCACATAAAGAAGGTGGGTATAGCCTTTATCCTTCAGTGATATGTATAGAATATGCCCAAGTGGGGAAACTTGACACCAGAACACATGTTTTTAGTTCCTTAGGTACAAAGCAAAGAAGCACACCTGTCCTTAAGACTGAATCTATGTCATGACCATCTAAATGATGATAGAGAGCTTTCCTCCAAATACAGCTGGCTATTCCCCAGGGTCTTAGCCTAATGATTCCTACTCTTTGCTATTGATATTTGCATGGTTCAAGAGCTGGTCTGCTTTTAGTTATGCACTCAACAAATATTGAGTGCCCATAATATGTACAGCACGATGCTAGTGCTTATGGAGACAAAATACTCCCTAAACCCCTTATCATGTGGTTGCGAGAACAGGTTACACACATTGGAACCCAATAAGAGATACTGTACAATTGGGGTGATTCGGTGGCACAGGCAGAAGGTGCCGCAGATGCTGAGGAGAGTGTCACAGTGGACTTTGGTCTGTGCCATCAAAGAAGGGACAAAATGTGGATAAGAAAGGATGGCATTTTGGAAGTTACACATGAAGGTCCAATGTTACTTCAAGCATCTATCTTCAATGTGTGTTTATTTTGCATGTATTTATGTTTCAGGCATAGATTAGGCCACTCTTGCTAGGAGATACACATCTTCATCCTAGAATGTTTACTAAATTGCCTTTTTCTCTAGAGTTGACATCTACTTCATTAAGATTATTTTTCATTCAGCATTTATGGAATATTCATCAAGTGTTATTGATATGCCAGTATACCTAGTGACAAGAATATTTTGGGGGCACTAGTAAATACTCATGAGCCACCTTTTACATAATAAGCCACCTTTTCAAGTTTTTACTCCAAAAAGTATGTGTCCATTTTTCTTCATACTGTCTTAAGTGTCTACATTTTTTTTTCCTGATAATTGTAAACCTGTTACAAATAACA
This sequence comes from Homo sapiens, assembly GCF_000001405.40. Taxonomy (NCBI): domain Eukaryota; kingdom Metazoa; phylum Chordata; class Mammalia; order Primates; family Hominidae; genus Homo; species Homo sapiens. The sequence goes on along the minus strand of NC_000011.10, from coordinate 115,203,830 downwards.
ACATAGCTAACCAGCTTTTGACCTATATTGATTTAGGAGGGAATGAGAAAAGACTTGAATACTACAGTGATGGAGGCCACCTGACCCCATATTTTTTAAAAAATGAATGAGAAATGTGATGCTAGTGGAAAAGTTTTTAATGCCTCTATCATAATTTCAATAACTTTATGCTCTTTATTTTAAAAATAATCTTGGAGATAAAGATATGACATGTTTTCATACTAAAGACCTAATCAACAATGCAAACAAATAATACTGTGAATACAGGTTTCCCAGAATTAAAAAGTGATGTTTACAGCTATCTTGGTAGTGAAAAATAAAAGACTTGACTGGAAGGACCCAGCCCTCCCATATCTAACACAAAATTTGCCAAGACTTAAAAATGTGCTACAACTTACAGAGAGCCTCTTTCCTGTCTCCATCACTACCCTCGTGGCAACATCCTCTTCTTTTCCTTCCCTCCCCTCTGCCTTCCTCTTTTCTGTACCCCCTTCCACTGAGCATTCACACACAACATGATATAGGAATTGTTTTTCTTGTTAAATGAAACCACTATACAGATTCCTATTATTTTGCAGAACATCTGGTTTGCAAATGAAAAGATCTCAGGGGCACAACAGCACTAGTGAACAATTCTGAAGAAGCTTTTAACAAAACTTGAAATTGCTTATCCAAAAAAAAAAATCATCCCCCGTTGCTGCTGTTCTGTAGCACACAATCTCTTCACTCACAGGGGAGGTGACTTTAACAAGGAAGAGAGCTTTATCCTGTCTCTCCTATTTTGGCCTTTTAGTTTTCATTCTGTTCCTATCCACTTCTCCCATCCCTAAGACAGGGGAGTTTGATTAAAACATAACATAGATGGAAAGAAAATTAGCCAGGAAACCAGGAGAAAATAAATTCCAGAGTTTAATTTTCCAGCAGTTATTTTTGTTTTCGATCGAGTTCAAATAACATGAAAGAGAAGAAAAAAAAAAAACCCACCATATATTTAATATATATTGGCCAGCACAGCACAACTATGAAAATAAAATTGTCAGGGGAATTCCTTGCCTGCCCTAGTGTCTAGATTTAAAGCACCTCCATAACACAAACTGAAGGGGAATTCAATTAAGAAAACCCATTGGCTTCTTATTGACTTTAGTTAAGAAAATAAACTGGGAGAAAGTGTATTAAAATATGTCTAACTGCTTAGTATGCTTTCATTTAGGCTTATGACAATCAAAAATGAGAGAATTTAAATTTTTTACAATTAAGCTCTGGTTTTGAGTAGATTGTGGGTTATCACACCGTGCATTTTTTTAATGTACACCTTACTCAAACACACCCTAAAATGCAGGCTTGCAGTCTGCGCATTGTAAAGCAGGAGCACCGCAGATCAATTGGGGGAAAAAATATTTAAGGTTGTAAATTTAATTTTGTTCTAGGATTTTCATTTTCATTTATGGCACCCGTTGTGTTTGAGAACATGGACCAATTTATGGATTAGTTTTAAACCCCCAGTCTGTCACACTCAATGAACAATTCTAAGTTGGAGAGAATCCATATGAAAGGATTAGAATGTGCCACAGTGGAGCTTACACATGACTGTTTCAACTAAATATTGCCCAGCTGCCTCTCCTGCAGTATTATTTTTTTTTTTTGCTACTTAGTTAAATTGCTAGTGTCTCTAATTTCACACATTGTCAGAGCTTTTTTTATTTTGTAAATATACTGCCACAATAAATGTATGTGATGTTTCATTTATTCAAGATGGGGTCTGATAAACTGTAGGACTAGGAGACTAAGAAGAGAAGTCAATTTTGAGTAGAATGTGCATCTTTCAAATAATATTGCTGGGCCCTTCTTTGGATACCTTGTTTGACTGTACTCATAAAATAGCCAGAGAGTGACTGTTAAGACCGTACACACTTAATGGGTTTTCAAGAAGATGGGATTGTTTTTTCTTGGCCATATAATATAAATGTATAATAAATTTGCTCTCTTTGTAATTAAAATTAAGAGACAGTAGCTCAGCTAGGCCTTTTAAATGTCTATATAACCCAACACCACCATAAGTCCAGCTCAATTTTTTGTGACCTGTTTTTCTCATGGGCTAGCTCAAAGATTTTTTTTTTTTAAGGCAGCAGCAAGATGAGGTTTTAAAAAGGCTTTGTTAGGGCAATTAGACATTTTCATTTTTCAAGCTGATTATAGCATTTATCACTTACATTGAAATTTAGTATTTGCATTTTGCCTCTACGCTTAGAATGTTACCCAACAATATGGTCACCACACAAGTTGATTCACAGGGTGTGTTTGCACATTTCTCCAGTTTTCTGATTAAGATACCCTAATAAATCCTGCCTCACAGAGTTGCACTCACTTCAGAGCCAGGGTGTCTGTGGTTTCTGCATGAAGTCATAACGCAATTATGAAGGAGAATTAGATTCTGTCATCGTGGTCTCCTGCAGGGAGCACAAAGTTACTTCTAAAGAATGTTTTCTTAATTCTTTACTTGAAAATAACCTCTGTTCAAGTAGCATACCAGATGCTCTTAGAGAAATGGAGTCAGTGACTCCCCAGACACACCATCAATCTTGCTCTGAACTTTGTAGCCAGCCTGTGTTTCTCCTGCAGTCTCCTACCCCGTTGCTGCTCCGGGTTTTGCCATTTCCAGCTGCAGTAATCGTGTGTGTGACTTGAACATGTGTTTGCTGTTAACCATTTTAGAATGTGTTTTTTCTTCTCAACATCCCCCTTTCCTCCCCTTTTGGGTGCAGTTGATGGATTTCCCATCCCCAGAACGGGGAAGCAAGATGCACTGTGGATTTTCCTTCATTTATTTTCTAGTACTCACCTAGGAGCAGACGCCTAGCTTCACTTGGTTTAATTTCATCTTAAAGCTGACATGATGTTGTGATGTAGGAAGACAGTAAATTGGGGTCACTGGTTAATGCTGATATTATTTTTGATGACTCTAACCCTTAGGTCTTACTCCACCCCCCGCCCTTCTATCATTTGTACTTAAGTATTTACCTGGTGAAAATAAAGCTTATGCCGGGCACGGTGCCTCACGCCTGTAATCCCAGCACTTTGGGAGGCCAAGGCAGTGGATCACCTGAGGTCTGGAGTTTGAGACCAGCCTGACCAACATGGGGAAGCCCCGTCTCCACTAAAAATACAAAATTAGCCAGGCGTGGTGGCACATGCCAGTAATCCCAGCTACTCGGGAGGCTGAGGCAGGAGAATCGCTTGAATGCAGGAACCAGAGGTTGCGGTGAGCCAAGATCACGCCGTTGCTCTCCAGCCTGGGCAACAAGAGCGAAACTCCATCTCAAAAAAAAAAGAAAAGAAAAGAAAGCACATTAGAAGAGCTACTACAAAAATAATGAGCCAGAGTGTTGATTGCTTTTTTGTAATTTTGGAAAGGAGCCGATGCCTATCTATAAAATGTATTAACATGCATATAAATGTTTCTGTACAAATGGGCATTTGATCCTGCCCCTCAAATTTAAAGTACCTAATGCTGCACTTGGATGTTTCAACTAAGGAAATGTGTCATCTGTGTCAGGAGAATCTGTGACAGAGTGTGTTTCAACTGTACAGTTTATTGTTTTTTACTGCTATTTTATGCACACAGACTTGACTTGTAAGTATTTTGTTCTTATGCGGTATATTGTATGTTTCTCTTTCCTTCATCTATTCATCAGAAACTAAGCTATCAGTAATATTAAGCTGCATTGGCCTTTCAGACTTCTGGTTAATTCTGGCTCCTTAGAAGGGATCTAATTTTTGATGGTATAGGATCCTCTGGAAAGCATGCCAACTGAAGGGGAATGCCGGTGTGAATTCATGTGTCACATTTATACATCAGAAGCACCAGGCTCATTTGCCCCCCAAAAAAGCTTCATATGAAGTTCCAGTGCATTTAAACATTGCCTGTGTTGAATCAGAAAGTCTTTTGGCGTCTCCACAGCTCATGAAAGCAATTGCCAGCTAAATAGCTGCATTCTACAAAAGGACAGTGAACTGCTTGCTTGCAGTTTAACCCAGAATCTTACTTCAACCACCACCATTTGACTAGAGATAACTAACTCCTGTCTCAGTTTCACCATTTCTTTTTGCCAGCAATGAGTCGTAGAAGGAATGTGCCTGGGAAGTTTAGAACTCAAAATGAAAGTATGGCCAGATGGGTTGACATTGGAATGAGGTTGACTAGAAGAGTGGTGATAAAATGACTCTGGAAAAAGAATGTCACCCTGCATTTTGTTAGATATTTATTCCACTTCCCCTGTAGCCAAAAATAAAGAGAAAATTCCTTGAGCTCCTTGGAGGAATTTCTTGTGAACAGGAGCAAGTACAGCAAGCTTGGCTTAGAAGCCTGGTAGAAGAAGGAGAAAACTTGAACAGCATCAGAAATAGAAGAAGAAAAAGACAAAATACATTTCCTTCCACAGCAAGTTCATCTAGCAATGGAAAAAGAAAAAAACAAAAACAAAAAACTGCACTCTCTCCTACTCCAGCCATGAAAGCAGGACTCCCAGCCCCTCAGAATGGTGAACGTGGTTCTGAATTGTGAGCGAAAGGATGGCTGGATACTTAAATTTTTGGAATGTCATATGATTAGAAGCAGCGTTTGGCAGATTGTGTGAACTTGGGTGTTTTCATTAAAGGCTTCTGCTCTTGGATTTTAACATGAAGAGCTTTAGAGTGAAGAATGGATGTGTGTGTTTGTGTGTGTGTGTGTATAGAAACTAATCTGTGAAAACCTTGAACATGTTCATTGCCATGGCCTCCCAGTTAATTGAACTTTCTGGCTAAACTATGCTGAAATAATACACTGGATGGAAAACTTAAACCTGTCTATTCATCTACAGGCATCTGAGCATAAGCAGTAAAAGGATCCTAAAAGTGTGATTGAGTCAGTGATGCCTAATTGGCAGTCAAGAAGCCCAAGTGCCCGGGTGGGTTGGGTTAAAACAAAGGCAATGTTTGAATGTTATGAATCCATTGTTTAACCAGCCTTTCGACTGAGCTTTTCTGTCGCAGTCCTGAGCCTTGATGCTTTAAGAGCCATCTACCAGCCACTGAGTTTGCACTGGTGTTTCTCATCACTTTGCATGTCCACCTGACTATTGACTAGCAAATATATGTGTCCTGGCAAGACCCCCAGAACCAAAGAATTTACTGTTTTCCTCACTGGCTCGCAGCTTTGAGCTCAAGGCATGTCTTAAAACAGTGCAACTCACTTCAAATGCTTTTTGCTTTTCATTTATTATTGCTTGTCACGCGATGTTCTTTGAAAGCTTGCTCATATATTATCTGTTCCATTTTTTTTCCATTTTCCCTTTTTTTGCATGCCGTTCCTCCTGTTTCTTCCCTTCCTCCAATCCTCTGTTCCCGTCTGTAGACACAACGGCGACGACAGAACCAGCAGTTCACGGTTGGTATCACATTACTGTTTATCTACTTTCTCAGCACTGCTGAGAGGCAAGGCAAGCCTGGGAAAAAGAGAAATGTAGTCTTCAAGGGAAATCATGTTTCAAGTAGACTGACCTCATAAATATACTATAATTTTTTAAGGTTTGAAAAGATGTCGAGTCTTGTCATTTCTGTTGTGAGTTCAGTACCCAATGGATGCAAGCTGAGATGAGACCTTCTCCCCACTGGGTGGCTGGAATTGTAGGAGTTTCAGTGGCACAGAGTCCTCCTTACAAAACTCCACCAAACCTTGAAATACATGGGGCTTCAAACAAACGAGTATTCGCAGGAAAATTGTAACATCTGAATTAAAGGCCCAGTTGCTTTGTTTATATATAGGCCATAGTCCCAGGTAAATCTTGAAGAGGAGTCATTTGTGTCACTTAGTAAAGTTGAGATGGAAGGGTAGACCAGGGAAGAAGATTCCTGTTTAAAATCGTGAGCTTCTGATGAGGAAGGTCATTGTTCTTCTTTAGAAAGGTCATGACTTTAATTATGTTGCTAATCATATGTACCCCACCACCCCTCACTGGTTCACTCCTAATCTCTATGTGTTCATATAACTTTATGCTCACATTTGGCAGAAAACTCCTCCAAACCAAGAATGATACCATGTGTCAATTTTATCAGCATTAACTGGGACTTTAAATAAGTTACTGGTGTGTGTGTGGCTTGCAGGTAAAATAGTAATACGTTTTTAACCACAAAGTGATAAAAACTGGGTGAGTCAAAGCTCAGGAGGGGCATCAGGAAATATGATCTCTTTTTCCCCATCTCACCAATGACTTACTGGATTGGAATAAGTCTATTAACTTTTCTATGTCTCTCCAATCAGAAAATGAGAATCATGTTTCATCTGTATATTACTTTATTACTTAGCTCAAATCTAGCCCTGACAAGACTGCTTAGAAAAGATATGTTTAAAACTGGGCTGAATTTTAATAATTGAATCCAAGGGAATTATTTGGTAAAGGGCCTACTTTAATCGCTTTGCCTGTTGTTGTACAGGGTGGAAATCTATCATTTAAATGACAAGAGGTGATCAGCCAACCCTGCCATGTTAATTCAACTTTTAGAGAAACATTTCCTGGCACAGACTGACTCACTTAGAGACCTACATTTGATAACTCACCAGTTGGAAAATCTCTGAGCTCTGTAGGAGCTGTCCTTGAAGGTCAGGCCTTGATGCTTGGCAGGTCACCCCATCTTTTGACTTTCCTATGACGAATTCTGAGAAAGCAAAACGAACTTGGGTACTGAGCAATATATCCTTCCCCACCCCATTCCTATTTCTTTCTGCCCTTTCTGGTCATTGGTGCAAAGGGAAAAGTTCATAAAATAACTTAAAGGGGCTAGGTGTGCTGACAGTCATGAGAAATCAATTAGGTATAAAACTTCCACTTTCTAAGGTAATGCCCCATAGTGCTTGCTACATCTCAGGCATTGCAGTCCATTAAGCTCAGTTATTTGTAGATTTCATCATTAATTGAGCACCTCCTGACTTTTATCTATTATTCTCAAAGGGTTATTTTAATGTAGTTAGAGAGATTTTATTCTATTCTTTTTAAGATACTTAAGTTTCTTTTTAAGATACTTTAAGTTTTGAGCTTACTGTAATTAACTACAAGGTAAAATGCAAGCTCATCCAACCCATAGCCTATGGGCTACCTGCGGCCCAGGACGGCTTTGAATGCGGCCCAACACAAATTCATAAACTTTCTTAAAACAGTGTGAGATTGTTTTGTGATTTTTTTTTTTTTTTTTTTTTTTTTAGTTCATCAGCTATCATTGTTAGTGTATTTAATGTGTGGCCCAAGACAATTCTTCTTCCAATGTGGTCCAGGGAAGCTAAAAGATTGGACACCCCTGATATAATGTAACCATACAATTCCTAAATTCTGTGAGATCCTTGAAGAAATATTGACCATTTGTCTCCTAAAGCTCCAGAATTCTATTTTCTAGGTCCCTTCAATAAAATTCATGTTCTTAGTGTGACTCTAGTGGATGTAGGTCTCAGAGTTGGATAGGCTATTCGAAGTAGGAAATTTGTCCCCTAATCTGAAAAATAAGAAGTTAACTTACAGGCTGATCCTGATTTTAGAGTACTAGTTTTAATCGGGTCTTTCCCTGGAGAGAGAGAAAGAGAAGGTGATCTCTTTTTGTGGTATAAGGAAGAGACACTTGGAATGGGACTTTATAGCATTTCTGTGGCAGGTAATAGAGGTGTTTGTGTACTGTGAGAAGCAACTGCCTTCCTATTAGTTTGGAGACGATGTTCAAGTTGGTGAAACCTCAGTAGGATGTTATTGACTAGCAGTGCATGAAGAATACACCTAGAGCCAAGGGATTTATTGTATTTTGTATATATATACTTGGAATTTGACTTCTTAATGGCAGAGGGATAGAAAAGTGATAGATAATCTAGGCTGATCCCTGTATAATACACTTATAAATACATTCTTTACCTTGTCCAAAATCCTCGTAGCATCTTCACAAAGGGCTCCAGCCACTGTTTTAAAGAGCATACTCTTTAACCCACAGCAAAGAAGCTGTAATGAAAGCCAGATAATATCTAAAATTTTGCTTGATGTCGGGGAAAAACTTCCAGGTCAGTTGTCAGGATAGAAAAGGTAATAGAACGTGGTGGAAATTACAAAGCAACATCTGAGATTTCCAAAGAGATGATGATACAGAACTGATTTTATTCTAATGAATTGTAGCTGAAAACCCAACTTCTTCATTACAGCAACCATTTGACTTAGATTCATTTGAGAATAATCTCGAGATGTTTGTTGTGGTGATCTGGGCCTAGAAATGTTGAAAGGTTTGATAACTTAGCAACTTAAATGACAAGACATTAAGTCAATCAGCTATGGGCATCTTATTTGGTCTTAAAAGTTTTCATACTGGATTTCCTTCTATATTTCTGTGTTTTTATAAAAAGGAAAAGAAAAAATAAAAATTTTTAAAGCTTTCCCTTTGAAGACTCATTAAAATATTTTATTCAAGCTTGTTTTGCTAGAGTATGTATGAAGTTTATACCAGTTGTTTATGTATGTTGACCATTTGTTCTTACCAATATCTGATTGGAATAAGCATGTATTGGAAGGTTAGAAGTGCATGGGCATGATTCAAAATCAAGTGGATTTTCTCCAAAAAGAAAGCCAAACAACAATCAGCCACAATGTGCTTTTAAGGATTTAACTGATAGTAAAGATAAATGTGAGTGTTAAGAATGGGATTTTTAGACTAGGCTGACACAAGGGATCTTCTTTGAATAAGGATCTTGAGCATTTGTGTTTTTGGAGCTCATCCTTAAGGCCTGGACAGGAAGAATCCTGTGTTATGTGTGCATGTTGAGCAATGCAAAAAACACTCTGCCAAATCCTGATACCACATGGTCTGAGAAATGCATGAGTGATTTAACGCACGGATGGTGTAGTCATTATGTTCTTGATGTGTGGGTGCGTGTGATGGTTTTCGTTTGTTCATATGTGGGCGCTTCTGTGTCTTGTGCCTTGTTCCTTCTGCCCTGTGTGTCCCCTCTCCCCTTCCCCACCCTCCTCCCCAATGTGAGGGGTCGGGTGACAGCATGCCCATGGTCTGGAATAGTGCTTGTGCTTTTGCTGCACTGCAGTCAGCTGGCTTCCTCTGGGTTTGAGGTCTCTCTGTCTCCGTCTCTCTCTCTTTCTCTCTGTGCCCCTTCTCTCCCCTCTCCATTTTATTATTTTCAAGTCTACCTGTCCTCTTGCTTTTTCACCTCTTAATACAGTAGAGGCTGATGATCTCATGAATTTTCATATCCCCAATGAGTTTTTAAATTGTTCTTAATTCAGTATGCAATTGTGGTAAGACGCAAACTGGAAACCCCTCTGAAGAATAATTTCTCATTTTCAGTTTTGGTTTCAGAATGTTTGGCCTGTGCTAGCTACATGCTCGTACCCTACGAGCACAGCCCTTAGAAAACTGCCCCTGTAGCTCTTCCTTTTCCTGACTCGTTTATAAATAATGCAAACCATGGTCAAATTCTAAAAGCACGTACAATTTTCTTATTATACTTTATATTCAGTTGTGGGGAAATTCTTAAGCCCATTTTAAAGAAACATAGCCAGCAGTGCGCATTACTACAACCGCTATGTCCACCATCTGTGTATGTGCCTCTATGTACATCTCTCTGTATGAGCACATAACAATGGCATTCAAAGGCTGTCATTCAGTCACGGGACTCTGCAGACATTGTACGTTCTACACAAGAGCAAAGCTCAAGAGGTTTACGAATGGCTGCAGGACCTGAAGATTGTGTTTCAGCCTTGATATGCAGTTTGGAAACAATGTGCTACTGTCTAACGGCGTGAACCAAATTTCTGCTAATGGGAAGAAGGGAAAACTCTCCACAAAAGCTGACAAAGCAGGAAGAACAGGATGACTGAGTTTTTAGATTAAAACTCCCGGGGGCGTCTGAACTCATGGCTGGTGGTGGAAGTAAGAGTTTCCATAATATGGCCAAGTGATCAGATGTATGCTGCTTAGGTAAGAGAGAGACCATCGCCTACTTTGTTTTTCATAATGGGAATGGTACTAGGGCCGGTGGGCTAAGTTTTTGTTTTCTGGAGGTTTTATTCGATCATTCTATTTCAAAATTTTCTGGAAAAAAAAAATGATACCCTGAAAAACTGAGCCCATAAGCATTTAAATCGTATTTGACCTTGAATTGATTTAATATCTCTAGAATTTCTTACTGTTTCTAATTTTTTGAGGTTTTTCTTACCCTGGTTTTAAATGGCCACATTGTATCACTTTTAGAAGCCAGCAATTACTGTTGAAAAGGAAGAATCACAACGGCAAAAGCATTACCTGAGCGGGCTTAGGGTATGTTATAGCACATTGTAGCACCATGAAAAAGTTAAATACTCATCTCTGCAGAAGAGATGGCTATCATGCATATATTAAATTACCATGTTTGCATCTTTAGGACTTTATTAATTGCTCAAAAATAATCCCATATGGACAAAAAGTAAACTTTCATTTGTTTAACAAAGTTTAAAGACATATGTTGAATACATTTTAATTAGCAGTGACTAGAAAGAGGCCTTAATGGATGATATGAAAGTTTCAAGAGAATACACAAGAAGTAATTTCCCACTTATTGTTAGAGTGAAGTCTCCTTTTGAAGAATGTTCTCTGCTTCATAAAATACGTCTTTGTCTTTTTCTTTGAGAAAATGAAAAGTGTATAATTTTTAACATGAAAGAAAAATACCTAAGCCAAATCAGTTTTAGGAGATAAATTTTGCTCGTCCCCACTTGCACACCCAGTGCTTCAGTAAATTCTTTTGAATTATATTTATTCAGAAATTGTCCAACTATGGCAGAGTATTGTAGGTTCACACAATATAATAGTGCTACAAAAACAAATTTAATGCCAGTAGCCTAAATGGCTTCCTGCTTTAGAACGTAATCCGAGCAGTAGATTCCAGATAACTTGATATATTTTAAAGTTTATGCCATTAAAAATGACAGTTTCCACTTTAATGAGGTGTATATCAACTGTCTGTTGCTTTTAATGGAAACCTTTGCATATCAATGATATTTCATAAACATATTTGTCTTTTTGGGTTTTTTAATTAGCTTTCTAATGCCCTCCCCGAGGAAATAAGCCTTCAGCAGTAAAGCTACCTACTTGAAACATCCTTGTTTAATGTGGTTCAGTGGGCACCAAGCACATATGTAGGACGCTTTGATATTTGTTGGGCCAGGTAGAAGTGAGAGATTAGCCTTCTGAGAACTGCAAATTTATAATTAACTACAAAGGAGTACTTTATGTTGCCTATTTATAACAGTTATTTAAATAATTGTATTCATCAGTCTTTATACAATGTATAAGCCAATTAGAAATAGGAATATTGTCAACCAATCAGATTTCAGAACAAATGGATATCATCTCTACTCAGTTGCCTCTATAATTGATTGCATTGCTCACTGCTTTCCCTTTAGTTGCCTAAATCTATAGTTTGGGAATACCTGTGGGCTCAAAATCTTCCCATTTTTAATCAGCACCTGCTGTTAACTATTAGCACCCAAGGGTCATGATGGAAGTTCTTCTTCCTCAAGGGTTGATGGTGTGACAGCCGTCTTTCACAGAATTGACCTGGCTATCAATGTTCGTTTGGTTTCTCTATAAAGCAACTTACAAAATGCAGGCTTCAGTGATCATTTGCACATGACTGTTGTGGTTCATTTGGGCCTTTAAAAATAGTGATCAGTTTGACATTACTTGTTTCAAAAGCATTTGTTTTGGTTGCTTTTATGCTCTGATTGGGCATTATTCCCAAATTATTAATTCAACAAATACTCACTGAGAATACACTTTGTGGGTTGGCTGTAGCAGAAGGGAAAGATGCAAAAATAAACACAACTTGCTTCTCCAAAGACCTTGCAGTTTATTAGGTCTACAGACATCTTCAAAAGGGACAAATCTGACTAGAGAAGTATGAGCAAACTGCTGTGCAACTTAAAAGACCTAAGCAGTTAGTCACACTGGACTTTGAGCAGAACAGCAAAGAACAAGTAAAGCCACATTGAATGTCTAACATTTTGTGTTATTAAATAAACTTCATTAAAGGATCAGCTCACAAATAAAGCAAAAGGAAATGGAAACCATCTCCTATCTGAGCCTCCCATTGTTTATCTACTTCCCTCTTCACCCCTTTTAATTCAAATCAGAGCTAGCTGAGAAGCATCTCAGCTGGCCAGCATTGGAATTGACTCGGATATAGGCATTTCAAGCCCCGATTTGATTACCTCCTGACCTAACTGCTTTTTCAGCTTTGAGGGTTTTATTTTTCAGGAATACCATTGATTTATGAAATTCTCTTTTTTAAAAAAATCATTTTGCGAATCAGATTTTCTGATGAAGGCATAACCTGCAATCTGCAGTTAGCAGATGCTGTACCATTTTGAAATATGTGATCCAAGATCATCATAAATTGATAATGAACTGTGTTTGTCAGTATTGGCAGCGGATTTCAATTTACAGTAAAATGCGAAATAAAATGTACATACATCAGTATGTAACATCTAAATACATTTTTATTTAAGAGATATCAGAGCATCGACAGCTAACAATCAGGCTTTATTGATTTTCTTTTTGCATGCTGTTACGAATGAGTGATTTTAAGCATTCACCTTCATGTTTCATGTCCTTTGAACAGTGGAGACTGAGGAATCTTTCTGCCTCGATTGCGTATTAAGAACAAAATTACATAATTGAAGAAATGTACTTATGGATTAATACATTCATGCTATCAAAAACATAGATAGCAAGAGATTTGGCTCATGTTTTTAAAGAAATTCATCCTCAGTTCTTAAGTGTTTTGTTTATGTCCCTCGAGGAATGAAAAGAAAAACGATTTGTTTTTACTTGTAAGGCCTTACTCAGTTGCCCAATTCCGCAGAAGAACTGGACAGTGAGGACCTCTCAGGTAAGGGCTAGTCATTAGGTAAGGCACTGCAGTGTCCAACCTGTGGGTGCTCTATCCACTTCTACAAAATGGCCATTTGGTTTGCTGAGCAATCAGTGTGGATTTTGAGACTAACAAAAAACAAATTTGTATCAATACTGTCTTCCTCCCCGGTCACCCACTCACCTGTTTTCTCTGTGGTAGCGATATTTATATTTCGGAATGGGGACAATTTAATTAACGCAGGAGAGGACAAGTTACCTTTGGGATTGTACTAAAGCCCCTCTGTTCAGTGGCTTCAAATAATGTTTATGTCCTAGATATATAATGTGTCGGGAGAAATTTTGTTGTATTACAAAGCAATTTAAGGATGTTGGATTATGTGACAAGATCTTTTTTAAAAAAAAAAACAAGCAACTCATTGACTGCCTACTTCTGTGGAGGGGACTAGAATAGCCATGTTGTAGTTATCTTAGAAGTCAGGGGTGGGGAAGGGCAGGGAGGAGGGGGAAGCAATTGTTTTGTCACACACCATGATGTAAACTAATTATCCACCTCAGACCTCTTTCACAGCACACTGAGCTCTTGCAAAAGTAGGTTTCATGCTTGATTCCAGGATTTAGGTGTTACTAATCCAGAATAAGAAGCATATCCTACAAAGGAGGGAGGGAGGAGATTTAAAGTGGTCAGAGCTAAACAATTATATGAGCTTCCATGATGTTGTGGGACTTAACTGCCAACCAGCTATGGCTTAAACCTTTCCATCCATCACTTAATAAGTCAGTAAGCAAGGCCCTTCTTGTTATTGCAGTGGAGAAATTAAGTCATAGGACTGTAGACACTTACTCAAGCCTATTGGAAAGAAAGATTCCAGAGGCGCTTTTACTGAAGCTCCTTTTAATAGTTGGCTATTGAGGTGCAGTCCTTAACTATAAGTCTGACCCGGTGAGAGAATAAGATAGTACTACTCGATTTTTCAAAGTGCAATTGATTTATTGCCAACTACGTGCTTCTGACGAACCTCAGGGATATCTTCACTTTGCTGTTATGTAGCCTGTAGTTTGAGTTTAGCTGTCGGATTTATTTTTCTACAGACTGGAAGCTCCAGGAGGCCATGCTGGTTTTGTTCACTGTTGTACACCTGTCATGTACTAAGTACCCAGTTGACACTTATTGGATGAATGAATGAATTTCCAAATCCCAATGCATAGATAAATAAATAGATTAGAAAGATAGACAGCCAATCAAGAGAGTGTTTCATTTTTTGCCACTTCTTTGTGGTGTAGTTGGAGAAGTTGCAAAAACATTTACCTAGTTTTATTTTAAAATAAGGGTGGATAAGTCCTCCCTACGTAAAATGTGATGCTGGAAGTAAGCAATTTCTGCTTGCATTTCTGGTAATAGACAGTCTCAGTTCTGGTTGACCGTAAAGAAAACAACTCTCTTTGATACAGTAGCCCTGGCAATTGGATCTTCTCAAAGATCCTAAGAAAGCTGGTGGGTGTGTTGGCCCTGATCCCTCTTGGCACAATAGCCAGACAAGGATCACTCAGATATGCAAAAGTCATTTTTCTCCTCTTTAGGAAAATGTGACTGAATCAGCCATCCACCCCTTCCACCAGCATCATCAATTAGGAATACTCTGGGCCTCAGCACTGCGCCATGTCAGATGGGTCCCTGCTGCAGTTCTATCAATCACCCAAGTCAGAAGCAATAAACCAACAACTGTTTGTGTTCATAATAATTCAGTTAAATTAATAATTATGTTGTCCCCCTCCCCCACTCCCTGCAGGAACACTGCAGTCATATATTGCTCAGGAGCCGTAAGTCATGTAGAACACTGATGAACTATCAGGCTGGGCCGGGCTGCCTTTGCATCTGGTTTGATGAACTAATCAAAAACTGATTAGCACCTTTGTTCGAAGGGGATGCTGATTAATCAATTACTATTGATTGTGAGCTTGGCTTCACTCAGCAGCAAAGAGACATCTGAAGGGAAAAAAAAAACAACCAATAAAAATTGAGCAGCTGTCATAGTGTTTAAATTTATTAAAACAAAATACATTATTTTTATGAAGCTGTCTTGAAATGGGTCACTGAAGGGGAGCATATTGATTGAGAAAGGATGAACTTCTCAAATTTCTGTAGCCTAGAGACTGAATTCAATTATAATACAAGACAAACCGGTTAACACCCGTCTTAAACAGTCCATCAATAAATTAGAGTAGGTGTTGCACATTTAATGCTAAACTGTGGTAATGAATAATATCATCCATTCCCTGCTGCATCAGGGTAGAAATTTCCTCCTTTCCATATTATGGATAAATGTTACGTACTCAATTTCCTTCCAAATAATGATGGTCTATTTTCCTTTTGTCCCCTTTGCCCCGACCTCCCCCACGCACCAGTGCTACCTTCATTAATGACAGTTTCATAAGCAACATATGGTGCTCCATTCTCACCCAGCAAAGCAAGTTGCCCAGCTGATCCTCCTCTTTAATCTGCATAAAGAAATTATGCTCGTATGTAGTTCAGTGATTTAATTATTGGCAGGCCTGGGGAGCTTACCCAGTTCTACTTTGAACCCTTTCATTTACTTTTTGGGTGTTAACTTTATTGATGATGGATCCATAAGAGTTTTGAATTGTTTTGTCAATTACATCTGCTCTTTCCTGGTGACAGCTGGTGGTTATTGCCACTCATGTGGAATAGAATAGCTTTAAGCATATTTATCCTTCTATTTTATTTTAAAACTTTTTCAAAATGTCTCCAACTGCCTCTCTCCCTTCAGCAGTGGAGGGGCCTTGGGGAACTGTTTAGTGGAGTGAGGTGGTAAATATACAGTGTGCCAGAAAATGGCCCTCCAGCACAGTTCAAGAAATCCATCAGTCTTCTGATTTGGAAGCAAAGGCACCAAAAAGAAATTCCAGAGCTGTCATGATTCCTCAAAACATGTTATCAGCTCTTGTCCTACAGACAAGAAAGTGATCTGGAAAACTCCTACAACATGTCCCTCACGATCCAAAAAAGAAAGCATGGGCCTCGGAGGGCAATTCTAAATGGCTTTGCTAACCCTCATCTAGGTGTTAGGAAGAATCTAGGTGAACCAACTGCAGTCCCCTAAATGGATTATACAAGAAACACGGCTTCAAAATATAGCCTATATTTAGCTGGGCGCGATGGCTCACACCTGTAATCCCAGCACTTTGGGACGCTGAGACGGGTGGATCACTTGAGGTCAGGAATTCGAGACCAGCCTGGCCAACATGGCAAAACCCCATCTCTACTAAAAACACAAAAATTAGCCAGGCGTGGTGGCATGCACCTATAGTCCCAGCTACTTGGGGGCGGGGGAGCAGGGGTTGACTGAGGAGAATTGCTTGAACGAGGAGGTGGAGGTTGCAGTAAGCCGAGATGACGCCGCTGTACTCCAGCCTGGGCAACAGAAAGAGACTCCATCTCAAAAAATAAATAAAATAACAAACCTACATTTAGCTAATAGGAGCACTTAAAGCTCTTTTGATCTAGATTATCAGTCCCGGAGGTGGGGATATATGGCCTTCCGGTTACTGGGAGTGTCTTAAGTCCTGGCTAAACTTACTTGAAATGTGTGTGAGAAACTGTCAGTAGCTGTACCATTTAGGGGGAACTCTTTCCTAACCCCCACATAAAGAGTGGCCCAGATTTGGCAAACAGGCTATTTTATTCCCTTGGTAGAGTAATAACAACAATAATGATAATAAAACATTAAAAACCAGATGAGCTGTATAGATATATTTAAGTTATAGCCCATAAATCTAAAGTGTGGCATGATATGGCTTGTATCTGTATCATACTTTGTAACTTAGAAAGCTCTTTCACACATATTACTTCGTTTGATCTTTATTCATTCAACAAAATTATTTGAGATCCTTGTGCTGGGCTCTGGGCTGGGCACCAGGGATGCTGCAGTGAACAAGACCAACAGGAGCTGGAGCTGCCATGGCGTCCAGGAGCCAGGGCCCCTGCTCTCCTACCGCGACACCCTACTGAGGGAGACAGACCCAAAACACGAGTTAATCTTGGACAGTGACAAATGCTGTGAAACAATAAAACCGGATAAAGTGGAAGTGAGGGCTGGGGCTGGAAGAAGGTGGAGGTCAGTTTAGAAAAGTTTACCAGGGAAGGCCATTGGGACAGGAAGACCCAGATAGATGAGAATGAGCCAGATAATAGAAGATTTTCATGAAAATCTCCTGAGATTGTTAAGGAAGGGCTCTTGGTCTCCATTTATAAATGAGGAAACTGGGACCCAAACGGCTAAACGGTTTGCTTAGGAGACAGTGAGAAGCGAAGCATGGGTCTTCCTGGCTCTAGAGGAAATAGAGGACTTTGGTTTGCAGGGGCCACCTTTCCCCCTATGAAATCCACAGCTTCCTGTGTGCTGGAGCCTTTGGTAATCCTCTTGACCCTTTTCAATTCACTGTGCGCACCCGGGGAATGAGGGAAAAGTCAGGCTCTCTGCAGCCCATCAGGCATAGAGCAATGTGCTGACTAACCTGGGAAGATTTTTTTTCCCAGCATCAAATCAAGCTCTTTCTCCTCAAAGAAGACCTAAACTCTGCTTCAGTAGTTTAGTACTGTTGTCCCACTGATTCCCCTAAATTATGGGATCAGTTTCCCCTGGGAGGTGACCCTAAGTGCCATGGGAAAGTGATGGCTGGAAAAGGTTAAACCACATCAATTCCCTTTTAAAACTGAGTTTCATACAAGGCAGTAGACTGAAGAAATCACATTGGGTCCATGCCAGCTCACCCACGACTTCCCCACGATGTGTTTGAACTGCATCCTGCTGCTGGTCTTTCTCATAATCCAACATGCTCCTGTTTCCACCGTGGGAAGGGAGGAGACCATCAAACGGGAACTTTTCTTCCAAAGTTAAAAAGTTGGCAGGCCACGGTGAGTGTGAATTCTAGTTCTACAGGTTGGACACTGCTTTGGGGTGACTTCACCATATTCATTAATCCATCCTCCTCACACCCCCAAATGCCTGAGGTCCACTGAAGCATCTTTCTCCAGAGAGAGATTCTAGTGGGAAATGTATGTTTGGAAATACTCGACAACTGTCCTGTTTATCAGGCGTATATTCCTTTAAGGGAAACTCTGGTGTCATCCTCAGTGCCTTCCTGTTGCTTAAAATGGAAAAGATGATCACATTTCTAAATCTGTGCTATCATGAGATGAACAGAGTGGACTCAAGCACGACTTCTGGTGTCTCTGGCGGTGTTAAATGCCTTGGGAGAAATCTTGCATCCTGTTGGATCAAGTCATTTCCACTCATGGTTAAATTAACTAAATCAAGGAATTTGAGAGGGGAAAAAATCAACAAGAAAAAACCCAAAACACTTGTTTTCATATTTAGCTACAATAGTATTTAATATCCTGATACTCAAATGGTACACCCGAATCGAAACCTGAATCAGACGGCCTTCACCTGCCAGGCCCACAGCCTTGACCTTCATAAAGGACAGCTAAGCCATTAGTTACACAGTTTGTCAATTCTGTATAAATGAAAAGAACTTGGTGACTTCAACTCAGTAAGTGTTTATTGGGCATCTTACCATGTGTGGGCAATGCTGAGTATGCAGTACCACGCTTACCCCTAACGAACTGGTAATTATTTGCCTTGGGTCGGTGATAAGAACTGGAAAAGCCCTCCTTAGGCTCTAATACAGGAGATTTGAATTTGGCAAACACCAGGTCCCTATGATACTCCAAGCCCTGAGCCAAATAGGCACTTTCATTTGGCTCAGGAAATGAAAACAGTGGCCTCTCAAAGTGACCCTGTGAAGTACGTAATTGTACTCAGTGGCTCAGAGTGCCTCATTGACCTGCCTGAAGTCACAGAGAAAAGTAATGAAGCTCAAGTTCTGTCCCAGAAATGACAGCAAGTCCAGTGCTCTTTCCAATGGACCATGCAGGAGATGAGCTCCTAGCTCGTCCCCTGTTCAGGCCTGTTTCTGGAAAGCAATGTAGCCAGTGATAGTCTAAGAGAGCCCTGAGTCCTGATCATTTGAGTAGTGACAAGGTACAGCCAAAATCTGTGTGCAGTACTTCTAATTTAAATGAACACATACTGAGCTCTGGGTGGCACCATGAGGATGATCACTGCAGTTTTCCTTTAAGTAGCTTAACATAGCTCCTTTGAAACGTTAGTATAGATGCAGTTACATTGCTAGAATTGAATGCAGCTGACGTGTAGTAGTAGATGCCTGGGATGCTATATGGGAGTCTTCATGATTTTCTTGCTTTACGTTTATTCCTTCTCGTCCACTTTCTAAGAAGACAGAAAAGAAAGGTTATGCTGCATAAAGGCTAGTGTGCTCCAATATATATTAACATCTTAATGGGAAAGCTGTGCATGTACTGTATACATTTACTACTCTCTGACAAGAGGGAATTAAATGTCAGAAGGATTTGTAGCATCTATAATTGAATTGGTGCTGAGAAAAGCAAATCTTAAAGAAGAATAACATATTAGGATTAGCAAATAATGTGGCATTTTGTCAGCGCATGCCATTCAGTTTGTTCCCCTTCAGTAATAAAGTTGTGCTTTTTAAAATGCACACTTATTTTTGTTGCCATGGACGGGAGCTACAATAGATGATGAGAATGGGTAGCTACATTTTTCAGATGGTGCCAGGTTTTCTTAAGTGTCATTTTTTTTTTAGGTCAGATTATGGTTTTGCTTCAGATTTGGGAAATCCACTACCAGGCTTTTTCTTTCTTCCTAGCAAGAAGTAACAAATGACATCATAGTCACTAAGCTTTCTCTGAAATAGACTAATCCCTACAACCCTAGGAAGCTGGAGGCAGCATTTCCATTACAAACACCGATTCTGAGAGTTTGTAATTAAACTGACTTGTCCAGCAAGATCTCCACCCAGGAAAGGAACTAAAACTGAGCCACGTGACAGAACTGTTGCAAAAAAGTCCGCAACAATTCTTTTCCTCCAGTCATCCACGGATGGGGGAAGCACAGAACGCTGAGCATCTGAACTGTCCCTAAACAGAAGTAGGAAGACTAATACCGTTAGAACCTCCCCATGGCTTAAACGTAAAAATGAGAGCTGAGGTAGTTTATGACCTATGAAAAGAGTTAAAGTGTGCGTTTAAGCGCCATGTTGCTAAATGTGCCTTACAGCCTGAGCCAGGGATGTTTGAGATGTGAGGGTGACCCAGTGCAATGTGGCTGTCATGCCTCATGCTGCATACTTTATTGTGTATCATTGTGTCACCCTTCACTCCTTCTCAGAGGTAGAAATCTTGGTGTCCTTTTGGCAAAAAGACTGACCTTGGACTCTGTGTAGCCGAGGGCTTCAGGGTGGGCAGGCAGCAGTTGCAGTGAAGGTTCTGCTCAGTGAGTCCTTCTGCCAAAGTCCCTATTTGCCAGGAGCTTGTCTAGGATGTACTAGCCACTCTCCAGTTATCCATGGATCCCCACTTTGGCAGCAGAGCCTTCTAGGCTTATCACAGATCCATGATTATGGCATTTGCATGGCGGTTTATGCTACACATCTCATGCCAGGTGGTAAAGTAGCCATAGAAACCAGGATCTCTTGCAGAGCCCTGTTTAATACAGGCAGCATGGCTGCCAGAGTGCTGCGTTTAAGACGACTCTGGCAAGGAGTTTGAGGAATGAAAACAAGTAGAGAAAGAAAAGTCTCCTAGAAGGAGGGGAAAGGAGACTGAAGTTCCACTAGCAGTCACCTTTCTTGTCACGCCCTGGGGAACTACTGCCTTTAGAACTTCCCCTTCTTATTGCCCATGAGGAATGGATCGGGCCAGGTCAACTGGCCCAAGGTAAAGAAATCTGAGCAGTTTGGGGCATCACTCTTGGGAGTTTCTTTGAGATTTCTCTGTCCCGCAATTTCTAAGATGCTAAAGCGAGCCCAGGGTTGTTGAAGCTGTGACCCAAGCAGTAGTGGCCAACTTAACATTCTGCAAGCAGCTGGTAAACTCTCACCTGGAGCCAAGTTGTTTCAGCTTTTTGCCAAAAGAAAAGCTAACTCACGAATACTAAACACCTCATGATTTATCTGTCACACTTAGAGCCATGGAAGTGGCTGCGGGATGGGACACGACAGGCAGGGAGGGTTGTACCACAACTGTGAGCTGTCAGGAACACCTCCCTGCAACTGCTGCCTGCCCGCCCTGAAGCCCTCGACTACAGAGTCCAAGGTCAGTCTTTTTGCCAAAAGGACACCAAGCTTTCTACCTCTGAGGAGGAGTGAAGGGTGACACAGCGATACACAATAACCTTTACAGGGTTCATCTGCAAGTCAGAATCATTCAAGGACTAGGCCTAATTCACCTGAGGTCACATGTGAAATAATTTGGATGAGATTCTTAACTCCAGTTGAACTGTGTTATGCAATCATGCTTGGTTCACTGAGGCTGGAATAACCTTTATGCTGGAACCATTCACCAAGCAAAAACATGGCTTTACTTTTCAGGATGATGGGGCAGGGCTTAGTCCCAGAAAAGAAACACTCTTACACTTGTTACTAGTAAGAGGAACACTTGTAGCCTCTTAGGGAACAAGAAAACATGGCTTTCTAAACCGAAGTGATGTCCATATGCCTGAGCATCAGGCATGTTTAAAAGTGCTTTCCACTCCCACATTTATTTTTCAATTGACAAGCTAGGGGCAGCTGTAGAATCTGCCTCTGGTTTCGTTGCCTGCCCGATTCAGAAAATGAGCCGGGAATCTGAAGAGAATGTCCCCAGGAAAGCCAGCACTTCATGGGACCTGAAGAAGGGGTCTGCACCCTGCAGGACCAGGATCTGTGGCTCATGGGGAAACCCATAGCTTTCCCACTTAGAAGTCATTTCTCATGGAATTGGTTAGAGTCCTTGCCTTGGGAATGGAAGGAAAGGTCAAGCAGCTGACAGACTTTGTCGCAGCCATGCTTCTCTTAGTGCTCGGTATTTCCTTCCATTTCTGGTTTTCGTGCGACTCCAGTAGCCCAGTTCCCCCCTGGGCAGCATCTTGCACGGCTGCTTCATGTCATGAGTGAGGCACAGCCCGCAGGTGCAGGCAGCTCACCCCGGCCCTGCTGCCTTGAGCCAATCCATGGCATTATAAACACTCCCCCACCCTCCCCACACGTGGAAATAAAAGAACGGACTGAGATGACTCCAGAAACAGCTCTGCTTTTCATAGGGAAGGCCAAGACAGAGGCACTCAGTGAACAGGCACAACTCTATTAACACCTCCCACGTAAACCCAGGAGGTGGGAGTGGGGGTGGGAAGAGGCGGTGAGGCGCTCGTAACCGGCAGTGTTCCCTGTAAATTAAACATCAGTTACCTTCTGTGTCCATCTGCAGTAATTGAAGGCAGGAGAAATGTCTTGGTGATTAACTGGTGGTAGTAAACTTTCTGATCAAAGTGGGTATCAGAAGATAGCTGGAGAGATTACCCTTATAAATAAGTATCTGTAAAATATGTATGTCCTTGAGGGTGGGGAAGATAACTAGAACATCTAAGGTTCTAGTTTAATTTGGGCAAAGTGCAGGGAAAAATAGCAACACTGAGCATATTTAGCTCAAAGTTCATGGAGGGCAAAGGTCAAGTAAGGAGTTTCGGCTCAAGAAATTAATCTCACAGATACATATACCTCGTGAGATCTTTTTGTTTGAGGGAGGTTTTTGTTTTTCTTTGTCACAGAGCCTCTCTCTGTCTCTCCCCTCCCCCCTCCCCCCTCAGGCTTCCAGAATATTCCTGTGTCTAGGCATGGAGAGGAGGCGGTCTTTTATTAAGAGTGGACAAGATAGTGTCTTCCCCTAGATGGGTTAGAACTGTCCTGGACAGCTTCTCGAAGCTTCTCTCTGTTCTCAGTCTTCCTGGAACCTCTCTTCACCTCTTGCCTCTTGTGCCTAACTTTCCCCTGTCCTCAATGTCTAGTCTCACTTGTTTTCCTCCCCCAATTTTAAAACATACAGAGTTCATCGAAAGACACATAAATTTTAATAGGTCTGAAGCTCATGGCCATTGGAGATGAGTTAATTCTCATTCCCCCAAGATTCCCTATTTTGACAGCTCCCTAAGGAAAACACAACTTGCTGGCTTTTCTGTTACTTTTGTCCCCCATGAGCAATTTTGCATCTGTGCAGTTGGACTGAACATCTCCAGTGTGTCAAGCGCTCTCCTCCAGCAGACACCCCGTGTCCAGCAGCACCCCACGGGGAATGCTCCCCTTCAACGAGCTTTGTCGTCTCTAAAAAGGAAAAAAAAAAAAATCCCTTGACCGAGTTCTGCCTTGTTGAAATGACTTTCAAGACAATGGGGGTTGTAGCATCTGCAGTTGGCAACACTTTTGGCTGAGGAGGGAGATTCCTCTCCACCACTTTTCAAGTTGAGCTTATTAGACACGTTGCTGGAGGGGCTCGCTCAGCTCAGAGCGGGCTAATTGGCTGCAGTGCACTCTGCCTCCAACCCAGCTCCCTTCTCCAATTAAACTCCCATCATCCTGTTGTCCTGGGCGACCTGCTGCTGCCTCTGATTTGGCATTTCTGTTTGGGTTTTGGTTTTGGTTTTTCTGTAGTCCTTTCAAAGATAACTTAATGAAACACTTTAAATACTCCATTTTAAAATTTAAACTCTTTTAATTAAAGCACTTTTCATGGAACCCTCAGTCACGAGTTATTTCCCCACATCCTTCAGTACTTAATCTCGGAGCAGAATTGGAAATATCGATAGAAAGTGTAAATCATGCCCTCCTGCTGAAAGCGTTGTATCAGGTTTCGGCTCAAAAGAGCACCATTACCTTTAGCTGTCACGGATCTGTACACTTGATCGATAAACTTCAAATATTATTAGAGGTAGAGGCTTCAGAGATTTGCTCTGTTCTTTGGAGAGAGACAGAGATAAATCTTTCTTAAAAATTGACTTGAATTTGCACTCTCAGTCTTCCTGGTGAAATGCATTTCTCTTAGGCATCCAGCAACTGCAAGGGGGACAGATTTATAGGCCATGTGCTTCTTGTACTGAAAGATTCAAATGGTAAATCCTTCACATATGACTTCACAAATCATGTAAAGTTAAAAGATTTTTACCGTTTCTGTTGCTGCTGTGCTTAAATTGTAAGGTACAGCTAGTAAATCATTTTAATGGAGGTGTCGTACTTGACTCAATAAAAAAAAAAGACAATGGTTTAGCTTCCACTCCAAAATGTTAATGTATTAATCAACGGGAGAATAATTGTTTTTTACTACATTATAAATCTCAAATGCCATTAGGATTTCAGCAAGGGGTGATGTAGCCACATTCCTAAATTAAAATTGTTTACACTGCCATACATCCATTCTGCATCACCATAGCTCATTCTGGGTTCATTTTGGAGTTGTTCCCCAGCCAAACATGTCGTTCCTCAGTCAGAAGAAGACATCCTGAGGGGGTGATGCTTATAAAGGAAAATTAATTGCATTGCAAGGTGTTAAATAAATAAAATAAAAACCGTTGGTGGCAATGGACAATTATTCCTTGCTGTCTCTTTTGAAATAGGTTTTTAGGTTTTAAATTGAGGCTTACTCCTTCATACATCCTAAATGTAGCAAGCCTGTCATTTGTCTTTAGTCTTATAATCCTTGTTTTATCTCTAGGCAACTGTGGCTTTTGAGCACCTTACTTCTCCTATGCATATCCCTAATCTACCAGATAATAAAAGTCATTGGGCGTCTATAGAAAGATGCTGTACCCTTCTGTTGCCTAAAGGTGTCATTCAGAGCACCCTCAAATAGTCAGGTCAGCCCCCTTAATTAGGCTCTGCAACTGGATACAGACAGAGTGAACGCTAAGACTAGGTCAGGGCCGGATAGACTATTTCTTCCTTCCCTGCCTCCCTAAGCTTGTTCCACATGCATTAACCCTCCTATGCTGCTTATCATGAAATTGCCTCGTGGGGAGAACAGATCGATTCAGCACTGGACAGGTCAGCCTGTTACCTCAGTGTAACTTGATCCATCTCGATTGTTCTCTGTGACTCCTCCATTAAAAAAGAAGGTGACCCTCTGACCCTGGAGACAGTGTCGCCGGGGCTTCTGGTGCCTTGTAATAAGCTCTACATCCCTATTCCTCTTCTGATTTTAACAGATTCCCGAGCAGGTGAAGAAGGCTCGATCAGGGCAGTGGATCATGCCGTGATCGGTGGCGTCGTGGCGGTGGTGGTGTTCGCCATGCTGTGCTTGCTCATCATTCTGGGGCGCTATTTTGCCAGACATAAAGGTAAGCAAAGCTTCAGCAGACAGAAGCAGCGTGTCCCCACAGCTTCTGCCTTTGGAGACTTTACAAGGTTGTCCTTGATAGGCAATTTGATGTATGTGGCCACACGGCCTATCTGATTCCTGAAACTGGAAGAGAGAGAAGAGAAAAAAAAAAAAAAAAACAAAACCAGAAATCTTAGCAGCCGCTGATTAGGACTCTGGGAGTTGATGAGTAGCACTCCTTGATTTGGATTTTCTCTAAATATAAAGCTTTGTAGAGTTGTTATTCTGCCATCCATAATTGGGGATAGAGGAAAAATGATAAAGTAGAGGCTGGTGTGCAAGGTGTGGCATGAAGCCGCAAAGGATAAACATGGAAAAAGCACATCCACAACCTACTGTTTTCTGGGAGGCAGAGGATTTCCCCCTATCCCCTGTCCCCAGACTCTGTGTAAGCTGGTCACAATGGCGAGAAGACTGCCTTGGTTTGATGTGCCCAGGTTAAAGAAAATTTTTTGCCTTAAAAGCCGCATAAATATGTATTTTTAAAATTATCAGTGCAATTGATTTAAATTGCCATTAATCATCACACTTATCAACTGTGCAGTCTGGATGGGCAATCATCTTTTCCAATGCCCCTCCTGTCTGCCCCATGCTGCTCTGATCCTCTTCTTCCCTCTTGGTAATTTATTCTTCCTTTTCTTTGTCCGCCCCTGTCTCTCTCAGTTATTTTTCTCAAGCACTGTGCAATGAGCTTGCGGGGTTTTCTAGGTGCTTGCATACTGCTTGACTGTTGAACTTGGGTTTGGGGGAAGGTCCCTTGAGCACAGCAGTGGAGGTCTAAGGTACTTAGGCACCTTTAGGATACAGAGTGCCTGTCTCAAGCATAAAACAGTTTAGGACGATCAGAGCTGTCCATACTTCGCCCTCTGCCCACACTCAGGAGGCAGTCTGTTTGGCCAAGAGCTCCCAGCCTCTCGGTGGTAAGCTTGACAGAGACAGGAGGTAAGGCCAGAGAGCAGGGCAGCATCCGAGCAGCAGCTGTGAAGGACCAGGGGAGGGGAACATGTGTGTCACTCTGCAGCAAGAAAAAAGGATACTGAGAAGCGTTTGACCTCTTGCTTTCTCAGATTTGTTACTTTGAAAACCTGAAAATATAGCAAATGTCTCAACCTTTTTAAATAGAAGACTCTTCAGGAATACAGTATGTAATGGGAGGAAGATTATTTGATTATGGTAGGCAGTTTAACTTCTACCTATATAGCATACTGAGGTGCAGTCTTTGTTGTTCTCCATGTAAACTGTTGGGATTTGGTGATAAGAGTGTCCCCAGCTGTGTAATGTCTGTCTATTGTCATTATAAAGTGGCTGTGCCAATTAGCAAATCCATGAATCCGGGTCCGGGCTAGAGTTATACGATGAGAGAGACCTACTTGCTCATTAAGACAGATCCCAAACCTTGATCCCTGCTATTATAATGTCAAATTCTTTCTCAATCTGGAACCTCACTCTGAAGTGGAAGACAGGAAAATCAAACATACTTGTGCAAGTTCAAGCACCTTCTCACCTATGGGTAGGCAACAATGATTCATATAGACACGGGACGGTGGTTCAAATAAATGAGCTGAGGTGACAACAGAAGCATCATCAGGGCCCTAATTCATTTATTGGCTAATTGCTCTTCCTTGCTTTGGTCTTTAACAATGTACGTGCACATATCTGGTCATTGGTCATTGGTGTTTACTGTTTATACGTTAGTCAGCCCCTCTCCAGCTTTCTGCATTTTTAGCTCCCACTCACGTCTTCTTCTGCTGACATCCTCTGGTCATAATCACTGCTCTAATGTCTCATTTGCTGAATTATATCGCAGCGGTTCAGTTGGAGTGGTGCCTTTGGAACCCCCGGATCCCCCTTTGTCTCACCCACCCCGCTCTCTTCTTCCAATTGTTTTTTCCCCTCTGCTGCCTGCACACCACTTCGGCTGATGATGGCCATAAAGCAAGTTGCCATCTCTGTACCACTTTACACAGAGGCCATCAGACAGTCACGGTGCTTTACCCCTTCATCTTTCAGGTACATACTTCACTCATGAAGCCAAAGGAGCCGATGACGCAGCAGACGCAGACACAGCTATAATCAATGCAGAAGGAGGACAGAACAACTCCGAAGAAAAGAAAGAGTACTTCATCTAGATCAGCCTTTTTGTTTCAATGAGGTGTCCAACTGGCCCTATTTAGATGATAAAGAGACAGTGATATTGGAACTTGCGAGAAATTCGTGTGTTTTTTTATGAATGGGTGGAAAGGTGTGAGACTGGGAAGGCTTGGGATTTGCTGTGTAAAAAAAAAAAAAATGTTCTTTGGAAAGTACACTCTGCTGTTTGACACCTCTTTTTTCGTTTGTTTGTTTGTTTAATTTTTATTTCTTCCTACCAAGTCAAACTTGGATACTTGGATTTAGTTTCAGTAGATTGCAGAAAATTCTGTGCCTTGTTTTTTGTTTGTTTGTTGCGTTCCTTTCTTTTCCCCCTTTGTGCACATTTATTTCCTCCCTCTACCCCAATTTCGGATTTTTTCCAAAATCTCCCATTTTGGAATTTGCCTGCTGGGATTCCTTAGACTCTTTTCCTTCCCTTTTCTGTTCTAGTTTTTTACTTTTGTTTATTTTTATGGTAACTGCTTTCTGTTCCAAATTCAGTTTCATAAAAGGAGAACCAGCACAGCTTAGATTTCATAGTTCAGAATTTAGTGTATCCATAATGCATTCTTCTCTGTTGTCGTAAAGATTTGGGTGAACAAACAATGAAAACTCTTTGCTGCTGCCCATGTTTCAAATACTTAGAGCAGTGAAGACTAGAAAATTAGACTGTGATTCAGAAAATGTTCTGTTTGCTGTGGAACTACATTACTGTACAGGGTTATCTGCAAGTGAGGTGTGTCACAATGAGATTGAATTTCACTGTCTTTAATTCTGTATCTGTAGACGGCTCAGTATAGATACCCTACGCTGTCCAGAAAGGTTTGGGGCAGAAAGGACTCCTCCTTTTTCCATGCCCTAAACAGACCTGACAGGTGAGGTCTGTTCCTTTTATATAAGTGGACAAATTTTGAGTTGCCACAGGAGGGGAAGTAGGGAGGGGGGAAATACAGTTCTGCTCTGGTTGTTTCTGTTCCAAATGATTCCATCCACCTTTCCCAATCGGCCTTACTTCTCACTAATTTGTAGGAAAAAGCAAGTTCGTCTGTTGTGCGAATGACTGAATGGGACAGAGTTGATTTTTTTTTTTTTTTCCTTTGTGCTTAGTTAGGAAGGCAGTAGGATGTGGCCTGCATGTACTGTATATTACAGATATTTGTCATGCTGGGATTTCCAACTCGAATCTGTGTGAAACTTTCATTCCTTCAGATTTGGCTTGACAAAGGCAGGAGGTACAAAAGAAGGGCTGGTATTGTTCTCACACTGGTCTGCTGTCGCTCTCAGTTCTCGATAGGTCAGAGCAGAGGTGGAAAAACAGCATGTACGGATTTTCAGTTACTTAATCAAAACTCAAATGTGAGTGTTTTTATCTTTTTACCTTTCAT
The DNA here is from genome assembly GCF_000001405.40 of Homo sapiens. Lineage (NCBI taxonomy): Eukaryota > Metazoa > Chordata > Mammalia > Primates > Hominidae > Homo > Homo sapiens. Next base: position 115,175,084 of record NC_000011.10, on the reverse strand, counting down.
ACACTAGCCTTGGCCTCTTTCCTCAGCCTTAAGAACCATCTGCCAAAAATTACTGATCCTCGCATGATGGCAGCCATAGTGCATAGCTACTAAAATCAGTGACCTTGAACATATCTTAGATGGGGAGCCTCGGGAAAAGGTAGAGGAGTCACGTTACCATTTACATGTTTTAAAGAAAGAAGTGTGGGGATTTTCACTGAAACGTCTAGGAAATCTAGAAGTAGTCCTGAAGGACAGAAACTAAACTCTTACCATATGTTTGGTAAGACTCCAGACTCCAGCTAACAGTCCCTATGGAAAGATGGCATCAAAAAAGATAGATCTATATATATATATAAATATATATTCTATTACATTTTCAGTGAGTAATTTTGGATTTTGCAAGGTGCATTTTTACTATTGTTACATTATGTGGAAAACTTATGCTGATTTATTTAAGGGGGAAAAAGTGTCAACTCTTTGTTATTTGAAAACATGTTTATTTTTCTTGTCTTTATTTTAACCTTTGATAGAACCATTGCAATATGGGGGCCTTTTGGGAACGGACTGGTATGTAAAAGAAAATCCATTATCGAGCAGCATTTTATTTACCCCTCCCCTATCCCTAGGCACTTAACCAAGACAAAAAGCCACAATGAACATCCCTTTTTCAATGAATTTTATAATCTGCAGCTCTATTCCGAGCCCTTAGCACCCATTCCGACCATAGTATAATCATATCAAAGGGTGAGAATCATTTAGCATGTTGTTGAAAGGTTTTTTTTCAGTTGTTCTTTTTAGAAAAAAAGAAAAACAAAAACAAAAACAAAAAAAAAAAATCACACCATTGCTCACAGAATTGGCATCTCATTTTTGGGACCTCCCATCTTTCTGTTTTGAAAAGTGTACAGTAGTGCAGTGTTCCTGATGTAACTTTATGGCTTACAATGTTGACATGTCTCAGGTTCATGTGTTGCGATTGGTGTTTTCCGTCTCAGGTAGATTGCAAAGTGTAGGCCCCACACATTGGAAAAAATAATAATAAAACAAAGCAAAAACAGGAAATTATGGATTTTAGTTGTATATTGGTTTATGTATTTTTTCTTAAGTATACAGTGCACTGTTTGAAATGTATTGTTGAGTATTACTTTGTACAGGTTGATCACTTTTTTTAGAGTGAAGAAAGAACAAACTTGTTTTTTGTGTTTTTTAAAGGAATATAAAATAATGAAGGATGTATAATTGATGCCAAATAAGCTTGTTCTTTAGTCACACCGACGTCTTATTTTTCCCTTTAGGCCAGTTCTGTTTTTAAGGTGTACATGGACAATGTTACAGTGTAAGAAACTCCATATCCATATGTTCCCATTCGCATTTTGTATTGGTTCATGTATACCATTTTTACAAAAAAAAAAAGAAAAAAAAGAAGTACTATAAAATATCTGTCTTCTTAATAAAAAAAAATTAATGTTACAAAGTGATCCTTTAATCTCTTTATGGACTTCTTATGGACGCCTCCGAGTGAGAGAAGAGATGGGCCTCTGGTCCCAGCTTCCTCCTTAGGACCATGTACGGGGCCAGGAACGCTGGCAGTAGATGCTAGGACATGCTGCCGGCTGGGTTGCTGGGGGCCGCGCTCTCTCTCCTTCTCCGCTCATCCTTCCTGTCCTTGTTCTCTTCCCCACTCTCAGTGGACAGGTGAGCCAAGTGCTGTGCCGTGGCTGAGTCTGGGCTCCCACGTGGACTCAGCGATTTGTGCAGGTGTGCGAGCTGTCGTGGCGGGCCCGCCGGAACAGGCCGCTCCCGTAGATGTGTCTTCCGCACTCATCCCCTCTCTCACCGCCCCCCCACCCTCACCAACTTCCCTGTGTTGGCTGCTCCACCTGTCTCTTACTTTGGGAGTTTGTGTCTTAACAATTCATTCTGCCTTCTTCCTTGAAAGTTCTCTCTCCTTTCATAAAAAGAAGACGTGAGCTGTGGAGGACTGGCTTGGCTGCCTGCAGAAGATTGTTCTCACTTGCTGTTTAGGTTGCTGAGACTTCCAGGCCTGGGTAGACAGCAGGATTTGCTCTGTTGTCATCGTCCTTGCCTTGCAGGCTGAAGTGAGCAATGACTACACTTCATGGTGGCCGATCTTATAAATGTGCAGATAACGTCTGGCCAGGCCCAAAGTGCCCTTTTCCCACCATCCCCTCAGCTGTGGTTGATGAGTTCCCCTTTTCTCCCTTGGCCACGTCATGGGGAAAGTTCCATAGGAAAAGCAAAGGTAAGCTCCAGAAAGACTGAAGGCTGTGCATCTCCCCTTGAGCCACTTCCATCCTGGCCTGGTCTCTTACCTGTCTCTGTTAAAAAAAAAAAAAAAAAAAAAAAAAAAAAAAAATCAGATATGCAGTTATTGAGCACCTGCTGTATGTCCAGCATGGTGAGGGATGCAGAGAAGTATAAGGCGGTCTCTGGAGGCCAAGTAGAGCATCAGTTACATCACCTGAAAACTTGAAGTGACCCTGAGCCATGGGTGCCCCACTGAACACAGAGAAGCCCAGAGAGTGCTATGAGAATTTTCTGGAGAAGGGTAATCAGTGAAGGCTGGTGAGTCCCTAGACAGCTTCACAAAGAGCTGGGACCCCAGCTGGATCTTAAAGGATGGTTTCGTGGAGAAGGAATGTGAGTCAAAAGTACAGAGGGCAACAAGCCCAGCCAGCCTGCTGATTTGTATGGGGAGAAGAAAGCAATTCCGTGTGCAGGGTGGGATGGGTCTTGTGGCTGTACTGAAAAGTCCGGGCAGAGGACTCGATACTTCAGTGACCTCTCCCAGCCTCTGCCAGAGGGCAAGGAGCAGTAGGGAGTACTCATTCATTGCATCTCTATAAAAAGACCCAGAGAGATAGAATAAGGATCAAAAGCACACACTAGAGAGAGGCTGCCTGCATTCAGATCCCTGTCCCACCATGTAGCAGTGAAACCTCGGGTGAGTAGCCCAGCCTACCTGGCTTCAGTCTCTTGCTCTGCAAGGTGGACATCACCATAGCCTCGAAGGTTGTTAGGAAAGATCAGTGAGATATGCAGTCAGCGCTCAGCCAAAAAGGTGCCAGACACACACTACTTGTTCATTACATGTCAGTCACAGGATAGAGGCAAATGGTGACTAAAACGATAGAAGGTTACCCAGGGCTACGAAGAAGCGGTCACTACTCAGAGGGAGCTCTGAGGGCTCCTCTGCATATAGACACATCATGCCCTTGCAAACCACGACTTAGAAGGTTTAATGACCCTTTTCTCTTCACCATTCATTAGCAGACTTATTCCAAGCCACGTGGCATGCAGTATGTTTAGTCTCCCCACCCCTCTCCCTCTTGTCTGCAGCATGAGGCTCCAGCTTTAGCTGTACCCTACAGAAAAAAGTCCCAGAAGTTCCTTGAGCTGAGGCAGACAGGAGGTGGTGACTGCTGTACATTTGCCTTTTGAGCTCCACAGGGTATGCAAATGAGAAGGTGCTAGAAGCCGTCCCCGCTCAAAGGATCTTGATAAGTTGCCCACTCCTTCATTTGAGAAGAGTGCGTACGAGAGTGAAAATGGCCCTCGTTTCCCCCAGAGAGTTTTCACAAATGTTTTGGCCTGGCATTCTCCAAATACATCAACTGGAACCCTGAGGTGATATGCGGGTGTTAATTGGTGCAATCTTTCACTGTCCTCTGTCTACCTGAAATGTAATTCTTTTACCGCTGTGGACTTGCTCCATGGAGAAATGCTCCTTTGATTCTGTCATCAAGAACCTCAAAGAAACCATGTGGCCACTGTGTTACAGGTAGAAAGACCCTGCTTAAGTGAAGGTATTTTTGTTTTATTATAAAATCATGCCCAAGATTAATACACCTTTTTGCCAGGATCCCAAATACGCAGCCCTTTGTCATGAAGAACTGGCAGCCACATTCCTTCAGGGTGAAATTTGTATTCACAGCCATACATGTATAGTTTTTGAAGCGCTGGCCCCCCGTACAGGAGAAGAAAGAAGGGACTCTTGGCTCATCCATGACCTTGTAGGTCAATACCATATTAAAGTTCCTGTCAGGCACGCAGTAGTCACCCAGCAAGTATCAGCTGATTAAAGGGAGAAGAGTCGAGCACCTGGCTGACTGAGCCTTACGTTACACTTAATCTGAATGGGCCACCGATGCTGTATTTCAAACCTTGATGTTTGCATGTCCATCCTTACTACAGGTGGCTTTCAGGTTGGCCGTGAAGGGACAAGCCAGCCAGTCCTGAGTTTAGAGCGATTGGCCCTATCATTCTCAAGGACCCACTGGAATAGTATCAGGGAATATCATTTTGGGTAATGGCCAAGCAAAGCCTTAGTATTGCTATCATATATTGTGAGGGGCCTTCAGAATGCAATATGGCCTCTTTTAAAAATGCAAACTATAGTCCTTGCCTTATCTGTGTTTATCTCAAAATGTTGAAATGTGCCTCTAATAGGAACTGCAGGATTCAGTCCCCCCCCACCACCCCCCACCCAACACTCACATCATTACACATGAGCATCCCTGAACTGAGACCTGAAAGCAAGAATCTTCTCTGTTTTCAGGTGTTCCAAACCTCAGCTTCCAGCCTCTTCAGTACACAGGAAACTTTGTTTCATTTTTATGTTTTTATTTATTTTTTTCATTCCCAAAAAACATAAAATGTCTACTGCCCCTGGTGGTCAGTGCTGGGAAATACAACTCGAGCCTTGCCTATTGAAATGCAGAATGTATTCCAACAAGGAACCTGACATTGTCTACTGCTTTTTCTCTCACACACATGCACACCTACCTGCGCCTCCCATTTTACTCCCTCCTAATCCTTCGAAGTGTTGATCTGGGGAAGGTGAGAACCACTACTGAGGGGCAAATCAACCGGTTCTCTGGGCCCGGGACTTCAGCTGCCCTCCAGACGTGCACAGGCTCACAGTCATATTTCAGACGTGACCGCCTCAAATCTTCCTTAAGTGCTATCTTCTCAGGTTAATTAATCACCAGGCTTAAACTTGCTGTTACCAGCAGGAAGTCCATCCTGAAGTCAGCAATGTTACGATTGCATCTTCTAATACTGTTTATCCTGCATTAGTGTTTACTTAGGGGGAAAATTGATCCGTAATTGATATTTCAGTCTTCCAGAGCTGGTGTTGGAAGAGCCTAATGCAGGCCTTTAATAGCAAGCAAATATTTAAATCCCTTAATGGTTGCTGAATATTGAAATGTGTGACTTTATTACTCTTTTTGGTTTGTTTTCTCTGTAGTTGTGTATTTCATCGTTTAAACCTGCAATGGATGCTGGCAAGTGCAAGTCTAGCTAATCCACAAAAGCTGTTTGCCCAGACACAGCAGACCTGATTAAAAAGTATTGCTATGGAAGGGAATCTTCTGCACTAATCAGTCTCTGTTAGCTAGTGACGAAATTACTATCCATCTCTCTCTCTTTCTCTTTCTCTCCCTCTCTCTAGGCCTGTTTTCTCTAACCTCCTCTCCCAGAATAAAGTGATGAGGGCAGCTATAGTGTTGCAATTAGGAACATGAATCTTTTATCGTTTGGACAAGGAAGGGAAAATGCCATTACTGTCAACTGAAATGTCCTACTTGGGTTTTTTGCTCCTACTTCCCTGCCAAAGCCCATTGCTGCTGCTGAAATTGTATAACATTCACAGCTGTTCTTGATGGCTTGATTCTTAACACAGCCAGAAATGTAGCCCGGGAGATGCTTAAGACAGTTTATGGAAAATAATAGATTTCCTTGCAGAGACACCAATGCATCGAGAAGGGCCTTGAGTCACGTTAGCCCCAGCCAAGATCACCAATTTTCTCTCTATCTGGCTTCAGTTACAAAGGCTATGCCTTAAAAAAAAAAAAAAAAAAAAAAAAAAAAATGCAGACCCTTTTGAATTCTCTGTGTTTTCCTGGTTGGTTTCCATCAGCACCCACAAGTCCCTGGCTATGGCACCTTTTGTCTCACCACTCACCTGCAGCAGCCGTGAGACCCAAAAAGAAGCCTACAGAAGTGGAAATAAAAGGATGCTACTGAGGGGAGAAGAAGAACTCCCAGGAAAGCCACCCGATGAGAGCTGAGACTAGGTCTACCACCAGCTGGGTGCTCCAGAGACAGACGGCTACGTTGGAGGCCACCCCTACAGTCCCAGCACATGGGTGGGGTCCTTCCCTCCCTGTGTGGCATCCCCGCGTGGCCATCAGGAATGTCAAGAAGTGGTGTAGTTAGTTCCACTATCCTCATCACTGTGCCCTGACCACTCTCAGCCCCAGCCCTTAGTTAGGAACTTCTGGGATTGGCACTCCCTTTGGCAGGTAAAAGGGAGTGGCTTCACAGTCACAAACATTGGGAAGGATGCAAGAATGAAACAGCAAACAGTGCCTCACAAGTTTGCAGCTTTCAGACTGTTTCTGCAAAAGCATGTCAAAAGCCATGTGTCTCTGCCCCACCGTGTCTCCCCAGTCGTGCCTGGAAGTAAAGGTTGGAAGATACAGGCTGGCAGGCAACGGCCAGCTCTCTCTCCCTTTCACTCTAGTATCACCCGCAGACACCCCCAGCGAGTGCCACCACTCCCCCACTGTTTTCATTCTCAGCTTCTCCTAAATGGAAACCATTAATCATACTAAATTGTGCAATGATTCCGTGATAGGGAGAATGCTGATGGCAAAAATCATTCTCCTTTGTTGTGCCAGGCAGGCAAAAGGCAGAAGTATTAGCTCGTCGCCCTGCCTGGCTCCTTGCAAATGCTGACCATGTGTTTGCCTACGCAGCTGCCTCTATGCACACAGCTTATTTTAGCACTGGTCTAAGGCATGCCAACTGTTGACAGAAAACAAGGCCACCTCTTCCTTAGTCCCAGGACTGCCAGGAAGACTGTAACTGCTGGTGCTCCCTGAAGTCTCTCCCATCTCAAGGTCCCCATATCAGAGGTAGGGGTGATACAGGACTCGTGGGCAAAACCCAAGGTGGTCTCAGATGGGGTGAGCTGGTGGGGTAAGCCGTGCCCCCCATGCAGTTCTGCCAACTGGATTGCAGAAGAAGCCAGGTGTGGGTACCAAGGAGGCTTTTTGCCTTTCAGAATTTGATGTCTGCTTCACTTTCGACAAGGCTCTTTGTAAGCCACCCCTTCTGAATTAGAATCATTTTCCAAAAGCTCTTAAGCTATGATTAATGCCAGGGCTGTTTTTAACAATCATCCTGCCAGTCTTAAGCTGTAGTCATTTTCAATAATTTGGAGTGCTCAAAGGCAAGCCAGGAGTTTGTTGACAACAAAACCCGTAAGAGCACAGCCAGGCAGCCACAAAAGATGGAAAAGCAAAGGGACCATTTGGGCTTAGCTGGCTTTCTGCTCCCAGAGTTTCACCACTAAAAGTTTGATTGAACACTCACAGTGCGTTAAGGATCCAACTGTGAACATGGCTGGGCCAGAGGGCTGCCAGGCTGGCTTTTGTGTGAACAAACAAGCAGTGTGTTTGGAGGGCTCCGGGTTTATTTATGGACATGTGTGGTTCATTCATGCCATCCCCAAACCAGAGTGTCCTCATTTGTCTCCCCTCTGCCAACATGGAAGACCAAGAAAGAAATGCAGTTGCTTTTCTTTGGGGCTGTTTACCTCCCATGAATGCCGAGCAAGTCTCTGGCCAAGATGTGGGAATCCTGCTCTGTAGATGGCCCCGGCCATTTCCCCAGCCATGTGTGTTAAACTAGTGTTCTCTTTTTAATCTTGGCAATTTCATGGTAGAGTATCCATCTGTTTGAAAAGCCCAAACTGAAGGAAGCTACCGTTTGAAATGTCTGTGATTACAGATTTACTTAGACTCAGCTTCCGATAGCACTTATTTCTAGCTCATTACTTCCTCCGGAAGGAAAGGGTCAGCTCTGGGTGATGGGAGTTTAACCCAATGAATTTGGTGTGATGGATAGATATTTGTGTCTCCACTCGACTCTGCCATCACACCAACTATTATGTAGGGTGTGTTGCCAGCCAGGGAGAACACAGATGCTTGAGTATAGCTGGGAGCTTTTATTAGCTAACTTCCAATAAACTCCCTTCAACCATGAATCACAGCAGAGCCTCCGCCCTGCACTCCACGTGGCCTTAGCAGTATCTATCACACCCCCTCCCTGTCTCTATTCACTTCAAGCCCCTTTCTTCTGAGGCAGAATGAACAGATTTCTAGTGTTGGGCTTCTAGAGCTGTGTTTCTGTCTTGGCTAGAGGGACCCGAAAGGAAACTCGTAACCTATCCGGACTCTGTGTCCCTACACCCAATAAGTGTTTGCTGGGTTTTCCCAGCAACTTTTCGGGGGAATCTTTGGGACATCATCCCCCCTAGCATGGCACCCGCTTTAGGATCCTGAGGCTTGGGGAAATGAAAAGCTTCCTCCAAACTTACTTCTTCCTTTATATTCCATCTGATTTAATAGCATGATCAGTCTCCCAAACTGGAAACCTGGGTTATTTGCCTCCAGTGGTTAGCAATTCCTGCCCATTGCCCCCCTAATGCTTATCAAACTTGACCTGAATGCATCATTTCCATGTCACTCACCTGGTCCAGGCCCTTTACCTTCAAACAAAAGAATGTGGCAGCCTCTGGACTGGCTTCCCCTCCTCCTTCCCCAGCCCCATCACCAGTCCCTCCCTTGCCAGGGAACCACTCCTGGTTAACCTTTGACTGCAGCCTAAATCCAAATCCTCACAATCTGCCATCAATTCAGTTTGGACTTTCAGTGTCACCCCGTGATCCTCCACTGCCCCTGGCCCCTGGCCCCTACCCTATCCCACCTCTGTGCCTTTGAATATTCAGGGGTGTCCTCTTCCTTTTGAGAATGTCTCTGCATCCTTCGGGTTGCTTCTCTGTGCTTTTTCAATTCCTCATGCTTACCTCAATTTGTGTCCTTATCACATATCTGAACTGTTTGTTTACCTTTCTGTCTCCCTCAATAAAAACAGTAAATTCCTTGAGAGTAGAGACTGTATCTGATCCAGCTCTGTATCTCCGAAGCCAAGTGCAGTATCTGGCCCTGTGCTCAATAAATTATTGAATAATAAGAGAGAGATTTTTTTTCATCCGTGGTTGGATGGGTCTTTCAAGTGTCTGTCTCTTTCCTAGAAATATCTTGGTAAGCCCTGGGTCTCCTTTTTCTTTCTAACCAGCAATTTTAAAGTTTTGAGAACTCCCTCTGTATGCTTCGTTAAATTTTTGTTTGGGTTTGGTTTTTAAAATTTTGTTTCTTGCTCTGTCATCGTCAACATCATTTTTTCCCCACGTCTCCCTTCTCCTATCTCTCTAAGCTGTTTTATCCATTAAGGTCAGAAAGCACAGTGCCTATGCCATAGAAACATTTCAAGAGCCTGTGAACATATCTGAGACCTGGAAAGAAAAAAATGTATATATATGAGCTCTAAAATCCAGGGAAGGCAAGAAAACTGTAAAATCAAATGTATTAAATGTTTAATTAAATATCTACAAAACCATAACGTTGTCATCAGCAAACTGCAACCTAACGTAACTGGTAAATAATCAGAAACTGTATTCAACGTGGGACTGTAATGTATGTGACATAGTGTGGAATGGAGGCTTCACAAAAAGAGGTTCTAGGGCCTGCACAGGTTTCAAAGCAGTCTCTCCTCTGTCTTCCTTCTTTTCTTTTCCTCTTTCTCTCCCTCTCTTGTTAACTGTGTCTTCTCTGAATCTTGCACTGCAACTCTGAGCACGTAGAGCAAGTTCTGGAGGGAGCCACCACAGAAAAGAACCAGACCTGCCACGTAGGCAGAGCAAACTGTCGCATGAACCATCAACGCCTCCTGGAAGCCCAGAATTCTGACATATACACCTGGGGGTTCAGGATGGAAAGCTGATCTGCCCAAATATGCAGAGTGCACTTTCAGCTTTCATTAATGACTGATTCTCCTGGGTCCAGCAATGGCAATCTGTAGAGATATCTGACCTGCACACCCAGCTTCCAATGTGTACAGCAAATTGTCAGTGTGGACACCCTGGGCTGTGGAGGGCAGGTGACTTTTCTTCCTGCTGCTGTTTTCCGGCTTTGGGGTTTTGTTTTGGTGTGTGTGGGAGGTGGCAGGCTGGTGTTGATGAGCTCCGACTCCAGGAGCCAGTATTCATGAGTAGTGTTTCCAGCTGTGCCTCTGATTCAGCCGTGACCTTGGGCAAATCGCTTCTTCCCTGGGCCCTGCTCTCCATCTGTAAAAAGCCTCAATCCCAAAGTGTTTGGAGGTATTTGTTTGTAAAGTACTTTGACATCTCAGATCCAAGGCGCGGTAAAGAGCAAAAATACTGCTGTTTTAAAACCCTAAGGAAAGTATGGGTTGCCCTCTCTTGAGTTGAAAATTAAAAAGCTGTAATAATTGATGACTAATTCCATTGTTGCTTTATGATGTCCTCACCATCCTGGGATCATCCAATTTTTGCCTTTTTCCTTTATAAAAAAATAAATAAAGGTTCCTTGGTGAAGAATGGCTTTCATTTAGTAAATAATTTTGACTTGTGTAATTACTTCTGTGACTTTTCTTAACAACCTCGCTTCACTGAAAAAAAGCCACACACCTCCCCCCCCGCCCCTCCCCACTGTAGCCTTCCATCCCTGGTGCTTCATAAAGTAATTGTGCAATTAGGAAGAAGTGGCTGGAGCATCGGGTTTCTCTATATTTTAAGTTGGGAGTCTGACTTTGACTCCCTGCTTGCTGGAGTGGGTGAGCCAGCCCATTATTAAAAAAACTATTATGCTGTTAAAAAATCAGGAGCTCCACAAGTGAAGAGCATCGATTGGCGAGAGCTGGTCAGTTATCACCAGAAGGTCCTGACAACACACTAATAGGTTTTTCTGAAGATCCAATCAAATTTTCTAGGCAGAGGCTTGAGGTGTTCCACATGGGATAATGCTTGTCCTGGGCGGTATTGATTTCAGCATGTGGCTCTCTCTTCTCTCCCCTCTTACTGGCTCCCACTCTTCTCCTACTGTTATTTTTTTTTTTTTTTCTGGTAATAAAGACTTGAGCTTTGTATTCCATGTTAACAGTCTGATGGGGGAGGGGAGAGCCTCCCAAGCCTCATCTGCCCTTGACTTGGTGCCTCCCTGCACCATCTCCTTTGTTACTGTATTCCTAGAGTCAGATACATACAGCATCACCTGCTCTGCTTCTCCCTGACCTTGTGGATTTCATTCTTGTAGCTGCTTCCAGCCCAGCCAGCAAACCCTCTTAGAAGAAATTCTGTTAAAAAGCCTTCTGGGAAGTAGGAAATGAAACAGCTTGAAGTCACACAGGTTTCTGGTATCCCTACCCCACAAGTAAAGAATTCCCTGGGGCAAGGAGAGGGTGTTGGTTTATGCATACTCCTTTGTGTGCGTGTGTGTGTGTGGTGTGGACGTGCATGCACACACAGTGGTAGGGACACAAGCCTACAAGATGCAGCGGTACAGACTTAGGAATTGACCAAGCTACAGGATCAAAGGGGTGCACAGGGATGGATGCGGACACTGATCCAGCCTACCCTCTAGCCAAGCTTTGTGTCCTGACATGGAGTTGCAACTTCTTGGAGGAAGGGATATCTTTTTTTCTAATTCACACAAAGATGTCTGGACCATCAGTGGCCTGGAGAGATGTGGTGGAGACTCAGAGCCTCCAGGATCTGGAGTAACTCTGCTACTGTGCACGGATGTATCTGAACACTGGCCACTCCCCACAAACATCCCTGGATGAGACGAAAGTGTTAGCGGTGTATTAGATTGATGCAGAAGCAGCTGCGTTTTTTGCCATGACATTTTTTAAGTGACAAAAACCACAATTACTTTTGAACCAACCTAATAAAACACTCCTTGTACCCATTCCATGATTTTAGTATTTTCATTGTACTCAAGGATCCCAGGGCGGCTTTTCAGATCTATCAAGTTGACATTCACTTTGCTCACCCAACCTCTCTGCCAACTCATCTCACCCAAGCCTCTGCACATGGCCTAGATGGAATGCACCTGGCACGTCTTTGCTTGTCCCTCCCTTCTCCCTTGCTTCACCTCCCATACCTTTTGCAGAGCAAGGGCTCTGTTATCAGCAGGCTGGGGTTCAAATCCCAATTTCTTTACTTAATAAAAGTTGACTTTGGGCAAGTCTCTGAGTCTGTTTCTTCATCTTTAAAATGTCCACCTCACACCTTGCCATGGGGCTCACGTGGGTTAAAATACTGTGCTGTACACAAATATTAGTTATAGGTTCTCAAACTCTTAGGTTCCAGGAGGCTTACCTTCCCCCTGGGGCTCCCTAAACCCCATAGGTAGCTCCTAACCAGGTTCACGCCAATTAGCACTTGGTTATATACTGACACGTTTTTCTCTCATTGTTTCCAGTGTGTGTTTTGTCTGCACAACCAGGCTGTTGGTACCTGGAGTAGCAGGGTCATATCATACACTTGTCTTGGATTCCCCACAGCCCTCCAATATGCTGAGCACACAGTGGCTACTCGATAACTCCTTGACTTCCCTGGGTATCTATTGTTATAAAATCTTTAGTCTGTAGCACTTCCCACCTAGGAAGAGACTTAAATGGAATCTGTAGCTTTGGTTTCGCTCATCCAATCACAGAACACAGCCTGTCAGATCTGCAGAGCACCCCCAGAGCTCATCCCGTCCAACCCCTTCATTTTACAGACTTCGATTGCAGGCAGCCTCACAGAGGAGGACCAAATACCAGCCACCCGAGATGTTATGTTCCTGACCCCCAAGCTCCTCCAGCCACGACACCAGAGCCCAGTTAACAGAGGAAACCCTCCTCACCCTCCCCAGGCAGCATGCTGTAGGGAAGCCATTCTCAAAACATAGGCACTGGGCCTGCCACCTGGTGTCACCTGAGAGTGCATTAAAAATGCAGATTCTCAGGCCACCCCCCCCTCCTCCCGCCACTTCTACTGAATGAAAACTAGAGCAAGGCCCAGCCATCTGCATTTGCTCTGGTCCTCTAGGTGATTCCGATGCCTGCTCCACTGTAACAGCCACTGACTGCTCTGGGGGAAGAGCTCTGGACTTCAGCCAGCAGACCTGCATCTGGGTCCAGGCTTCACTCCCAGTGTCAGTGTCTTCATCTGCAAAGCAGGAAACACAGCACTCACCTCACCAAGCTTTTGTGTGCCTTAGCTGGAATCACACACTTGGCACACAGTAGGCACTTAAGAAATGTTAGCTGCTTTTGAATTGCCACTTGTCTTGGGTGAGTGGATGAATGGCTGATTGCAAGGCTGATTGGAGGACATGCAACTTTCATCACCTTCATCAGGAAAAACAAATCTATTAAGTGGCTAAATGCATGATATTCTGTTCTCTACATGGGGAGGAAAAAAGGCATTCCATAAATCAGGAGTGACTACAAGGTAGAGTGCAAAGGCCAAAGATTTTGCAAATAGGAGGATCGTGGTCCAAAGCCCACCTCCATCACCATGTGCTGGCTACGCGATCTGGATAGACTTATGTTGGCACGCTCATTCATTCAGCTGATATTCTGGGGCTCCTACTATGTGCCAAGCAATGTGCTAGACATGGAGAACACACAAGGGAACACGTTGGTTAAGACCCTATGGCGGATCAAATAATCCACCTGCTCCTCTGTAGGTCTCAGCCCCCTTGCAGTTGGGCAGAGTGCGTGCCTCCTTTCTGTGCTGCACCTGCATTTTACCTATGCCCACATGATTCCCCAATGTTTCCCTTGCCTTGCTGCAGCCACTGAAAATGTCAATGTTCCACACGGTGCAGACACAAGGTACTGAATCCTCCCCTGTCCTGGATCTCTGAGTGACAAGGTGGAGCAGAAGCCTTTGCTCAACCCCACAGGACACGTTACATGAGGGAGAAACATAAGATTTGGGATTTATGTTTCCACCACAGAGTCCAGTCTCTCCTGACTAACACAGACCCTGTCCTGATGGGGCTTGCATTCTAGTAAGACAAACAACACACACAGTTGAGCACTTCATTACAGTTGTAAGAGGTGCTATGAAGAAGCCATGGGTTACTGTGAAGTCATATGTGAGTGGAGCCTTATCTAGGAGGTGGGGATGGGGGTGTTGGAGGTTGTCAGTTCAAGGAAGACTTCTCTGGAGAAGTGTTGAGACCTGAGGGATGAATACGAATTGTTTAGGTAAAAAGGGAAGGAGAAGTCAGGTTCAAGGAGAAGAAAGAGCCTCTGCGAAGGCCTGGAAGTGGAAGGGTGTAGGATGTTGACGAACAGGCCGATAAGATAGGAGTGCCGAGAGTGAGCAGGGGTGAACAAGAAGGTGGGCTAGAATCAGATTATGGAGGATTTTATGGGCCAGGTTAAGGATTTGGGATTTTATCCTAAAACAAATGGCAAACTGGAAATTTCAAACAAGGCAGAAGCAGGAAGTCTGTTTTTCAAAAAGCTTTGAGCCTTACCTTCCTCATCTGTACAGTGGGCATAATAATATATACGCTTCAAAAAACTGTGAGAATGGGATAAAGTAACCTCCATTAAACATGGTGCTGAGCACACTGTTAACACTTAAAATGATCCAGCCCTTTGTCTTTGTCTGGTTCCCTCCTGCTTAGAGCTCGCATCTAGCACACGTTCTCTGGCATGCTGTCTTCTGGAGATGCTGCAATCAGCAGGAAGAAAGCCAAGATATCTTTGCAACGAAATAATGACAAACCTTTACTGAGCATTTACAGTATGACAGTTGCAGTTCTAAGTATTAACTCAGCACAACCCTATGGGATAGATACAATTATTACCCATTTTACAGATGGGGAAACCCAAGCACAAAGTGGCTAAGCTATTTGTTCAGGACCACACAACTGGTACATAGTAGGGCAGGGCTCACGCCTGTAATCCCAGCACTTTGGAGGCCGAGGCAGACGGATCACGAGGTCAGGAGATTGAGACCATCCTGGCTAACATGGTGAAACCCCGTCTCTACTAAAAATATAAAAAATTAGCTGGGCTTGGTTGCGAGCGCCTGTAGTTCCAGCTACATGGGAAGCTGAGGCAGGAGAATGGCATGAACCCGGGGGGCGGAGCTTGCAGTGAGCCGAGATCGTGCCACTGCACTCCAGCCTGGGTGACAGAGCGAGACTCCATCTCAAAAAAAAAAAAAAAAAAAATAGCAGGGAGAGATTTAAACCCAGATACTTTGAGTCCAAGGTCCTCGCTCTTAGTCACATCTTTCATTCTCTCTTGGAAAGAAATGAGCTTTTAGGGAAACAAAGTGTTTAGAGGGAGCTGCTCTGGTCAGATCCAAGGAGTAGGAGGAAGAGATGGACCCAGCCACTGATGCTGAGCAGAACACCTGTAAGAAGCAGGGCGCACCCTCCATGCTCTCAGACCATCTGCCCATGAGAGGCAGAAGCTGGACCTCACAGCCAACCCAGGGCACTGCCCAGTTCCCAGCCACCCTGAGCCAGGAAGTGAGGCAGGTTCTCTAAATCACCTTTATCCGCCTCCAAGTTCCTTCTAGAGATGGACCCTTCAGGGACAGCCCAAGGCACACCTCCCAGGTCGCTGCTTGGGAAGACCCTGGGGGCCGTGGCAAGGCCTTAGTGGGGGCAAAGAGGATGCCCTCGAGCCTGGTGTGTGTCCATGGCATCGAGCCTGAGGCATATGCTATCAGGAGAGCCCCAGGGGAAGGCCAGCCTCACTGGGCTTTGAGGTAAACACACAGGATGGCCGCCCTGCCCTGTCACTCTCTGCAGTCAACCAGAAAGTCAGAAAACGTGCCCAGCGACCTGCGAAGCAGATGGCTGAGAATATCATGTGTATACAATATTTATGAAATGTGAGCTGAGCAGAGCTGTGGCTGAGACTCCCGTCCCAGGCAGAGTAATTCAGCCCTGTGTGATGAACAAGATTGTAATTGGGGTAGTTCCAATTTACTAACCATTTGCAAAAGATTACATACCTCTCACATATTATCCTCTCCTAATCTTACTTTAATGAACACTACTCTATCTGGATGTATAATTTCAGGGCGGGGGAAAAACAATTTCTAGCCTAGAAGGCAAAGCTGCAGCTAATACATTAACATCCAAATTAGAGAGAGGGAAAGTAATTGTGAGATCTATAGCTAAAGTAATTTAAAGGCGCCCTCCCCTTCCATGCAGAAAAAGACAGATGTATAGTGGAGGCAGTTCTTATTACTACCAGCGACTTTCCAGTAAGGGGTGAGGAACCTCCCTCCAAGATGGCAGCCTCACCTGGAAACGTTCACTTCACTTCAAGGGACTCCAGATGAATGTGTTTCTCAGCTGAACTTCACTGGTGGAAATGAGCCATGCTTGTATTAGGAAGGAAGCGAGTCAGACTAGCAGAAGAACTTCCAGGGAGTAAGGGTTGTTGGTAAGCACATCTTCCCCAAAAGCCTAAGGCTAGGAGGGATCCTTAGGGTGAGTTCATGAACCCGTCTTTATCTCAGTTTCATCATCTGTAAAATGAGGCTGGAATAGAATAATAATGCTTCCCTATTCATGCCTTCATTTGGTGAATGATTTTATTGAAATCTGCTTTGTGCCCAGCACTTTTCTAAGTGCTAGGGAGACAGAGTGTTTTTTGTTTGTTTGTTTGTTTTTAAAGAAGTTCTTGCTCTCAGGAAGCTTACATTTTCATGGGGAAAGTAAAACAAATAAATAAGACAAGGGTAGGGTGCTTGCGTCTGGGATACTCATGACAGGCTCACGCCTCTTCAAAACCAAGGGTGACCCAATTGATTTCCCAGGCAGTGGACCCAGGGAGTCCCTGGAACTGCTTTGCTGCCTCAGTCCTGAAGGGGACTGTCCAGCGCTGAGCCATCCCCACTCTTGCACTGCTTCCCTCTGTGAGGCGTGGGCTACAATTGAAGCTTCCAGAAGGCAGCTGCTGCTCAGCTCACATCCAGAATGAGGGTTGCAGATGGCAGAGAACCAGTGCCCAGGGCTCTGCTACCCAGAGTGCTGTCTCTGGCGGACGGTGGTCAGCAGCCCTTCCTCCCCTGTACCTTGTGAACTCCAGGAGGAGGTCAGAGAATACAGCCAATGAAAGGCAACACTTGCAATCCTGGAAATGTCCTTCCGGAACTCCTTCCTGATTCCCATCTGCAATGCAGAGCAGGACTGCAGGGGAGAGATGCTCAACTGTGCTGCCCACTCCCTAGGACTCACCAAGTCCCCATCAGGGTGGATGGGGCGGGAAAAACAGCCAAAGCCCCTGCATAAAGGGCCAGAACGTCAGCCATGTTAGAAGCACATACTGTGTGCCAGGAGAGGACGGCACCCCACCTGAACTTCACTGGCCATACCTTGTGGTCTGGGTCAGAGCTTCCCAGGACAGAAGCACAGAGGCTTTGTGGATCCCAGATGTGATACTGTGACACCCCTCCATGTCCTAATCTCTGATCTCAGGAATAGCAGGAAAGGGTTATGGCCAGAGCCCTGGGCCCCATCTCTTAGGAGCCCTCCCCAAGCACCCCTTTCTTGGCTTCCCTCCCCAGTCCCCCTTCCACTCTCACCTAATTGCCTCTCAGAATTGTTTGCCAGGGTGAGGGAGACTGATTGAATCCAGGAGCTCTGTTCTGATCTTGTCAATCAGACCTGCCCACCTGCCTGTGCACACACAAGCCTGCTCTCTCCCGCACTCTGGCCCTTTGCTTGCTCTCTGGCCTCCACACTTTCTCTTAAATAAACACACACAGACACCCGGACAGTAAGGCACAGTCTGTCCAACTTGCCAGGAAGCCTAGAAAATTCACAGCCACTTAAGCCCACATTGGAAGGAATGGGACCCAGGGCTGGAAGCTTGGAGCTGCAGCTCCTCTCTACTCTCTGCCACCTCAGGGAGCGAAGGGCATCCAGTTGCTAGTTCCCCAGGGCCATCCAGAGAGAGTTTGGACTTGGTGAAAATATTCAAAAGCCTTTGTATTAATAAGTGCTACAGACTAAATGTTTGCCGCCCACCCCAATTCATCATCAAAGTCGTAATCCCCAATGTGATTGTATTGGAGATGGAGCCTTTGGTCGGTAATTGAACTTGGATGGGGTCATGAGAATAGGGAACCCATGATGAGGTGGTGCCCGTATAAGGGGATAAAGGGAACGGAGCTCATTCTCTCTGTCCTGTGAGGATACAGAAAGAAAGCAGCAGTCTCTAAACCAGGGCCCTCACCACCAACAAAATCTGCCATTGTCTTGATCTTGGACTTCTCTGCCTCTAGAACTGTCGGAAATAAATGTCTGTTGTTTAAGCCAGTCAATCTATGGTATTTGTTAAAGCAGCCCAAACTGACTAAGACAATAAGCAATAGAGCTGGACTGGACCCCCTTCCAGACACCGGACTCTGCCTGGTAATTTGGCAGGCTCCCCAAGCAACCCCATCCCTTAATAGCTGGCCACAGTTTCTGCTGTTGCAGATGTGTGTGCTGCTGGTCAGCAAATGAAGGGGGAGAGGGGATGAGCAGAATCTAAGCTAAATAAACAAAATAAGAGAAGGAAGGAAGGAGAGAAGGAGGGGAAGACAGAAGGAGGGAGGAAGAGAGGGAGGGAGGGAGTATGTTCAACTCAGTACTGTGCATACTAAGCAACTGCATAAGTGAGTGAAAGTGGGGCCTCACTGCTGTCTTCTCAGAGGTGATGTGGGATGACCAACCATCCCAGTTTGCTAGGAATAAGGAGGCTCCTGGGACCGGAGACTTTGACTGCCAAAACCTGGGCTGGGCCCACTTGGTGACTATGGAGGGCTCAGTCCCATCTCCCTGCAGCCTGAGCCTTAGAGTAAGGCTGTGTTCTAACAGCCCAGAAGGAGCCCAGGGACAGGATTCTGGTAAGGGATTATATTACCAAAAAAAAAAAAAAAAAAGACCTTTTCTTTGTTTCTCCTGCTCCTGTGTTTATACTGCTTCTTCCTTATCTTTTCATAGTCGTAGTTTTAGTAGTGATAATGGGGTAATAATAACAGTTAACACATGTAGAGTGCTTTTTATGTTGCAAGCACAGTTCCAAACACTCTAGAGACCCTGACTCCTTTAACCTTCCTAATTACCTTTGACATAGGTATTGTTATTGTTGCCATTTGCAGATGAGAGAACTGAGGATAAAAAAGGTTCCCTGTGTCCAAGGATGCCAAGCCCACAGTTGGTGGGTGCTGCTTGCCCTGTGCCTGGTTCTAGTGGCTCCTCTCTCCTTACTCACCTGCAGCCTTGCCTCTGCGCCTTTAGCCTGGGGTTCCCATTCAGCACCCAGGAGCATCTCAGCCTCCTATTCCTATGGGGACAGTGGGTTGGGAAAAGCAGTGGCAGTTGGGCTCCTTTCTCTGAAAGCCATATGACCAGGAGGGCTTCTGTTGTGTCAGGGGCTGAGTGGCCAGGGTGTGGGCCTAGGTCTTTGCAGCCTTTGAGGTATTCAAGTTCCCAGGGCTGTGAGTGGGGCTCTGAGGCCACCTCCCCTCTGTCCTTTGAGGGGTGGCAGCCCTGCCTCTCTCTCCCAGGACTTAACAGCCTGTGCCACTATGCTGTCAGGAAGCACGTGGCCTTCTGGCAGTGACTCTCCAAGCCTGAAAAAGGAGCAAAAGGAATATTTGATCACAGGTGGCTGCTGTCAGCGCTGCTGTCTCTGAAGTCCTGAGAGTCGGGTGCTTCCTGTCTGCTAGGAGTCCTGTGAGGCCCCTCTTCATGTCCGTAGCCCGAGCCTGGGGCCCTGCAGCCACCTCTGCAAAGGGAGCACGTGAATCACGCCTCTCGCCTCTTGGGTGTCACCCCTGTGAGGCTGTGTAGAAATGCCCTCAGAGGGCAGGAGAATGGCATGAACCTGGGAGGCGGAGCTGAGCTTGCAGTGAGTGGAGATCATGCCACTGCACTCCAGCCTGGGCGACAGAGTGAGACTCCGTCTCAAAAAAAAAAAAAAAAAAAAAAAAAAAAAAAAGAAATGCCCTCAGAGACAACACTCCCTCACCTCCCCTTCTGCCTCTTTCCAAGGAGAGAGGATGTGTTGCTTGGACAGAGTGTGCCTTTTGAAACCAGCCAGGCTCCGGGTTGTTTTCAACGCTCATGTGCAGCTCCTGGTGACCTTCCTCTGTGTCCTCGTTTTCAGGCTACAACACCCACCTGCTAGGTCTGAATCAGGGGTTAAGTGGAACATCATGCCCAGAGTGCCCGGATGCGAGCCAGGCCCACAGAAGGAACTCAATCAACAGTAGAGAGAATTCAATCAGGTCGGGAAGCTCAGAGCGTGGTGGGGTCCATCCACCCTCTGAGGAGGCCCCATGTATGGCTCATCTCAGACTCAGGCAATACTGTGATTCTTTAAAGTTCTATAGAAAAAGAGGTTTTGAAACCTCCTGTTGTATCCAATTTCATGTTTTAACAACTCCCCTCTGTGATAATTCCTTTTTTTAGGTCGAATCTGAGTCCCTCAAGCTGCAACTCGAGTTAATATTCTTTTGTCTCCTTTTCAGAAGAGATTGAGAATCACCCGCTCCCCTTCTGGTATTTCTTCAGGAGCATGAGGACTTTAACCTTCTCCTCTCCAGGCTGTGGAGCAGAGAGAACGATCGTGCTCACTTGCTCCTGGTCCTGCTTCTGAGGTCCAGACCTTAGAGACCAGGGGCCCTGTCTGGCCCAGACGCAAGAAAGAGAGTCTGCCTCGGGGGCAGGGACCAGGACCCAGGTCCTCAGATTGTCTGAATCTTGCTCCCATAATCCTGTCTCCTGTACCCAGGCATTCTGGGCCACAGCCTTCTCCGAGTTCTTCGCATTCTGAAATTCTTTGTTCTTTTTCCTGAATGAAAAGGTGGGTGGGGTTGAAAAAAAGAACTTTCAACGAAGTCTAAACGTGCCTCCTGAACTGGGCCATCTCCCCTGGGTTCAGGGCTGAGGCACCAGAACGGGGGCTGCAATCCGCGGGACGGGAGCGCGGGACCGGGCTGGCCTTGCCTATGCCCCTGCCCAGCGCACGCCCCGGGCCTCCCCAACTCCTCATCTACAGGCGTCCGCTGCGCTTCCCAGCCACTTGCCGTCCCATAATCAGCACCATTATCTCTGGATAATTTTCCCTCCTCTCCGCGATGCGGCCTGTGAAAAGAACCCGAGGAAGGACCGTGTTTCTGGGACTCCGAGGTGGGGGATGTGGTCTTGATTGTAAATGAAAAATTAAACCCGCGTGTCTCGCATTCAAGCTGGAGCGATTGCGCGACGGACGCTGCGCGTCCCCAGGCCGCCCCGGCTGCCTGAAGGGTAGCATTGATCTGACTACCTTTTCTTTGGCTTGCCTCTGGTTTAGCAAATCTATAATGCATTTAATCTCCGAAAGCCACCACGCTTGGCTTTAGTTACCTAATTTGCTGTCGAGAGCTCCTGCAATTCTCTTCCCGCCAACGACGTTTAACTCAAGGCTTTTGTTTGTCCAATCAGCCGGGCTTTCCTTGCGGTGGAGGGGGTGGGAGAAAACAGCCCACGAGGGCGATCGCGGGCTGAGTCCCCCACTGCACCCCTCACCCTCAAGCGGGCGGCCTCAGGAGCCCAGGCATCCCCCACTGCGCCCCTCCCACCCACCTGGATTCTGTGCCTTCTTCGTCTGACCTGAAATCCGTCCTCCGTGTGCCAGGCATTGTGCCTGCCGCTGCAAAGATGAGGGGGAACAAGTTCCTTCCTTAAGGAACTGGCAGGCTGCTTGGGGGACAAACCCATACACGAATAATTACCACACAATGAAATAAACGTCTTAATAGAGGTGTGTACAAAATGCCAGAGAGAACAGAGAAGGAAGTGACTCATCTTCTCTTGGGAAGATGATGAAAGCTTTACAGACAAGGTGCAATTTCTGCATCCTTGCAGGGTAAGCAGAAGTTCATTAGGTGGGGTGGTGGAGAAGGCATCCCGGCTGGGAACAGCTTGTGCCAAGAAGGGGACCCTTTGGGAAATGGGGAGGAGCGGGTGTTGAGGAAGCCCAGTCGTTGGGGGAAGAGGGTAACTGGACTGGAGTGGTGGGAACTGAAGAGGAAAGTAGGGCCTCAAGCGCCAGGCATCACATCCCGTTCTCTGACAATGAAGAAGCATTGGAAGTTTCCAGGCAAGAATATACATGCAAAGACAGAGATAGAGATGTGGGAATATAGATGAATCTGATAGGTATAGATCTACACACGTATATATATGCTCACACAGACACAGACACATATATGATAGACCGAAAGAGAATATATTGCTGGGTGCAGTGGCGCATACCTGTAATCCCAGCACTTTGGGAGGCCAAGGTGCGTTGACTGGTTGAGTTCAGGAGTTCGTGACCAGCCTGGGCAACATGGCAAAACCCCATCTCTACAAAAATTAGGTGGGCGTGGTGGTGTGTGCCTATAATCCCAGCTACTCCGGAGGCTGAGGCAGGAGGATGGCTTGAGCCCAGGAGGCAGAGGTAGCAGTGAGGCGTGATCACGCCACTGCACTCCATTCCAGCCTGGGTGGCAGAGCCAGACCCTATCTCAAAAAAAAAAAAAAAAAAAAAAAAAAAAGTGTATATTTATATCAACTTTTTTTGTTTGTTTGTTTTAGAAGCAGGGCCTTGCTTAGTTGCTCAGGCTGGAGTGCAGTGGCACAATCATGGCTCACTGCAGCCTCAAACTCCTGGGCTCAAGCCATCTTCCCACATCAGTTTCCTGAGTAGCTAGGACTATAGGCAAGCAATGACATGCCTGGCTAATTTTTTAACTTTTGTAGGGATAGGGTCACGCCATGTTGCCCAGGCTGATCAATCAATCCTGGCCTCAATCAATCCTCCTGCCTCGGCCTCCCAAAGTGCTGAGATTATAGGCATGTCCAGCCTGTATCGCTATTTGTACAATTTATTTCATATATTATATTTATTTGTTAAGCCTGTCATAACAAAGTACCGCAGACTGGGTGGCTTAAACAACAGAAATGTATTTTCTCATGCTCCTGGAGACCGTAAGTTGAAGACCAAGATGCGACTGGGGTTCGTTTCCTCCATGTCCTGTCTCCTTGTCTTGTAGATGGCCCCTTTCCCAATGTGCCCTCACACTGTTTTCCATCTGTATGCATATGTTTGTCCAAATGTCCTCTTCTTATAAGGATGCCAGTCATACTGGGTTGAGGCCCACCCTCATGACCTCATTTTACCTCTTTAAAACACAGTCTATCTCCAAATACAGCCACATTATGAAGTATTAGGGGTAGAACTTCAACATATAGATTTTTGGAGGGTTACAATTCAACGCATAACATATATGATTTTACATTCATTTATAAATGTATTGATTGATTTCACATTTCCTTCCAGAGGGTTCCATAGCCCTTGGCCTTAAAGAGCAGTGGCTTGGGGAGAGGGAGCACTACTGCAGATGCACTGGCTCTTCCCAGGGTGGGAGAAAGGGAGGGAGAAGGGCTACCTCTCCACAGCTAACTCAGGGCTTGGTACTCTGCAGCCAGGTTATTCTGGCAGCCCCCAGAAGCAGCCTCTATTCTTGGATAAAATCCACATGCTCACTCAGTTCAGAGGAGCAGGCATTTCCAGAAATGCTGAGGAGAGTGTGGTCTGCTCCTGAATGGAGATCTCACCTTGGAAGTGGATCACCCTCCCACCAGGATGGGGGGCTGAAGCCAGATAATTGGACTTTTACTCTTTTCACTCTGCTTTAAAAAAAAAATCGATTAGGACTTTTCTGTTGGTGAGTGACAGACCACAGGATTCAAATAGGCTGAAATCAATGGAGGATTTTATTGGCATAGATAACTGAAAACTCCAGGGGGTAGATCTTGATTTTCAGGAATTGCTGAGTGCAGCGGGTGGGGTGGTCAAGGGTATGTGACATTTTCATCTGCCAGCCCTGCTGTCTTCTAAGTCAGCTTCTTTCTCAGGCAGGGCTTAGGTGGAAGCAAGATGGCTGACTCAGCTGTAAGCCCAGGGCTAAATTCAATGCCAACAAAAGAGAACATAGTTCTCAACAGGCCTATAGGTTTGTTTTATTAAATAATGTCTGTGCATCTCCTTGGAGCTGTCTAGATCACAGGAGCATCCCAGAAGCTATCACTGTACTAGGAAAAGGACTGGCCAGTCCTACCACCCCCACACCTCATGGGGCCCACAACATCCAAAGCAGGGGGAAGAGTGATTCCCCAGAGAGAAACTGGAATTCTTTTACCCTGCAAAAGGCTAAATGGCTGCCCATTAGTAAAAGCAAAAGACACCCACTACACACTCCAGGAGAAGACTCTGTGGGACAAAAGTATAACAAGATGTCACCTATGACACTATTCTGGTTGTGTATTTCAACAATAATCCTGGTTGAAAGATAGCATTGAATTTCATTATGTTACAATCTTTCTGCTTCTTACCCAAAATGACTTTATTTCTGTGAAGTGGAATATTGTTTCAAAGAGAAAGAAAGAAATGTTTTTCTTAAGTGGTTTTAAAAAAAAGTATGACAAGGTGGCTGAGAGAGTCCTGGGCTCTAGAGTCCACACTCTGCCGCTTGATAGCCATTTGACATTGAGCAAATTGCTTAACCTCTCTGAACTTGTATTCTGTTTACTAATTAGGGTTAATAAAAGCTTCTTATTATGTACATTAAATGACATGGTGTGCACAAAGCTCTTAGCACATAGTACAGGCCCAAGAAATATTCACTGCTACTTTTAAGAAGGAGACTATAGAGAAATCACAGACTCACAGTGTTGCCCCTGAAAGGATGCTTGGTGTGGCCATGACACTTTTCAGTTAAGAAAATAGAAGCAAAAAGAGGTTAAGCAGCTACTCTAAAGTCACTCCGCTCACTAGTTACAAAAGTGGGGCAGAGGCCGGACGCTGTGGCTCACGCCTGTAATCTCAGCACTTTGGGAGGCCGAGGCGGGCGGATCACAAGGTCAGGAGATCGAGACCATCCATCCTGGCTAATATGGTGAAACCCTGTCTCTACTAAAAATACAAGATTTAGCCGGGCGTAGTGGCGGGCGCCTGTAGTCCCAGCTACTCAGGAGGCTGAGGCAGGAGAATCTCTTGAACCTGGGAGGCAGAGGTTGTAGTGAGCCGAGATTGTGCCACTGCACTCCAGCCTGGTGACAGAGGGAGACTCTGTCTCAAAACAAACAAACAAAACAAACAAACAAACAAACAAACAACAACAACAACAACAACAGTGGGCCAGAATCCAGGACCCTGAATTCGCAGTGGAGCCAGCTGCACTATGTTTTAACCAGTCTCCTACACCTGTCCAGGACAACGGCCCCATTCCCGGAACATGGAGAATCCAGCAACCTGAGTCTCTTTAAGCATCTGCTTGGGAGGAGTGTCTTTGTCTTTGCAGAGGCTCTTGCATGGTGAGGGAAGGGGCCTGGTGTCTGTGACCCAGAGGACTGGACTGTGTGCACTTGTGAGTGTCCGCCCCCATGGTTTCAGATCACAAATAGGCAAGTTGAGGACACTGTTCAGGGTTACGGATCCTGAGAAACAGCCATTCCCCTCTGAGCAATGCAAGAGCTGAACGGTCCTATGATTCTTAGTCCTCTTGAAAGAGGGCATAGGATCTTACTCCAGTTACTTAAGGGATAAATGCCAAGCCTGACCCTGATAAACCCAGGCTCCCACACCTTGCACATAGCTGGCACCCTGAACCCTGCTCACCGAACGCTACACAAGACTTTGGAAAAAACGTGGAATTTAGAGTCTGGGATCAAGCCTGGGGCCACACCCTGCCTCATCTTGACAAGTTGTGAGGCCCAGGGGAAGTCTCCTGTGCTTTCTGAACCTGTTTCTTCATCTGGGAGATGAAGATATGCAAGTTGCCATAAAGATGAAATGATGTTTCTAAACTTTATTAACATAAAGTGCTATATGAGGCCATTAGATATTACAGATCAAGACCAGAGAGGCAACTGGGCCTGCTCTACAGGGAAGTGGCCTTGGGTGGTGACCAGCTGAGGCTGACAAAGTGATGATGAAGGATGTCAGGGAGGCCAGGCTGCCCCATAGAGTTGGGAGGCAAGCTTGGGTCAGTGCCCGGCTCCATCCCTGTGGTCAGTACCCTTCTCCTGCCCAACCTTGCAGACATACTCTACACCCCACACACAGCGTCTCTGTCACACACACACACACACACACACACCCCTCCCACACAAACTCTGTACCCCACACACACCCTCCATCCTCCCACACACAGTCCACACCCCTCACACACTCCACCCTCCCCACATACTCTACACCGTCCCACACACTCCACCCTCCCACACACACTCCACACTTTACAAACACTTCAACCTCTGACACACATACTCCACACCCCCCACACACTCTACCCTCCCACACATATTCCACACTGTCCCACACACTCCACCCTCCCACACACACTCCACACCTCACACACACTCCACCCTCCCACACACACTCCACATCCCACACATACTCCACCCTCCCACACACACTCCACACCCCACACTCCATCCCTCACACACACACTCCACACCTCACACACACTCCACCTTCCCACACATACTCCACACTGTCCCACACACTACACCCTCCCACACACACTCCAAACCTCACACACTCCACCCACACACACACTACACCCCACACACACTCCACACCCCACACACGCTCCACACCCCACACACACTTCACCCTCCCCCGACACACTCTACACCTCACACACACTACACACCTCACACACTGCAGCATCCCACACACAGTCCACGCCCTACACACGCTCCACACCCCACACACACTCTACCCTCCCACACACACTCCACACCCCACACACTCCACAGCACCACACACACTCCACACCCACACACACACACCACCCTCCCACACACACTACACATCCCACACACACTAACACCTCACACACTCCATCCTCCCACACACACTCTACACCCTATACACGCTCCACACCCCACACACACTCTACCCTCCCACACACACTCCACACCCCACACAATCACCCTCCCACATACACTCCACACCCCACACACACCTCACACCTCACACACACACTCTACACCCCTGACACACTCCACACCCCACACCTCACACACACTCTACACCCCTGACACACTCCACACCCCACAGACTCCACACCCCCCCACACACTCCACACCCCACACACACATCACCCTCCCACACATACTCCACACCCCACACACACTCCACATCCCACACACTTTCACACCCCACACACACACCACACCCCACACACACTCCACACCCCACAACTTCACACCTCACACACACTCTCTACACCCCACACACACTCCACACCCTCCACACCCCCACACACACTCCACCTTCTCACACATACTCCACACCCCACATACATTCCACACCCCACACACACTTCACACCCCACATACACACCACACCCCACACACGCTTCACATCCCGCACACACTCCTAACCCCCCATACTCTACCCTCCCACACACACTGCACACCTTTCCCACTCCCCAACCCCCCCACACACACCTCACCTTCCCACACACACTCCACCCTCCTACACACACTCCGCACCTCACACACACACTCCACACCCCCCCACTCCACCCTCCCACACACACTCCACACCCCCCTACACCACACCCCGCAGACACACTACACCTCACACACACTCCACCCTCCCACACCCTCCACACTCCCACATACATTGCACACCCCCCACACACTCCACCCGCCCACACGCACCACGCCCCACACACACTCCACTCTCCCCCATACTCTCCACTCCCCACACACAGTCCACACCCCACACATGCTCCACTGTCTCACACACACTCCACACCCCTACACACTCCACTGTCCCATACACACTCCACATCCCCCACACACCACATCTCTCACTATCTCTCTCTGTCTCATAGACAAACACACACACTGCACACACACTCCATACTCCATACACATGCTCACACACATGCTCCACACATCACACAACATACCACCCCCCCACACACACACAGAGTCTCCACCCTTCCACCCATACTCCACACCCAACACACACCACATCTCAGACATGCAGACTCTACCCACCACCCTCCCCACGCATACTCCACCCTCCCACACATCCCCCACATACCACACAGACACATCACACACACACTCACACACACTCTCCACCCTTCGCACACACCACACACTCCACACACATACCCATGTACTCCACACACCACACCACGCACTTCACACATACACTCCACACCCCACACAGACCACACACACACGCACACTACACAGACGTTCACATTCACCACACATGCACATAGATTACATACACACCACAGAGACATGCACATAAACACACGTAACACCTGTGGTCATCTGTGTGCACAATGCTGTAAAGATACTACCTGAGACGAATTTATGAAGAAAAGAGGTATAATTGACTGACAGTTCCACATGGCTGGGGAGACCTCAGGAAGCTTACAATCATGGCAGAAGGCAAAGGGGAAGTGAGGCACGTCTTACACTGCTACAAGAGAGAGCGAGCTAGCAAAGGGGAAGTGCCACACTTTCAAACCATCATTTCGTGAGAATTCCCTCACTATCATGAGAACAGCATGGGGGAAACTTCCCCCATAATCTGGTCACCTCCCACCAGGTCCCTCACTCAACATGTGGGAATTACAATTTGAGATGAGATTTGGGGCTGGGCGTGGTGGCTCACACCTGCAGTCCCAGCACTTTGGGAGGCTGAGGTGGGTGGATCACCTGAGGTCAGGAGTTTGAGGCCAGCCTGGCCAACATGGTGAAACCCTGTCTCTACTAAAAATACAAAAATTAGCCAGGAGTGGTGGCAGGCGCCTGTAATCCCAGCTACTCAAGAGGCTGAGACAGGAGAATCCCTTGAACCTGGGAGGCGGAGGTTGCAGTGAGCAGAGATCATGCCACTGCACCTCAGCCTGGGTGACAAGAGTGACACTCCGTCTCAAAAAAAAAAAAAAAAAAAGAGAGATGAGATTTGGATGGGTACACAGAGCCAAACCATATCAACACCCTTCCCACACACACTCCATACTGTGTACACCCCACACATACACCCCATATCCCACACACATACCACACACACACACCCCTTCCTCAGCAATACCAGTTTCAACCAGGTGCCATGGTGAGAGCTACCAGGCTAATTAAGGTTTCCTAGTGCCCCCCCTTGTATACATAACTGAGGGTGGCACACCATAGATGCAGGCACTGAGGCAGCGGTGGCAGCAATGGGGTGGCCATTAGAAAGAAAAAGCCTCCAAATCCTGCCACGGGGACCACTGGTTCCCAGACCTGCCTGCCTGGCACACTCATGTACGAGTGTGAGATCCGCAGGTCCCACCCAGACTTTCAGAATATCTGAAGGTGAGTCCTGGAAGTCCATGTTTCGTGAGCACCCCAAGTGGTGATGATGCCCAGTTCAGCCTGGCCTCTCGCATGGAGCAGCTGCCAGCTCCTAAAGCTGGCCATCTATTTCTCCCGAGTGTCCCAGCCCTTAGCGCTAAATGGTCTCTCCCAGGACCTGGTGTCAATTGCTCCTGAAAACAGAAATGAGCCTTCTCCAAAGATTTATGGGGCTCCTGACAGGCTGGGCTGCCAAGTCCCTGGAAAGGCTGCTGTGGGTGGTGGCATCCTCCCCACCCCGCCGGACAGCTGTGGTGGGCAGGATTCCTGGAGCAGGCATGCCCGCTGGGGCTGGGGGTCCCGCCTGCAGATGCCCATGTTTATCCAGGGTGGGCTGGAGGGACCTGGACGCTGAGCCTAGTTCTCAGGAATTTAGACAGCTGTCCCTGGACAGCCACCAAGTTGCTGCCTTCCAGACTGAGATGGAGTGCTGGGCACGTGGCAGTGGCATGGATGCTACAGGTAAGTGACTTGGTCTTCCCGGTGTTCCCTGCCAAACTAACATCTGTCACCTTATATTATTGTCATCTTCCATTTACGTTCCTGCTTTGTGATTCTTTTTTAAATAAAAAAAGGCAAGGGAAGCAATCTGTGGCAAGGATCCAAGCTTCTCTTAATTGCAGATTCCCTTAAGTACCACTTCCCTGGAGCTGCAGGCCCTGCCTGCTAGTCAGGACTACTTCAGCATGGCTGATTTTTAATAGGCATGCGGTAATTTCCAGCCTCTTCTAACTTTCCCTTTTGTTCGTCGGAAAATCTTGGCGTGTCCTCATCTCAAATTATTAGAATGAACCCACCCCTTACTTTCATCTTTATATTAAAAGGAAAGAAAGAGAAAGGGCCAAAGAGAAAAGGGGACAGAGTGAGAGAGAGAGAGAAGATGAGGGAGGGAGGGAGAGGGAAAGAGTGATTGAAATTGAATGCTATGGTATTAGCATTCACAACTAGGGCTGATATTGCAGGAGTAGGACTGTGCGAGTTAATCAAATATTGAAATACATATGGACTCACCTCCATAAGGTCCCCAGCTCCGTCTGCCCAGCCCCTCTGCTGAGACCCCATAGAGCTGGAAAGGTAGACACTGAAGGATTTAACGTGGCATATCAGGGGGTTTTTCAGAACTATGCTGGGTCCTAAGGCATTTGTTCTGCTTGGTTGGTGCCTTTGCCTTAGAAAATGTTAAATGTTCTGAATATCACCTTGGGCCAAAGCGTGGAGAAAAACGGAGGAGGAGGCTGCTTTTCGTTTGCAGGAAGATGGAAAGAGGGAAAAAATACATAATTGGATGTGGAAATCAGTAGACAGCATCTCAGTGTGGCAGGTCAAGTATGGTTTGTGCAACTCAGTTTCTGCCTTTGTAAAATGGGCCTGCTTGTATCTGCTGTAAAAGTGCTTTGAAGCAATGCAATTGTATTAGCAAAGGTCCCGGCCAGCCATCAGAGCCTTGCGGCTTCACCCTAAGAGACGTCTTGAGGTGGGTCCGGCTCCCAGGAGAGCAGGGTTGGCCCCAGGTGGCGCTGCCATTGCCTCTTGCAGTCAAGAGAGGTCATGTAAGAGCAGGAGAGGCAGCCCAGAGAAAGTCTGGGGAGAGTTAATAGCAGAAATTGCTGGACTGATGCAAAATACACTTGCTAAATTGCCCTGGTGCCCAAGGAAACAGTTGCACAGTAATATGAAGGGAAGTGAAGGCCAGGAGATGGGAATTGGTCTGGACACTTCATTCTTCCCTGACTCAATAGAACCTCTCTGCTGTGATTGCCAGACCAGTGACCTGGTTTGTTGGAGCCAGCAAGGCCACCAGGGGCCTGAGAGGGGGGCTCTGGGCTCTCTGGAGGAACCAGGCCTGCTGTCTGCCAGAGAGGCATGGCCGGTGCAGCGGATGGAGTCACAGAGGGTCAGAAAGAAATGTCCCCAGATTTCATCCAGCTCTGTCACCAGCTTCTGGTTAGCTTTGGGCAGGTCCCACAACCTCGCTAGGCTCTTGTTTCCTTGACTCAAAATGGAAAAAACAACATCGACTCTTTGGGAGAATGGAATGAAAAGTGGATGGGAGAGTGTGCTGGGGAGGGTAATTTGATTTGCAGAGATAACGAAGTTATTTTCATTACAGACCACGCTGCCCATGATCTTTCTTCATCTTTCTCCCTCACCAGACAGTGAGAGGCTTCTTGAGGGCAGGGAATTTTCTGCTGGTCTCTGTGTGCTCAGTGGCCAGCACAGAGTGTGCTACTCTCCAATACTGGTTGATCTGCATGCCCTAAGGCTGCTCCCTGCCAGCCCATCACAGGATCACCTGATCCCCAAAGGTGGGAATGCACTGCAAGTTGCCCTTTGGGCCCTTGTTACTGGACACCCCTTTCCCCTTTTACTACATCCAAGGAAAGAGTGGCACCCTTGAAGGGGAAAGATTAGGGGACTGGGCTGTGTCTGGGCAGCCACGGTGTCCCCAAGCTTGTATCCTATGTGAACAGTGTCCCTGGAGTTGTGCAACCAGCATGTCTGGCAGCCCAGTTTTGGGTGGAGTAGAGAAGACATGGAGACTATGGTGAGAGAAGCTCACCCACAAAACACTTTGGGCTTATAGTCCTACCACCTGGTGACCACTCGGGCCAGGGGAGTCAGGGCCCTGGAGGCTGGCTGGACTGTTACCATTGCTGGAGGAAGAGGATGAAGAGATTTTATTCCCTCCACAATTTTCCCCCTCACACAAACCCATTTAAAGCTTAGTTTCTATGTCTCAAACCAACTTGGAAGTTCCACATAAAACTCAGTGACACTTAATATATCTCCCCATTTCCTAAGGCTGTCTACAAATCATCCCTGTTAGAGAATGGAAATTGGAACCAGACACAGTTGGGACCGCTGCTTTGAAACTGCATACTGTCAACCTCAGTTGAGTCCCAGTTGCCTAATTGTAAAATGGGGTCACTCTGCCCACAACACAGGGTTGTAAGGAGTAGAGGAAATAGAGTCTGGCCAGGTACAGTTAAAGCACGCCTGTAGTCCCAGCATGTGGGAGGCTGAGGCAGGAGGATGGTTTGAGCCCAGGAGTTCAAGGCCAACCTGGGCAACATAACAAGACACTGTATCTACAAGAAAAAAAAAAAAAAGAATTAGCAGAGTGTGGTGACAAGCACCTGTAGTCCCAGCCACCTGGGAGTCTCATGTAGGAGGATCACCTGACTCTAAGAGTTCGAGGCTATAGTGAGCCATGATTGCATTACTGCACTCCAGCCTGGGCAGAAAAGTGAGACCCTGTCTCTAAGGAGAAATTCAAATTCAAATTAAAAAATTTTAAATTAAAAAAAGAGATAAAGAGTCTACACATCGCCCAGCCAGTAGTAAGAGCTCAGTCAATGCAGTTTTTCTTTTCTCTCTCTGCCCCACCTTGAGGCCACTAATCCCATTAGCCTGGGCATTCCATGCAGGTAACAATACCCATCTCCTAGGGCTGTCATGGGGACTAAAGGAGACACTGGCACATGCCAGGCCCATAGCAGGCAGGAGGCAATTTGAGGTTTTCTCCTCCTGTGTACTCTGTCTCCCCATTTGTTCCCTTCCAGCTCAAACATCCTTTGATTCTGGAGATGACATTCTGGTTAATTGGGGTTCTTGGATATGTAATCCATCTGCATAAGTTTCTGAAAAGGAACCAAGTTCTGCCCCAGGCCCAAGGAGCACTGGTTCCATCTGCCGACACTGGCTTCTCCCCGCTCCCCGTTCTGCCTCAGCAATGCCTGACCTTGCGCTTCCCCAGCATCTATCTCCTTAGGGGCCTCAGAACCCCATCCCTGCCAATAATCCTGGCTCTTGGCTGCCCTGTGCCAAAGGCAGATGGTGTTGAGTAATGGGGCTTCTCCCTTGGTTGGATGGGCCAGCGTCAGCAGAGCTGACTTCAGCGTCAGGCTGGCATGAGGCTTTTGGAGCTTAGCACTTTCTCTTCTTCACGATCTGGGTGGGGAAGTGGGAGGGAAGCAGAGATGGCGGTTCTGGAATCTTTCCTGAAGCCTGGGTATTTGTGAAGATATGGCATCCTGAGCCTCCAACTTCCCTGCCACTGAGCTTCTCCGAAGACATCTCTCTTTGTTTGCCTGTATTTCACTCTGGCGGTGTCTAAGAGGCTTCCTCCATTTGCTTTTTTATATTCATTTGAAATGACTCCTCCAATATTTAATCTTTATCAGAACCTAGAAGCCTGGTATTTATTTTGCAGGTCAGTTGCTCATCCATTTTCCTTGAGGTCTCTGGCAGGAGGCTGGAGAGCCGGATGCCCCCGGGGGGTGCTGCCATCAACATTAGTCCTGGTGACAAGAGGACAAATCAAAGCCCTGCAGGCTACCGGGGAGAAGATAAATCTGGCAAAAGGCTAATGAGTGAACTGTGGCTGCAGGTGGCTGCAGCAAGAGATGGCCTCCAAGACTTTCCAGGCCTTCTAGTTGCAGGGAGGGGGTCATCTTCTGGGGACTGGAGTGAGAGGGCATATGGTTGGTATGAGTTGGGTTTTTCCAGATTGCAGCAGCTGGGCACTGGAGTTTAGACTTCTGGGCGGTGGGGAAGGAAGAGGGAAGGAGATCTCCACCTCTCAAAACATACAGCTTTTATCTGCCATGCATGAAAAGCCTGGCAGTTCACCTACATGGCAGCAGGAAGGATTTGGGGTAGACAGCTGAAGGAATTTTCAGACAGTAGGC
This sequence comes from Homo sapiens, assembly GCF_000001405.40. Lineage (NCBI taxonomy): Eukaryota > Metazoa > Chordata > Mammalia > Primates > Hominidae > Homo > Homo sapiens. The sequence goes on along the minus strand of NC_000011.10, from coordinate 115,141,030 downwards.
CTTGACCAGATATTTATGGAAAGCTGTGCAAGAGCTTTTCTTTGTAGACCCAGGGATAGTTTAGAATGCACACTCACTCGCATGTTTAGGCAGGGGAATAGTCATCTTTTTTATCTCCAAATATGTATCAAACACTAATTTTCTGCTGGGCATGGTACCAGGCTCTTAGAATTTAAAGGTGATCCCTGTTTTCAAGGAACTTTACAGAGGGACACCAAAGAACCAGGATGACAAATAGGTTTTAACCTCCTAGTCAATTCCATTTGATTGGAAGTAGCCTCTTGGAGCCTTGTGTTAAAAACAAAACACAAAACAGAGAGCTTCAATTAGGCTTAGGAAGAAAGTGTAGAACTTGTTTCCTGATGCCCGCATTGGTACAGCTTACGTAGTGGTATCTGCTAGCCAACCCTGCCAAGGAAATGGAGCATATTTAATTCAGCAAAGATGTTTTGAACATCTCTGACATGTGCCCCGTTCTGTGCTAGGAACTTGGGTGTAGTGGTGAGTGTAAGTAAGTCTGTTAGCAGAGTCCACTCAAATTGGGGAAATACAGGAAACCATGATAAAACACTCTTTTCAGTGTTTGTCTACAATTAGGGAGCTGGAGGAGCTCATGGAAAAAAGAGGAAGGGTGGGCTGGAGCTCCAGGGAGGCTTTGTGGAGTGGAGAGGGAGAAGAGGAACCGAACAAAGAAAAGCAACAGTCTACCTGGAACATCAGCATTCCACCATCAAAAGCTGTTCTTGAAGAGCAGGTAAGAAAGGAGGAACCAAGGAGGACAGCAAAGCCCAAGTGAGCTGGTTTGTTTTTTCTTCCTTTTAACTTCCTCTGCCCCTTCTCTCAGAAGCTTCTCAGGTCGAGGCGGGGCAGGGGAGTTGTACTGTAGTGTTTCCAGTCTGCCTGGGCTGGTGCATTTCAAAGCGCTGCCTGGATGGAGAAGCTGTTCCTGGGAAGCAGTGTTGACCCTGCTCTTGCGGGCATGTGATGAATATTTCATAGCCCAGATGTAATCCCGTCCAAGCTTCCCTCTCCTTCCCCTGTCCAGCACCCCTCTCCTCACGTCCCCCACCTCCACCCCAGCCCCAGTCCCCCATTGTTCCCAAGTCAGGAAAATCAGTCAAAACATTTATCAGAAATCGGTATGAACCAGCCAAGCGCTGTGAAGAGCTAATCTGTGCAGAGCTAATAAGAATGAACAAAGTCACCACAGACTCTGCCATGGGCATCGCTGATAAGGATTTGTCAGAAGAATTGCAGGTAAGATCGGAACAGCCCAGGGAAGTGGAATGCAAATGCCTCGCTTCCCATCAGCTCTACTGGTGCCCACTCTGGGCAGGCTGGAGACTCAGAACAGAATCAGAAATGCACCCAGGAGTGGGGCCAGCAGGGGGGCCAGCTGGGAAGCAGGATCGTGCAGAAACGTGCAACAAAATCAGCCGGGCCAGCAAGCAGCAGTTGATGGGAAGGCGGGAGCCTGGTGGCGAGCAGAGGATGGGAAAAGATGAGAAAGCAGGCTAGGGAAGAATTCCTTTTCTCTACATTTTATCAGAGGGGACACGGTATGTGGGCTATGATGCAGGAAGTGCTGAATTGGGTAGAGGAAATAATATTCCAAACAACTGGAAGCTGCTGAAAACTGGAAGAGGATTTGGGAGTTGCACACCTGGAAACATGAAAGATGGTCTTAGAGCAGTAGAGCAGTGGTCAGAGTGAGGCTTTGCAGCCAGACACACACAGGGTTGAATCCCAGTGCTATCGGTTTCTAGCTGTTGAGACCTTGAGAAAGCTCCTTGACTTCCCCAAGCCTCAGTTTTCTCATCTGCACTACTTCGCAGACCTGCTTATGTGGGTTACATCCAGTAGCATTCATAGCGGGTGCATGACACCGTGCCTGGCGCACAGTAAGGCTAAACAAAGTTAGCTATTATTCGGTTGTGAATTTTATGAGCAGTTTTGCCTAAAGACAATCTGTAATCTAATAATCTAACTCAGGTGCCAGCAAACTTTTTCTGTAAAAGGCCAGGAAGTAAATAGCTTAGCCTTTGCAGGTCGTATGGTCTCAGTCACAACTACTGAACTCTCCTGTAGTATCACCAAGGAGCCACAGATGGAATGAATATGGCTGTGTTCCAATAAAACTTATAAGAACAGGGGGTGGTCTGGATTTGGTCTTTGGGGTTGTAGTTGCCCACACCTAGTGTAATTGATCTGCAAATTGTTTGAGCCTATGTGTCTTATGGGACCTTCAAAGGGAGGCCAAAGGGCAGGCTGCCTTTGAGCCAACAGGCTTCCCGCAGAGGCTGAAGGCACCTGGAGGAGTGAGACCCCACAGTTTGCAGAGGCTGTGCTAAAGGTATGGGCTGGGGGTGCACATTCTAATAGATCTCTGAGAAGATTTCCCTATAAATGAGACATTATTGCCATGACTGCGTTATATGTTTCCCCTCTATGCATCTTCACTGAAAAGTTTATTGTGGGCCTGATGCATTTTTACTGCATCTCCTAAAAGTAGACACATTTTCATCTTTTTCTTGAAATACATATCATTAAATCTCTCTACCAATTCCTTCTGGCTTATTGGACTTGGGAGCAAGCTGTGAAGGATGATTTGTTTTCAGGCCACAAAGCTACCCCCAAGACAGGCCTTTGTCACAACCCTCCAGCCACAGGGGAGAGTGGAGGCAGGGAGGGTGGGAGGCTTTGGTGTGGGGTGCAAATGAGGTTTTCGAATAACGTTGGTTTCCTATTCCCTCACATGTTTTAAAATCTGATAGTTTTCTCAAGTGCTGAACTTGCCACTCTCCCAGTGCAATAATATTTTCATGCATGTGCGTGTGGCTTTACAGCTCAGAAAATGCTTTCAATATATGTGTATATATAAAACCTCTCTCTCCACCACCACTCTTCGAACAAGTGGGAAGACAGGGAAGATCATTCCTGTACCACAGAAGGGATAACTGAGTTGCAGAAGGGCTGGCTTCTCTAGAAGTTCAGGACCAGAGGAGCCAATGAGGAGCAGTGCAGCACACTCAGTAGTGCCCTTTCAAAGGACTCAGGTCCTAGCCTTTGCAGCCTGGGAGAGTGACCTTATTTGGGAAAAGGGACTCTGCTGTTGTGATTGAGTTAAGGACCTTCAGGTGAGGAGCATCATCTAGGTTGAACCTTCGATGCCACCACATTCAGATGGGGGGAATCATCCAGGTGAACCCTTAATGTTATCATACTCAGAGTGTCCTTAGAAAAGAGAGGCAGAGGGAGATCACACACACACTGCACAGACAGACATACACACACATGAGAAGGTGAGGTGAGGACAGAGCAGGGAGAGATGCGAAGATGCTGGCCTTGAAGATTAGAATGAAGCAGCCACCAGCCAATGAATCACAGAAGCCCCCAGATGCTGCAGGGAGCAAAGCACAAGTTCTCCCCTACAGCCTCGGGAGGGCATGTGGCCCCGCTGATACCTGGGATTTCAGCCTAAGATTGGTTTCAAACTTCAGTCCTCCAGAGTCGTAGGAGAATACATTTCTATTGTTCTAAGTCACCCAGTTGGTGGTCCTGTGTCACCACAGCCACAGAAACTCACACAGGTAGTGGAGCAGGAGCTGGGAAGTAAGCCCATGTGTATGGGGAGGCAAGCTCAGATCCCCACCCCCAAAACTCACCAAGCTACCAGCCCGGGGAAGGGCCTCTGCCTCCAAGGAGGATCAGGTTGGCGGGGATGTTCCTGGGTTCAGCCAACCATTTGGTATTGACTGAGCCCTCAGTATGGTGTTTGAAGCGGTGGACTTAGGGGAGAATTAGAAGCTGGATCCATGCCCTCAAGAGGCTCGCAGGCTGGCTGTGACTCAATTAGCAAGTGGAACAGTGCAGTGTGTGATGAAGTGCCTGCCTGCAAGATGTGCACCATAATTCCTGAGTTTGTCCGTCTTCTAGCACAGACTGCAGCATGCTCTGGCTTCTCTGCAGGTGGCCCAGGGAGAGGACCTAACTGCAGACATAATGTATTCCCCAAGTGCCTCTGAGCCCCTGCCTTTTATGCGTACTATTAGTGTGAAAGTACTCTATAACTCCGCCACTTTCCTCCTGTCCTGAGAATGAAAGTGGCCATGCCCAGGCAGGACCAGTAACTGAGTGCCAGGATGTCCAGACTTCCTGGGCTGGGATTTTCCACTGGAGGAGAAGGGAGAATGACATTAGATGTGATCTCGAGAAGGGTGGGGCAGGGGGTGCAGATACAGAGGAGAGTGAAAATAAATTAAAACGGAATTTATTTCTCATGTCTAATAGAGATTTTCTCTCTGTGTCTTTTTTTTTTTTGAAAGAACATTTGGCATATGTAATAAGATACTGCCTGAAGCCACTCCAAGGAATTGGAACCTAACTAAAAAAATGGGGTGAGGGGCTCAGCTTCATTTGAATTTCCTCCCAGAGCTAGCAGCCTTCCCAGTGTCTCAGGGAGTGGCTTGGGCTCACACATCTGGAGGCCACTCTGATGTCCATACTGATGACAGCCCAGTTAGGAGGGCCTCACCCTCTGGCCTACCTCTGGGAAAGTGGGCATAACTTGAGGTTGAACCGAAAATGTCAATATCCTAATTGGCATCTTATTAATACAAGCAGAAAAGCCCATTGTTAAAGAAGAGAGATCTCCCAATCCCCCACCAATTAATCTTTAGCTATAGGCAGCTCTCGTGCTCACCATATCAATGGGGGCTTGGGCTCCAGAGTGTGATGGGGAACAGGAAACAGGGACAGCATCACCAATATGGCTGTGGAATCTCTGGGCTGGAGAATCTCATCCTCATGGAGTCCATGCTTTGGCCACCCTGGGGTGGGAGGGGCCCATGGTGAATGCAGGGGAGAAAGTTCAGGAAGAGGAAGGAGCACCTGCCACCGGGCCGTCCTGTGGGCAGCACAGGGAAGGCTGCTGTGGAGGAGAGGACGTGGGGGTGGAGGGCTGTGGTGGTGGACATCTGCTGGGTTATTTTTGTAGGGTGGGATCTACAGCATCTGAGCTGCCCAGTGTGTATGGGGATTCCCCCATCATTTGAGTCTTGGTGGGAGGCAGAGCATGATTTTCCTCTAAAGGAACAGGAAATTCCAGCTACTGTTTTCCAAGCATGGATGGCACATGCCCCAGGCTAGGCCAGTCTGACCTTCCACTCTAAGCTGACCCACTCAGGAGGCAAAGCAGCAGGGACCAGGGAGAGTTTTCTCTGATGCTGGTGGTTGGGGGAGCCTCATCCCTGTGATGGGTGCTGGCAAGGCTGGTGGCACCATCTGAAGGGGGCAGGTGTAATGTTCACTCCTGGCCTCATAGGCTCTCTTCATTTCCGCCTGTTTTCCAAGTCTGGATTTGCTGATTACCTTCCACATAACTGGGGACCACCGGACACTTTTTTTTTTTTTTTTTGAGACAGAGTTTCACTCTTGTTGCTCAGGCTGGAGTGCAATGGCATGATCTCGACTCACTGCAACCTCTGCCTCCCAGGTTCAAGCAATTCTCCTGCCTCAGCCTCCTGAGTAGCTGGGATTACAGGCATGCGCCACCACGCCTGGCTAATTTTGTATTTTTAGTAGAGATGGGGTTTCACCATGTTGGTCAGTCTGGGTCTCAAACTCCCACCCTCAGGTCATCCACCCGCCTCAGCCTCCCAAAGTGCTGGGATTACAGGCATGAGCCACTGTGCCCGGCCACCTTTTAAATAAATTCATTTTCTGCTTAGATCTGCCAGAGTTGGTTTCTATTGCAAACACACCTGACTTAAACAACATGTTTTACCAGACAGAACAGGAGGCAAAGGAAGGAAATTCGTATTTCTGGAGAGCCTGGTGTGAGCTAGGCTCAGAAATTGTGCCATTTGATACTCACAAGATCTGTAAATGATTCCCGTCACTTTGCAGTTAAGGGAGCTTCGGGCTCAGAGTGCTGGCTGGTCTGTAAGTGGCAGGTGGCCGCGCTCCGCGTCTGGAGTCTTGCACTGCACCACGCTGCTCCAGTTGCTCTGGCGAAGCAGAATAGGTTTCGTCTTGTGGAGCACCTCCTTCTCCAGATCATCTCCACTCATCTTTTAAGGCTTGACGTACAATTTTCCCAGGAAGTTCTCCAAGATCCTGCACCCCCAGGGCTGAGTTTATGCCCCCTCTTCTCTACTCTTATGGTGTGGAGATCTCTTCTGAGCAGAAGTCTTTCCTAGTGCCGATCCTGTTCTTCCATCATCCTGGTTGTCATCTTCTTTTCCAGAGACTCTAAGTTAATTGAGGCCAAGAATGAGGCTTTTGTCTCATGGGGTCTTATAACTTTAGCATCTAACACAATGCCTCATGCTTCTCGGTGCTCAAGAAATGCTTAGCAAATGAAATTAATAATGATTCAAGTCTTGGCAATACAGATGAAGTGGAATATTTGTTTGTCACTGCAAAAGGGACCGTCTTATCCAAAAAAGATCACCTTTGTGTGTGTGTGTGTGTGTGTGCGTGTGTGTGTGTGTGTGTGTGTTTGAGATGGAGTCTCATTCTGTCACCCAGGTTGGAGTGCAGTGGTGTGATCTCGGCTTACTGCACTGCAATCTCTGCCTCCCTGGTTCAAGTGATTCTCCTCCCTCAGCCTCCCGAGTAGCTGGGATTACAGGTATGCACCATCATGTCTTGCTAAATTTTTGTATTTTTAGTAGAGACGGGGTTTTGCTTGTTGCCCAGGCTGGTCTCCGAGCTCCTGGGCTCAAGTGATCCACCGCCTCAGCCTCCCAGAGTGCTGGGATAACAGGTGTGAGCCACCGTGCCCAGCCACCTTTGTTTTTTAATGATAAACCTAGAGCCAGTTTATTGGTCAGGATTCTCCAGAGAAACAGAACCAATAAGATTATCTATCTGTCTATCTATCTGTCTATCTATCTATCATCTATCTATCTATCTATCATCTATCTATCTATCTACATCTGTCACTGTATCTATCTAATCTGTCACTCTGTCGTCTATCTAATCTGTCACTGCATCTATCTAATCTGTCGCTCTATCATCTATATATTTATCTATCTATCTATCTATCTATCTATCTATCTATCTATCTATCTATCTAATCTGTCACTCTATCTGTCTAGCTACCTACCTCCCTATCTATGAGGAGAATTATTACGGGAATCACAATTATGAAGGCCGAGAAGTACCACAATCTGCTGTCTGTGAGCTGGAGAGCCAGGAAAGTCAGAGGTATAATTCCCTCTGTGTCCAAAGGCTCAAGAAGCAGGAGCATTGTTGTTCAAGGGCAGGAGAGGGTGGCTGTCTACGCTCAAGCAGGGAGAGCAAATTAGCCCTTTCTCTGCCTTTGTGTTCAATTCACACCATCAACCAGTTGGATGACACCCACTCACATTGGTGAAGGCAATCTTCTTACTCAGTCTACTGATTCAAATGCTAATGTCTTTCAGAAATACCCTCATAGACACACCCAGAAATAGTGTTTTACCAGATATCTGAGCATTCCTTAGCCCAGTCAAGTAGATACATAAAATTAACCATCACAGGCAGGAATGGAAGGGCATGTACAGACTGCTGTCATAATTAGGCTGAAAAAGTTCAGGGTTGAATTCAAGGCTTGGGGACTGCTATGCTTCTTTTGGCCTTATGGCTGGTCATTAGCTAAGACTTCTTGAGGGGTAAGGTAATGATGGCAGCTAAGCCTGCCCTGTCTCCACCTCTCCCAGTTAGCATTGCGGTGGGTTCTGACACTTGGCTTACATGATGGTAAATCTCCGTAATGCACCACACTGGAATCTTCTGAAAATGGCCCAGCTGCATGAACTTTTCTGGAAAACTAGTTTTAAGAAAGATTCTAGGGTATTGCCACATAGATAGTGGCAATATCTGTGGGTGAAGGGTTAAGGTTAGGGGCCTAAGGGATGGTGAGGGTGGTTGGGGTGCTTCACACTCTCTCAACCTCTTTCCCAACGTCAGCACTGGGCTGTCCCAGCAAAACGCTGACTGCAAGAGGAATCTTGCCTGTAGGTGGTGCTGCCTCCACCACTTCACTACAGGAGGCCATGTTTGTATTCAGAACAACTTTGATCAGGTGAGTGCTCCAGAAACATGACTCAAGAGACCATCCCAGACCACCTGTTCTGCACTGAGAGGTGGTCTTGGGAGGCAGCTCTTGTCTGAAAGAACTTCCCTCCATTTCATTACAGAATTCCACTCACCATGGCCTGAGGTCCCCCACCTGCCTGAGCTCGGCTGACTGAGGGGGAGAAGACTGTCCTTGGATTGTTCTCATCACTAAACAATTTCCAGCCAGCTAAGCGGGAGCCTCAGAACCACATGAAGTGTTGTCTGGAGAAATCTTGCCCAGATATAACATTGAGACAACATTTAAAACCTCATTTAAGTGAACACAAAGAGAGGGCTCCTGGGTAAAAGAGACTTAATTAATCTCGTTTCTGTGTAGATACTTTTAATTAAATGTAACTCCGCATTCCTTCCAAGTAGATTGGAAGGGCTGGGCAGTCTTGCTACTTGGTGGAGCTGAGTTGGGAGGGGCCGGCAGGTGGGCTGAGGCAATTAGAGATGCTGGAAATGCACAGCCAGCCCAGGGCTGGAAACCTGGGATGTGGACCTGCCTCCCAACTCCCTCCATCCCCCAAGCCAAAATGTACCTCTAACCATAGGTTCTGCCTTCATAATCATCTCTTGAATGCCTCGTTTCTCTTCAACGCACAACCTTAGTTTGAGTTCAGGCCCTCAACATCTGTCTTCTGGATTATGACGTTGATCCCTGACTTGTTCTCCCACTCTCCAGTCTCAATCCCTTTCAGTTCATTCTAGTTCATCCGGCTAAATGACTTCTTAAAACACTACTTTCATTCCCCTGATCAAGAATTCAAAATAGCTTTCAATTTTCTGATTAAATGCAAGTTTTTCCCCTTGGCATGGCCAGAGTATGGTATCTCAGAAGACTAGTCAAGATTAGGAGTGGCTATAGTGCCTGGAGAAGAAGGTGAGATTGGGTGGATCCAATAAGAAGTCTCCCCAGGGGGAAACTAGACCAGAGTCAGGCAGGCTGTACAACAAGTTGCTTTGAAGAGTCTAGGTATAGAGGAGGAATTTGGATTTTTGACAGTGGACTCTGAGAAGACTAGAAGAGAGGCAGTTTCAATTGAAGGAGAAACCTAGAGGAATTCCATGAGCTGATGAGAGGTAAGCCACAGGGAATATTTATAGAGTAATCTGCTGCCCTGGGCAGAGAAGAGGGAGTGTTTAAATAAACCATGGATAGAATTACATATGGCCATAGATTGAATCACATTATCTATGTGACAAAGATTGGTTGCTGACCAATACCAGTGTTTCTCCTCTTAGTCCTGTCACACAAACTACATTCACTTCACTCTTCCCTTTCTGATAGATGGGGCCATTTAACTGAGTTTTGGCAAATAAATATAGGTGAAAGGGATGCATGCCAAAATCCCCTAAGAGGTCTTCTATGTTATCTCTTTTTGCTCAGTACCTGGCTGGATGGAGTGGATCTAGTGGAGGATCTAAAGGATGATAAAGACATTAGATAGATGGATCCACAGGTTCTGAATGACTCTGTAGAGCACAGCCTTTCTTCCCAACCCCACCACCATATTGGATTGTGACATGATTGAGAAATAAACACATACGGTGTCAAGCCACTAAGATTTTGGGATTGTTTGAGACAGAAGTTAGCCTGTCATGACTAATATAATAGGCATCCTGTCATGAGGACCCCTAGGAGAAAAAGAAGCAGGTAGACCTGGACCACACTCAGCCCGTATAGTGAAGGCAAGTGAAGGTTCCTCCAGGGTAAGGCCACTTCTAGTCCTACCAATATCTCTTGATCCTTCTTTTCTCTTCTTCTGTAACCCCAAGGAGATCCCGATGACTTAGAAGAAGAAACCTAGGCAGACCTTGCCTCAAGGGGAAGCGTTGGAATATTGTATTATTTATATTTCTGCTACAACACTGATGCAAAACTAAGGCTTACAACAACAAGCATTTATATTTCTCATTCACAAATCTGTGGGTTGACTGGGCTGGCAGCTCTGCTTTAGGTTGAGAATTGTGTTCAAATCTTCTCCATGTGCTGCTGATTCTGGGGTCAGGAGCCTCATAGCAGGCTTCAGAAGCACACACCACACAGCCAAGCCACACAAGCACATTGGAGCTTCTGCTCATGGTGCATCCACTAACACTGCATTTATCAAAGCAAGTGACAAGCCCAAAGTCAATAGGGTGGAGATATTTCCTCTGCATACTAGGAGCCATGGCAGGGTAAGAAGGAAGGGAGAACTGTGGAAAATCACATAATATGCCACAGGTACCATCTCTAATAAGACAACTACTTGCCTAAAAGCCAATGCCCTGGGCCCCTGTAGGCCTATGTTTGTTTGAATGGTGTCAGAGGCTTCATAAAGCTTCTAGGATTGGCCAGGCTGTTTTAGATAATGGAAAGGGAGAACTGGGAATAAAAAATCTCATTTCTTGTCCAGCTGCTAAGTGGCCTTTGGCAAGTCACTTCTCTCTGGGCCTCAATTTAATTATCTGGGACATGAGAGAGATGGATAGGAAGATTTCCAATGTCCTTTTAAACTCACACCTCTGAAGACTCTAAGAAAGCCAGTCTTCATGATCCTAATCCAAGATCTTTGAGAGGCTGTTGTCTTCAAGCCAGTGGTGCATGCCCTGCCCCAGCAGAGAAGTCTGGGAGGAGGTGGTGTCTGCACAGCCCTCCCCAAAGGGGAAGTGGGGAGGAGAGGGCTGAGAGAAGCCCCAAGTATATTTCTCTGTGCACTTCTAAAAGCCCTTAGATCAGGCTGCTCAGGGCCTGATAATTTTTCCATTAAGAGGAAATAATTTTCTGGGTCTGTTTTGGTTGTATTTATCTGGAGTTGACAGCATCAGCCGCTGCAGCCGTGACATGCCGCCTGTCTCCCAGACCAGCATGTACTTGTGGGGACAGAAAGGGGCAGAGGTCTCAGTGTCTCCCGGCCTGGACGAAGGGGAAAGAGAGCTACAGCATGACCCTGGTATACATCTCATGTGACCCAGCTGTGACCTCGGGTACCTCCCACTCCATTTTCGTCCCTAAAAAAGAAATGCAAACAATAACCCAACCGTGAAACCCACCACTGTGCTATCTCCACCCCAGCCCCCACCTTCTGCCTATCGCTTCTTCTAAGCCAGCTTGACAATAACCATTCATCACGAAAAAGAAAACAAAGTACGGAGAAACAAAAACCAATCTAAGGCTGCAAATTTACGTCAAACTTTGAAAAATGGACTGTGAGATGTTTGTGAAGTGAGCTCTTTCTGCTTTCCAGAACAGATGGGGCTGGGCACCTCCTGTTGCAAACCCACATGGCCCCGAGTTCAACCTGGAGGTGACTACAGCCCACGGAACAGAACTGACTTTCAGAGGTGACATTGGGATAGAGTCCTCTGGGAATTGTGGGATACAGGAAGGGGATAGAGTCCTCTGGGAATTGTGGCAAATATTGGGATAGAGGAGAGGCATAGAGTCTTCTGGGAATTGTGGCAAAGGAGAGCCACCTCTTGTGTTGGGAGTACACCTGCCTTGGGTGAAGTTCTGAGTGGACCTTGGCCTGGGACAAGGTGACACTGGCTCCATCCCATCCTCTGGATTCTGCCTGCTTTGGAGGTGGGGTATAAGATCCCGGCAGGTCTAACTTCAGGCGAGGCTGGGGAAGGAGGAAATCACAGATATCTAGTCCTCATGGTTGTGTGTCTACAGAACTTTACCGATCTCACAGTGTTTTCATAGCATGTTCTCATCACTTTAAGCAAGCCTAGGTTAAAGGCAGAGCAGCTTATCCCATTGCACAGTAGAGGAAAGTGAGGTGCTAAGCTAGTCTGTAACTCACCCAAAGTCATGCAGCTTGTGAGTGACAAGGTTGGACTTGAACCTACGTCCTCTTAGCTCTGGAGCCAAGGATCTTCTCCCTTTTCAGGGCACTTGGAACTGGATCACAGCATCATTAAATGCATTCATTTCCCAGAGGGGCATCTCAAGACCAGAGAGGAGAGCTGACTTCCACAGGGCTATATGGCCACACAGGTGGTAGATTACAGTCAAGACCCAGGGTCTCCTGATCCCCGAGCCAGGGGTAAGTGCCATGCTGGCAAAGTCCCAGGGAAGGAAGACCAGGAATCCTATAGAGTTTCCCTGGGAAGGGGCTGGGGTGGCGATTGGTGGGGGCCAGGTGGGATGTTTTGCCCCTGGGCTTTGCTGGGGATGTGGTACCTGTTTGTCCCTTAGACTGGTCCTGATGCAGCCTTAGAGTGACTGACAACTAGGAGGGATGACAATTGGCCCACAGCTAATAGTGTGTGGAGAGGGGTTGTTTCTGCCTCATCGGACCCATTTCTTCCTTCCCTTCTCCTCCTTGTGGAATCTCATCCCTCTTTCTGCTCTGCCTCTCCAAGCTGGTCACCTAGTGCCCTTGGCCTGTCCCCAGATGCTCAGGACCTCCTAACACCCTGGCCCATGTCTTATCTCCTGAGGAGATCCAGACACTGTGGGTGTCCCCCACCCCTCGCTGTTCACCCGCAGACTTCCCTCTCTCACCATCCGTTTCCTTAGGGCCCACACTCCGTAAGAAGATCCCACTAATCTGACAGGCTTAGGGAGGGTGCTCTGCCCAGGTTCCAATCCTGGTTCCACTGCATATGAGCCTTGTATCTCTGAGCAAGTTAATTAACCTCTCTTAGCTTCAGTTTCCTTATCTGAGAAGTGAGGATAATAATACTTACCTCATAGGGTTATTGGGAGCTTTAAATGAATTTATGTAAAGAACTTAGCACAATGCCTGAAGCATAATAAACTTTCAATAAATGTTAGTTATTTTTAGTTTTTAAACCTATTCATGCTCCTGTCTCAGTGGAGGCTAATGACTCACTTCAACAAGAAAATAGATGTGTTTTTACAGAGATCTAATTGAGGAAAAGCCTTAAAGGTATGGAGACTTTAGTCCCTGAGTCACACACTTAGGGAGGACCCCCTAGAGTGGTGGAGGTGTCTCTCTCTCTGACCTCCTCAGAGAACATTCAGGCTCCAGGTGTGGGTCATGAGTTGGAAATTTGGATCTGTTAAGATTTCATGTGAACTGGAGCCGGGCGTGTTGGCTCACGCTTGTAATCCCAGCACTTTGGGAGGCAGAGACAGGTGGATTGCTTGAGGTCAGGAGTTTGAGAGCAGCCTGGCCAACATGGTGAAAACCCATTTCTACTAAAAACAAAAAATTCGACGGTCGTGGTGGTGCATGCCTGTAATCTCAGTTACTCAGGAGGCTGAGGCAGAAGAATCTCTTGAACCTGGGAGGCAGAGTTGGCAGTGAGCTGAGATTGCGCCACTGCACTCCCGCCTAGGTGACATAGCGAGACTCCGTCTCAAAAAAAAAAAAAAAAAATCTTATGTGAACTGGAACTCTCATCCCCCAGCTGAAGCACAGAGCAGGAGGTCTTGGAACCACAGCCATGGGATGAAGGGGACACAGGTGGGGAGTGGAGTGGAGGAGAGCAGCAGGCCTGTGGCTCTGGTGCATCTCACACGGTGGAGTGGAATGCTGGTGGGGTTTGGAATCAGATGGCCGGGATTCAAGTCTTTCCCCCTCCATTTATTAACCGTGTTCTCTTGTGGAAGTTATTTAATTTCTCTGACTTTCTGTTTCCTCATGGGGAAAAGATTAAAATAAATAATGTAGACAAAAAGCACTTTGTAAATGATATACCAAGGTACTATTTTTAATTTGGGTAGCTTGAGTCAAAAGAACTTTAGATTTGGTAAATGTGAACTCTAATACTCAAGAACCCTGTGGCCCTGTTGTTCTTGCCAGAGCTGTGGGTTGTAAGGAACAGAGACCCCTAAAAGGGGAGGGAGGGGCCGTCAAGGATGTGGAGTCTCGTAGGTGTGCAGGGCTGTGGTTCCGCGAGCCTTGTGGGAGACAAGTGAAGGTGAGTCTAGTTTCACAGTAGCCCCTGGGAACAGCTTCTCTGCCTCCCTTGGGCAGCCTGGGTTTTCGCTCTCAGCATTTTGGCCTTTTTGTGTGCATCTGCTCTATTCTGTCTCCATTCTGTCAGCTTACATTGCTTACTTCTCATTTCTACTCACCTAATAATTTCACCTTATTTGTGCCCACATCATCCTTAGCCCTATCTTTGCGCAAACTTTCTGTTTTACCATCCACTACCACTGATATGGTTTGGCTGTGTCCTGACTCAAATCTCAATTTGAACTGTAATAATCCCCACGTTTCAAGGCTGGGGCCAGCTGGAGATAATGGAATCATGGGGGATTTCCCCTACACTGTTCGCATGGTAGTAAGTCTCATGAGACTTTTTTTTATAAATGGGAGTTCCCCTGCCCAAGCTCACTCTTGCCTGCCTCCACGTAAGATGTGACTTGCTCCTCCTTGCCTTCCACCGTGATTGTGAGGCCTCCCCAGCCATGTGGAACTGTGAGTCAATTAAATCTTTTTCCTTTATAATTACCCAGTCTCGGGTATGTCTTTATTAGCAATGTGAGAATAGACTAATACAACCACCAGTGGCAATTTTCCTCTAAATGTTTTTGCTCAAAACCCAGAAAGAGCCTGATCTTCGTCCTCAGCCTCCAAGAGCATAGGTCACTAGCCTTTCTATGGATCAGTTACTCTTAGGTCCCATGCCCGCCCCTCATCAGTCATCTGTGGCTGGAAAAACAGAGTCATGTGCTACCCAGGGGGCTTGGAGTGGGGTGGATTCCCTTAGAATGAGCTTTAGATGGGTTAGTAAATGATCAGCAATCCTAGGACATGTAGGCAAGTCACAAGATCTCCACAACAAACTCTCCTGGTTCCTCATCTGTAAAGCACATTATCAGGCAGGTGAAATGAACCAATTAGTGAAAGTGCTTCCCTTGATCTGACCCCTCCTCTCCACATCCTCGGCCACTCTCTTAATCCAGGCCTTCATCATCGCTCACCTGGGCTAATCCAATAATCCTCTAACTGGTTTCTTGGCCTCCAGTGGTACTTCTCCCCCATTGGATCACATCTATTTTCCACTGAATTGCTGTAGTGATCTTTCTAAAATGCAGATGTGAAGAGCTACAAGATTAAGAGTTGGTGAGGATGTGATGAAACAGGCATCTTCTGTTTTGCTGATGGGACGGTATATTCCTACAATGTTAGGGGATAGTAAGATGGCAATCTATTAAAATTCAAAACACCATAACCTTTGATTCAGCAGTCCTACTTTTTTGGGGGGTGGTCTATCCTATGGAAATAAAAGCACTGGTATGTAAGACTACGTGAGTTATGTGAGTTATTGTAGCATTATTTTAGGTATTGACATAATTGTAAATAACCTTGATATCCAACCATAAATGTTTGAATAAATGTTACTACAACCATACGCTGGGAAATTATACATATATTTACAAATATTTCTGTGTCTATTGACTAGAAGGAGTATCACAACATGACATAAGCAGATTGCTGAATAAAGGATATGATGCCTTTTTCAAGAAACTAGTAGTTTAAAAACGGCATATATGTCTACATGTTCATATTTGCCTGATGAATGACTGGGCACCTGGGGTGCTCTAGGACAGCGGTTCTCAAGCTTTTATAAGTGTCAGAATGACCTGAAGGACAGTAGCAGATTGCTGGGCACACCCCAGGCTTCTTATTTAATAGGTCTGGAGTGAGGCACAAGAAATTGCCTTTCTAACAAGCTCCGGGAGGATACTGACGCTGCTCTTCCAGGGAATGCACTTTGAGACCCACTGGTATAGAGATTACTGGGGCAATTAGAAGTGGGGTGGGAGAAATTATGAAAGTTTTCTTTATAAAACCAATTATATTATTTCACTGGCTTTAGTACATTTACGTAACTGCTATTAATTTTGAAGGGGAATATGGTAATAGGGAAAAAATTATATGAAAAAGGAAAGGAAATCCACTTCGCTCCTGCCACTCCCTTCTCCAATCTCCTTCAAAGGATAAAGTCTTGCTCAAAGGATAAAGTCCAAACTTGTGGGTGTGGCATGAAAGTCTTTTGGGATTGGGGCCCTGCCTTTGACCTCTTCAGTGTCACATCATCTGGCTGTGCTTAGCCCATCTACTCCATAGCCTGTGGAGCCTCCTGCCATTCCGGGATGTGCCTGCTGTTCCACAGCTCATTGCCTCGGCTCCTTTGTTTGCCTTTGTGAGCTTCAAAGACAGGAATTGACTACCTTGTCTTTGGATTCCCAGCATGAAGGTGCAGTTCTGTGCCAATATAGTAGGTGCTCAATAATTTTTTTTGAATGGGAGGATGAATGAATGAATTGTAGGCGCCAAAGGAAGCTGCTGGATTTGAACCTCCCATGCAGAGTTAGTCCTGCTCTACAGAGCATCCTCTGAGGGAGCAGACTGCCGCTGTGGTTCCCAGGTGCCTGTGTGTCAAGGAAATGCAAACAAACGCAAACAGCAGGGAAAGCAGGCAGGTGTGGGTCGAGCAGTCTGTGTTCCAGACCCACCTGCTTCTCCTTGAAACTCTTCAGCCCCTCCTCAATCTTCCCAAACCCACTCAGTCTAAGTGGGTAATGGCAAAGGGAGGAGGGAAGGTGCAGGGAGGTCCCAGCATGGGACTTTCAAAGGGGCTGCATCGTGATGCTAATTTGTCTTTGGAGCAAGAGCCTGTGAGTGTGAATGAATGCATGGGTGCCTAGAGATGTGGGTGTGTGGGCATGTGCGCACTCACCTATAATTAAGCACAAAGCCTCACATTTGTGTGGTGCTTTACAGTTTATAAAGCACTTCATATCCATTATTTCATTAAGTCCCAGGAAGCCCTGTGTCTTATGCAGAGAATTGTCATTTTCATTTTTGAGATGAACAAAGTAAGGCTTGGAGAGTCAAAGTGACTTGCTTCAGATGACACTTGGAGGGAGCCCATCGAGATAAAGAACAAAGGTATCACCTGGTTCTGTTTCCAGGACCTGTCCTTCCTCCTCGCATCCTCAGCAGTAAATGAGATGAGGGCAGGGCGGGGCAGGGCCGGGTAGGACTCCCCAGATCTGTCCACACAGCCCCTCCTCCTTAGTGGGACCCAATCACCCTTCCTGTGGGTGGTGCTGCTCCAGCATCTTCATGCCCTATTAATCAGCTGGTCGCTCATCAGACGTTGTTGAATACCTGCCATATGGCTCATCACTGTGGGGGACACGGAGATATTTGTAAGACAGAGCGTATCATAATGTACAAAAATAAAGAATGCTTTGGAGTCAGGCAGGCCTGGGTTCAGATGTTGTCATTGCCTCCTTTCCTAGCTGTGGGCTTTTGGGCAAATTATTTAACCCATCTAAGCCTCAGTCACCCTATCTCTAAAATGGGATCAGTAATACCTACCTTGATTGCTTTGAGTATCCAATGAGGAAATGTATGTAATGTGCTCTGCATACTGTCTGGTACATAGTTAGCCCTCAATAAAAACAACAATCATTGTTCCAGATGGTGCAGTCAGGGAGGGCCTCTCAGAAGAGGGCCCTCTTTAACTGGGTCTCTTTGGGCCTAATTGGGCCTCTGAGGTTCCAGGAGCTCATTCAGTGTTTAAATCTGTGCATGAAGAGGTCTGGGTTAACCAGTCCAGTCTGTTTGTCTTTGGGGATTAGTCCCTGGTGTGCTGGCCTCAGCCCCTCTAGGACTCTAAGTGAGCAGCTGGCAACAAGGAGAGCCTCTGTGAAGAAAGCCAGCTTCCTATGAGCTCTGGGGCAGGGAGGAGGGTGGAGGGAGAGATCTAAGAGGAGAGGGCAGTGAGTGACCCAGGCAGATGCCCAGTGCAGGACCTGGGCCCGTAGCTGCCATCCAAGGAGACAGTGCACCAGCTTTAGCCCAGAGGTGCTGCCGCATTCAAGGCTAGAGGGTGGGACCCACCAGAAAGGTGCCCTCACCCCACCCACTCTTTATTCTTTCATACTCTGACACTTTCTTTTAGTGTTTGTGTTACTGTCCTTTCCTTTTACTATCTTAGCCCCTGGGTCTTTAGAAAGGTGCAGTGGAAAAAAAGCATGGATTTTGAAGCCTGGTAGATATGGTTGGACCCTGTTTTCCCTACTCACTAGCTGTGTGACCTTACAATAATTCCTTATTTTTTCTGGGCCTCATTTTCCCCTTCAGTGAAATGTGGATGATAATAATAATTCCAAAACCCACAAGCTGATTGCGAGGATTACATAAAATAATGCTGTGAGCCCATCACATGGAAGGTACCCAATAAGTATGGATTCGCTCCCTTTCTGCTATTGAGCTTGACTCCTGTTTCTATCCCTTTTCACCAGATATCAGAATGGCCGCCCACCCACAGAAAGCTGCAGGGTTGTACCCGCAGGAATATCTATTTTTCTTTCCTTTAAAAAATGGGATAGAGAATTAAATATAGCTAGGAGCAGCACCTTCCCCAGGGAGAAAGTCATCTGATTGTGATGTCAGGGATGAAGCCACCTGCAGGACCTGGGGAGAATGGGTGGTGGAACATGGGAGCCAGAAAAGTAAGATCCCAAGGAAGCCACATCCACCCATCCCTGAGCATGCACCTCCCCCTGGCTGTCAGAGCACCATCCAGAGATCATTCTGGAGCTTTCAGAATTATCTTAGACTCCTTTTTTCTTCTTCTCCTTGATTCAATTTGTTAGACTGCAAATATGATTTGGGTGCCCACTATGTGCTAGACGCTATTCTATGTGCTTCACTTCGAACTCATCCCTCCTGCGATTTTGCCGTAAGATGACCCTTTGTTTAATTGAGTGCCTGCAGTGTGAGCCAGGACCCCTGATATCAGGCAGCTGATAATATTATCTCTGTTAATTCTCACCAGAATCACAAAGGTATATTCCCTAGTATCTTCATTTTACACACGGCATCCTGGGGGTCAGTGAGCCTGAAGATCCTGCCCAGCATCACACAGTGAGTGGGAACCAGAACTGAAGCCCAGGTAGCCTGGCCGAGAAGGTTCAGCTCTACTTCTCCACACTGGCTTTGTCTCTTTCTAAGGCTACCGCAGGGGTGTCCTCACCCTTCCCCACCC
The DNA here is from genome assembly GCF_000001405.40 of Homo sapiens. Taxonomy (NCBI): domain Eukaryota; kingdom Metazoa; phylum Chordata; class Mammalia; order Primates; family Hominidae; genus Homo; species Homo sapiens. The sequence goes on along the minus strand of NC_000011.10, from coordinate 115,121,947 downwards.
AAGCCCTCCTCCAGGCCACCATCAAAGTGGCCTTTCTAAAATTCCAACAGCCTAGGTGGCCCTTCAAAGACCTTCTCAGGCTTCCTTCTCTTATCTCTCCAGCTCATCTTCTGACAATTGCCTCCGAAACACTTGCCTCTCCAAGCAGGCCATGTGTTTGCACACCTCTGTGCCCTGCACACACGGTTTTTACTCCATTCTCTGAATGGGGAAATAAACTTTCACCTCCTCCGTGTAGCCTCCCCTGACCCTCCAGGCTGACCCCACAGTCCTATCCTGTGGTCCCACAGCATCAGCCTTAGATAGCCGTTCCAGCACCTATCCTAGAGAGTATTAGAATTTATTTGTTTGCATTCCTGATTTCTCCTTAGGCTGTAAATTTCTTGAGGCAGAGAGTGACTCTTATTTATCTTTGTATTCCTAATGTCTTGTACAGTCAGTGTATGGCACATAAAATAATGTTCTATAAGTGTTTGTTGAGCTGAGTTAAAGTTAGGGCTATTGTTGAAAGTCAGGCCAAAGTGCCAGAGACGACCCCCTACATACTCCTCACCTGGGTTTGCTTTCTGAGAACTGTTCTTTGTGGGACCCCTGCCCACCCCTGACCCCTCGAAAACTCTCTTGGTTCTCATGGCTTCAGGATCTTTGGACTGAGAGCCAAGAGTCATAACAACCTCTTGGCACCACCATCACCTCACTCTGGGATCACAGACAGGTTTCTGGCTTCCTGACGTCCCTGCTGCCCTGCCACTCCCCCTCTGTCTGCACCAGTTTGAGCTGCTCTAACAAAATGCCACAGACTGGGTGGTTTATAAACAACAGATGTTTATTTCTTACAGTTCTGCAGACTGGGAAGTCCAAGATAAAGGCACTGGCAGATTTGGTGTCTGGTGAGGGCTTACTTCCTGGTCCATAGAGAGCACCTTCTTGCTATGTCTTTGCATGGTGGGGTCAAGCTAGCTCTCTGGGTCCTGTTTAGAAAACCACTCATCCCATTTTTGAGGGCTCCACTCTCAACCTCATCACCTCCCAAAGTCCCCACCTCCTAAAACTGCCACCTTGGGGGTTAGGATTCAACATATGAATTTGAAGGTGGCACTTACATTTAGGCCCTAGTGCCACTGCTTCTAGCATCTCACCACCATTAAAAGAAAAAGTTGGAGAAGGTAGACTGAGCTCCCAGGAATTCCTGTAAGGCAGGAATTGGCCAGATGGAATAAGCATCATCCACAGGTGGGATGTAAGTCAGGAGGAAGAAGATCATTCAGAGAGCAGGGCGCTGTGCCTCTAGGAGAGCTGTAGGTCTCTCTACGGGACTCTGAGATGGGCAGAAGAGCCTTTGCCTCAACTGGTCCTCCCAGATTGGGTGAGGCAGGGGAGCTTGCATTGATTGAGCACTTCTCTTGGGCTTTACAAACATTGTTACAATGAATGAGGGGGGAAACATGATCATCCGCACCTTCCCAAAGAAGAAACGGAACTCCCAAGGGGTTGTGTACAGACACCCTGTGTCTGTGTCCACGGTCAACAGAGAGCAAAACTAGTAAAGGCAGTATTTGAATCCCTCCCTGGCCAGCACTTAGCTACCGAGAAAAGGCCTAGGGCAGAAAAATCTCTTGGATATCCGAAATGACTTGACTTTTTAACATGCTGGCTGCAAGGGTCCCTGCAGCTAGCCTAAACCCAGTGCAGGAAAACAGTTCCCTGATAGCCTTACCCAGGCTTCGCAGAGCTCTGCTTGATAAGCACACTGTTTCCCAAGTGGCTGCCCATTGAGTGCTGTCTGATTTTGCCAGAAAACAAAGATAACCCCCTCCCAGACCAATTTCTCGTTCTGCTCTTCCTTCCCTAGAGCCCGTTTCCAGTGACTAGTGATGAAGATTCTCTGACTGGCCAAACTTGAGTCTGGCTCCTCTGAGCCTTCTTCTCTACTAGTCTTTAGCCTTGGTCTTCCTTGTCTGTCTGTCTCTGCAGAGTCTAATATTAGTAAATTCCCAGAAAGCTAATTTAGGAGGAATCCTTCCACCCTTGATATCTGAGCACCCTAGTCTGCCTTCAGCAAGAATCCCATTAAGTTGATTTAGCAAGAATTCTCCTCTCCTTGGTCCACCAACTCCCCACATTCTGCTCACTGGCTATCAATCCCCACCTGTCCTTGCTGTATTCAGAGTCAAGCCCAATCTTTCTCCCCTATTGCAATAGTCTTGCTGCCTATGGTGATAGTCCTGCAGAAAGTCTTCCTTACCATTTTAACAAGTGTCAGGATAGTCTTTTCAACACTGCCCCCACATCATGAGCATGGGCAGAGGCAGAGACAAGCAAAAACAAGTGAGTCACTCTCATGTCTTCCCACCCCCGACTGTCTTTGGGCCTGACTGGTACCACTGAGTGGCATTTGCTACAGGAATCAGGGTAGGGGCCTGGAGCCTCAGGACCCCAGAATGACCTAGGCAGGGCAATAATTAGCTGCCCTCAAAAGAACAGGCCACCTTGAGGTGGGGTCTGCCGGGCATCTGGAGCTGCTGGTGCGAGTAGTTGGTCTGGATTTTACCATGCATTCTGGTATACAGGAAACGTCATGCTACTTGATTAAATTAAATGAAATCTGGTGTTGAGTTTCCATCCCACCAAGGTGTCAGGGACGCTTTCCCACCCTCCCCCTTCCCTTGGGCCAGGTTGTGCACAGAGCCAGCACTAGAGAAGTCCTTTGATCCTGGGTACTCACTGGTCCCCAATGACATAATCATTTCCCGTCCTCCTTGAACCCGAAGGGTGGATGGTTCTGTTGCTTTTGCATCAGACTTAGAGATGGGAAAGGAATCTGCTGAGGCTCCTCAGGTAGAGCCATGAGCCACTCCCTCTGAAGCCCTCCACTTCCCAACCCCCCATCCCCATCTCACTTTGGAAAGTCCCCGTTCCTCTGCTTCTCTGGGAAGGCCTGGTACAATCCATCTGAGAAGCCAGTGGTGGAAGCTGTCTTTCCATCCCTTACAGTTCAGGAAATGACCTGCTACCTTCTTGAAGAGGGAGAGAAAATTACTTGAGGAATAAAACACACAGGAACATCTCCACAAGCCATCCTGCCTGCGCCTCTAGACTCTCTGGGATGAAGAGAATGTGTGTTTAGGTTGCCAGGTCTTGAGGAACAGCAGGGGCAAGGCTGGGAGTGGGGTTGAGAGTTTTAATAAAACGAGAAACATTCATTCACTATATTCTTCCCTCCCAGTCTTCTCAACCGCCTACCTCAAAGGCCTTCCGGAAGGGAAAACAGGCTTGGTACATCTTCCCTTGGGAGCTGAGCCCAGGTTTAAGGAGGCAATGTATTTGTTTATCGAATTTGAAATGGGGAAAAGGTCCACTGGGAAGGGTGAGAAATATTAAAACTCCTGCCAGGGCTGAGCAAAGATTTCCGTCCTTCTGCCTGTCTGGGGACCTGGGTGTATACTGGGGGCACCGTGTATATATGTGTGTGTGTGTGTGTGTGTGTGTGTGTGTGTACACTTTTCTCTGTGGCTGTACTGGGTGGCAAGGCACCAAAGGGAGAAACAGTGTGCCCACCCACCTTGAACGCACTATGCTAATGAATGAAGCATTACTATGTCATTCCCCAAGGGCCCCAGGCCCAGATCACATCTCCATTAATGCACCCCTGGAGTTCATTGTGACTGGCATCGCTACAATAAACAGTAAATGAGTGAATAATAATTGGCCATCTATTTGAAAGTGTTTCTGAGGTTGCCATGGTAATCACACCTTTTATTAAGCTTTATTAAGCTGCAGCCCAGGGAGTGAGGTGGCAGGAGCCCGGCCTCCCTGGGCCCACTGCAGGGGATCTGACCTGCTTGGTGACCTTTCCTGGGAGGCTCTGGGGTACAGGGGTGGGGCCTGGACGCTGCCTTCTTATTTTCTTATTTAATTGTTTTTTTAACTATTCACCTTCTCTGGGACATTTGAGATGATCCCTTTAATCTCCAACTAAATAGAAAAGAAAAGGTTTCCCTCCTGTTTTTTCCCCTCCTCAAATACTTAGGGATGGGAATGGAGGGAGGGCAATGTTATTTTATTTTTGCTCTGAGAATTTCCTCTCTGAACAATGTTAAGAATTAAAATTAGAAAAATTCTGGAAAATAAAATTTATTTTATTTTAGGATGATGACGAAAATCCTTCAGATAAGGTGCTATTATCCTGTCTTTATTATTCCGCTCTCTCCCCACCCTCCACCAGTGAATTCTAAATCCCTCTATGCAAGGAAAAGACTTTAATGTGAAACTACCTAGAATATCAGATCATTGTAATTCCTGTCCACCAGGAACAAGCAGTACAGTATTATTCTCGCATGCAAGAGTAAAGCACTGTTCTGCATCCAGGGGCAATACCATTCTCTCTCTCTCTCTCTCTCTCTCTCTCTCTCTCTCTCTCTCTCTCTCTCTTTCTCTGTCTCTCTCTCTCTCTCTCTCTCTCACACACACACACACACACACACACACACACACACACACACACAAAAGAGATTCAGGAACTTCTTGTTCTGCTTGTGGGTCTGCTCTTGCTGAATTCTGATTTCAATGTCAGTGGGTAGGCATGTAAGCTTTGGGAGTGATGGACCATGGATTGTGGCAGGAGCATCTATTCATCTCTGTGGATGTTAAAACAACTAGCTTATTGTTACACCTGCTCAGAACTGTCTAAATCTGCAGCAGGAGAAAAGTCATGCTTGGAAATGGTCACAGTCAAATCAGGGAAACAATAACTTAAAATATTATTTTCGTCTAGTCTACACAGCAAACCCCCATGACACACGTTTACATATGTAACAAACCTGCACATCCAGCACATGTACCCTTGAACTTAAAATAAAAATTTAAAAAGAAATACATGATAAAAAAAGTTGTACTAAAAGACATTTCCATTAAAAAAGTATTTTTTTAATCCAAAAGGTATATGTTATATTGTCTGTAGTTCATTTTAAAATACCTCAGTACAGTACAGACTGTGAGTAGACTTGCCAAATTTGGCAAATAAAATACAGAACACAGTTAAATGTGAGTTTCAGGTAAATACCAAATAATTTCTTAGTATGTCCCAAATATTAGATATATTTTATCTGGCAACCCTAACTGTGAGATATTCTTTTGATCCAAATTCTAGGGGGTGATTAGTTAACATGTGAAGAATTCTAATCAGGAAAACACACTTCAGGGTGGTTAGTTAACATTTGAAAGACTCCAAGCAGAAGATACATTCCCTAGGCAGCTCCTGGAAGACCTCCAGCTATTTTTATATCCTATCAAGACCAGAGCTTTGCTAATTAGCATAATGGATGTTAGAAATAATTTTCTTGGGTGAAACAAGTAGTTTGAGATGTGTGTATTGGCCAGAAGTATCAGATACAAGAGCTCTCCCTGCCCTTGCGCGGAAAGGTATATAAATTTAGCAAGTCCAGTGGCAACAGATGCTTTTTGCAATGGTGCCCTAAGATTTTAAACCAGTCCTATTTATAGACACTAATCAGAGAATTTTAAAGCCTGACTCCTAACCCACCACTAGAATATTGCTACATCTTCATGCAATGTGCTATCACATAGACTAAAAAGGTCAGAAGGCTAGAATTCCATTGAGTGTTCTGGATAGGCTATGTGTTTGGGGCCAGCTTGCTAATAAATATTTGTATGCATGGGAGAATACAGCCTGAAACTTGTTCTTATTGTAACATACCAACTGGGAATGAGAGCATCGCCTTTAACTGTCTGCAGAAAGAACACAATTGGTGTAGGTCGGTACAGAACAGAAGAGAATCTTACAGTAACTAAGGCAGAGTTTTGGTTCTCAGAAGTGTGTGAATAAAAAGAAATGAAAGATTTAGAAAAAGTGGAAAGTACTGAAAGGAGTAGCTCAGCAAATAAAACAGATTCCTGGGGACAAGAGTTACATCCAAATAATCTTCAAAACATTTGTCAACATAATCATTGTTAAGTGTAGAATTCAATGGCATGAACTATATTCACAATACTGTGCAACCATCAGTGCTATCCATTTCCAGAACCCTTATCATCCCAAACTGAAACTTTGTACCCATGAATAACTCCCCATCCTTCCTTCCCCCACCCTCTGTCAACCACTGCTATGAATCTGCCTATTCTAGATACCTCATATAAGTAGACACATTCTGTATTTGTCCTTTTGTGTTGGGCTTATTTCACTAAGCATCATGTTTTCAAGGTGCATCCATGTTGTAGACTGTGTCAGAATTTCCTTCCTTTTTAGGGCTGAATTATATTCCATTGTATATACATACTGCACGTCAGGGAATCTTCTGACAGTGGGCTTGGGATTCATAGACACGCCTGAGTTCTGCGTGTCCTTGGGCAACTTGCTGTGTGACCTTGAGCAAGTCACTTAGTTTCTCTGAGTTTCATTTTCCTTATCTTTAAGTGCACACACCTTTCTTTTTATTTAGAATTTTATTGTGAAAATCAAATAAGGTAATGTATGTAAAGAGCCTTATAAATAGCAAATGATCACATTGAGTAATATTGTGCTTCTTGGCACTAGAATACATAAAAAAACTAAATCTTCTTTCCATCTTACTCTAATGCTGGTGATTTCTTCTGTTCTAGAGGTTTTACCTATTTGTCAAACACCATTGAATGCAAATACCTTGAGGCTCAGTATCTTGTAGCTCAATTTATTACAAAACTTTGAAATATTTAAGAGTAAATTCAATTAGTAAAAAGTGTAATTACTGCCTGAATAAACTATACTTTAAATTTTAATATGCCAAAGTGGATCATTTTATGAGCAGAACAAGCTCTATGTTATACATTTTTAATGCTCCTAAACTAACAAAATGACATACAACGTATAAAAGATACTCAAAAAATTATTGTGTTCATTTTCACATTCCACCCAAATCTCCACCCTGCCCTTAGCCAAAGCAAAATAACCCATTTTATTTGATCCCTTCAATGATTCCATTTTGCATGTTTAAGCACTCCCATCTTTTTAACTAGTCCAACTTCTCTAACTGGAAGAAGGAAGCTACAAGGGGTTAGGCCCCTGGAGTTCAAAGGAGGATGGAGAAGAAGGCCTGTGTAAAGAAGCTGCATATGGACCCCAAATCACTAGCTAGCGGGAACACAATGAAATCAGCATCTTGTATAGACTGGGCGGTGCAGGGCCTGTCTCAATGCTGGTCCTGGATTTAGGATTGTTGTAAGGTGTTGCCTCCATCACAGCTCTCAGGTGCAGGTCTAGGCTCTGTGGGGTGGAGCAGGGTGGAGTGGGAAGGCGCAGGTGTGGCAGGATTGGGTCTGAGCTTCAAAGACACCAGGAGACCACTGCAGCCTCTGCTTCCCAGCCAAAATGCAGGCCTCAGACACTTTCCGACAGCCTTGAAATGGTGCCAGAAGGAGGGGGAAAGAAAAAAGGAGGAAAGAAAAGATAAAGTGCATGTTCACAAAGCAGCCTCTCCCTAGTCCATCCACACTGTCTAATTTTCAGCTGGGCTTCCAGCTCATGGGAGACATGAGGTCTTGTGTTGGCCAAGTTCTCTCACCCGCGGCTTCCCAGACACTTGGAGGTCCAGCAATTACCCAGTAATTACCCCATTTATTGCCTCATTATGGGTGACCACCTTTTGGCAGGCATTTCCCTGGGAAGGTCTCTTCTCCAGCACAGGCTTCTTAACACCGGGAAGGGAGCAGGCAGGCCTGCTGGGCCCTGCTGCTGTGGCGGTGGTGCTGAACTGCACTTTCCTCCTGCACCCTCACCCAATCCCGCTTGCCCTTGCCTGCTCTTGGCCCTGCACCAAGTCCTGAATCTCTGCTTTCACTAACGCCTAGCTGGGCTGGGTGGGTCACACTAGAGCTGCACCCTGCCATCTAACAGACCCCCATCTCATTTCTCCTGTCTCCATTACAATGGCCAAGGCACCTCCAGGAGTTTCCTCAGCATTTGATTCCCTTCCTGGAGCTTCCCCAGTCCCCACACCTCTCATATGTATGGTGGCTTCAGGTGCTTGGTTCAAAGGGCCCGCCTAGTGTCCTTTGGATTCCGGACACCTTGATGCCTGCTAGTTCTAACAGTCTCACATCCGTACCCTGTGCTCCAGAAGACCAATTTTTAACACATCTCACATTCTGGTGAGCAGTTTAGGAATTTGCAGGTTATGGGGGTGGGAGGTTGGGATAAGCGGGGGCAGAATATGCCAATATCTGTGTCTTCCAAGCAAGTTATAGGTAAAATTGGGTTGGTCAGAGAAGAATGGAGCTGGGATAAAGAACTTGGGATTTTACAGAATATAAATGAGTGAGTCGCTTTTTGGGGTGAGATGGAAATTGGCATGGATTTATGGCCAATAGCTCTAGGAGGGACCTTGGGGATCACCTTGTGTATCTCCTCATTTTACAAAGGAAAGCTCAAGGCCTGGAGCAATGTGTGCCTCCTCCCTTCTAGTCCAGAGCAATGCTCTTTGGGGGTGGGCACCTTTTATGCATATTTCAGTCTAATGTCTTTGTTTGCTTGTCCCTGTCTTCCATGCCCTAACAAGCCTCTCCCATTCTCCTCCTGAGGGCATCTTGTCTGTCTCATTGTGGCCTGTGAAGGAGCTGAGCTCTCCTCTGGGCACTAGCCTAGGACCTCACATATGGCTAGAATATAGTTTTTTTGAGGATGCCCCTATAATTCCCCTACATTCAGCATTTTTCTCACTGCGGAGCCGGGACTACCAAAGGCCTCCCTGGCCTGGCAGGACATCCCAAAGGGCACCCTGCCGCTGACCTCCCTGAGCATGCTGTGCTTTTCTGTGCATCCAGAAAGACCAGGCTTGCCTGCTAAAGATACTCCTTACACTTATCCCTGAGTAAATGTGTGCCAGGCCTGCTCCTAACAGCAGTGTCAAGCCCTGCAGGGGCCCAGGGCAGAGGTACAGGTTCGTTTTTACACATGCTCTGCACTCAAGAGAAGGGTGGGCCCGGGTGACTGCTCTCATTGTCTGCAGCTTCGTCTCTATAGAAGCCCTTGTTGCTAAGTTACCACAGCCCCTTCCACGCAGCTGTTAGAGCTGAGGAAGGGGAGATGCACAGATGGCATCATGGTCCTATACAAGCAGTACTCAAGGCCTCGGGCCAAATGCTTTTGTTTAGGAGGAGAATTTTATCTCACTCATTCATCCATCCATCCGTCCATCCAACAAATATTTATTGAAAACTTCCTATGTGCCAGGCTCCTACCTGTGGGACTCTATGCCAGGAAATAAGGAATAAGGAATCTCTCCAGTCTTACCTGGCAGCCTGCTCTAGTCCTTGTTAACAAAGCTCTAGCTATCCAGCGCCCTAAGGTAATAACAACAGGGGCACCAGGCAGAGATTGTTGTGTGCCAGGCACCATCCTAAGAGCTTCACACATACCTACTCACTTGATCCTCACAGCAACTGGTGAGGTGGTGGTTCCACTAGAAACCCCTTTTACTGAGAAAACTGAGGCTCAGAGCTAGTGCCAACACCTTACCAGCTAACAACTAGTACATGGCAAAGCCAGGATTAAACTCAGTGAGTCTGGTTCCCAAATATGTCCTTTTAACCAGAAACTCTACTGTTGAAATTTGTCTTTATATATAGCAATGGAAGTGCGGTAGAAGATTTTAAGCAGGGGGTTAATATGGGCAGAAGGCTTTTCAAAAATCAGACTGACTGTTGTCTGGAAGGTGAATTGGGTTATGGCAGGAGTGGGTGGGTCTGTGAGGAGGTCTTTGCAGGAGTCCTGGTGAGGAACGGTGGGGAATCAAACCACAGTGGAGGGAGTGGGGTAGGGAAGATTTAGGTCAATTAAAAAAAAAATCTCAATGTCTATGGGCTTGGTTTAAATTTCTTATCTTTCAATGTCTGCTTTCAACTGTGCTCCTTTTCTGCCCTTTGGCACTTAGGCAAAGTCTTTAATTTACTTGAGAAACAGTCAAGTTTAAACTTCCAATCCAGAATCAGATTCAAACTTCATCAGCTTTTCTTAATCCTAACTGGGCTTTGGCTTTGGGTGGAAATAATGTCCCTCTGCCTTCTGAGTCTTTTCCATCTGATGTTAAGGCTTGGAGAGGAGATAGAACAACTGTTAGAATGATGATGCCTCTGTGAGTATGGTACTTTACCCACAGAAAGCATTGAATAAATATGTGTAGAATGACTGAATGAATGCCTGAACTTAAAAAAATGAACTTATGATCTTATCGCTAATGTGTTACTGTTTGCTCTGGAATGAAAGCTCATGAAGGGTGGGAAACTGTGTGTGTGTGTGTGTGTGTGTGTGTGTGTGTGTGTGTGTCTAGATAGATAGATAGATTTACTGTTTTTGTGTATGTGCTTTGCCCCAGGCAGTATCCAGCGCAGTAGTGGACTCAGGGTGATTTTGATAGTGATGATTCTGGCATTTAGCGCTCCGTGGTCCAACCCACCTCTTCAGTTTTTATTTTCCCTGCACAATTTTTCTGCCCTAGTAAAACTCATTGCTTTCTAGTATGTTTGGTATCTTTTTCTTGTTGTTGCCTGTACAGAGCACTACAGTGAGGCATCTTCCAAGAATCTGTAGATAAGGGAACTAGTATTGTCTGTTAAGCATTAAACTTTAAGATCTGTACAGAGCAGAGATATGCAAAGTCACCTTCAGGAGACAGAATGGTTCCCTCAGCGGCACAACTTGACAGTAACCTGATTGAATGTATTAACACACCTACAGGAAGCATGTGTTAATCAGAAGTGACTCTGCTCAGCCATAAGGCAGAAAGAAAAGAGTCACAGAGGCGGTGACCATACAAAGTAGAGGGTGTTTGGGCCAACAGACCTGCGATATTATGGCCAGCCGTGTTATAGCGATGGAAGTGGGCATGATGGCCATTGGATTTCAGGTAATTCAGCCTCACTGGCCTCACCATCCTTGTTGGGAAGACAGAAACATCAGTTCATCTTAGTGTGATGCCAGCACATATTACACTTATTTGTTTGGTTTCCATTGCTCAGATAATGCTTCATGCGTGTACCACAGAGTAATAATAAAATATTCGCTATTGTTTTTATTGTTTTGATTATGAGTTGGGAAAAGATGTACTAGTTGAATAAATAGAACTACTCTGTCCAGGAACAACACAGTCCCTGATGAAAATAAATAAACTGGCATTCCACGTTTACATACACTAAATGTTAACATTAGATAGCCTCTGTAATATCATTCTTTCCTGGGTGAGCTGAGAAAATCAGGCGTTCTGGCCTGCAAGATTGACAGTCAAACCCTGGATGGGGTGAATTCTCAAACGGAATGGATGATATTCCCTGAGCAGCCTCTTGGAGACAGCCAGTTTGGAGTGAAACCAGTCTACACTCTACCCTGGCCTGCCCCAGCTTCTTTCTCCTATCTAAAGCCTATACTTTTTTAGGAGGCTCAGCTTAGCCACTGTCACTGGTGAGGCCAACAGTGTGTGCTCCCTCATCTAAGTTCCTCAGCACCTGCCCTTGGTACCCCATGGAGCATAGCACACACTATGGGCTCTATAGTTGGACTAACTGTGTAATTTTGGGCCAGGTACTTCATCTCTCTGTGTTTCAGTTTCCTTCTCCATAAAATTGATGTAATAATAGTGCTGACCTCACAGGGGTGTTGCAAAACTTCATGAACAAATGCATATAAAGCCCTTGGCACCATGTCTATCACATAGTAAGAGCTCAATGAAAGTTAGTCATTGCTGTTAATTGCTGCTTATTTTTCTAAGCATGTGTCCTGTTTCTGCAACTCATTGTGAGTTGCTTGCAGTAGAGATGATGCCTGTGAGCTTCAGTGCCTCCATCTGTAAAATGGGAATAATAACAGTCATGCCATGGGTTTATTGGGATAAAAAGTTAGAGAATAAGCATAAAGAGCCCCGTTGGTATCTACATATAGTAGGTGTTCAAGAAATCCTTTTTGATGTTATTATTATTATACCTATTAGTAGGCCCTCTGCCTGACACAGGCTCTGAACATGGTTGCATCAGACATATATGTGATTGAGTCACATATATGATGATGATGACAGAGGTCCTATGGAACAGGAATAGAATAAGTAGCCACCCTTCTTGAGGCAGTTAGAGCTAATTCCCATAGGCTAATGAATTGATTCCCAGGAACTTTGAAATTGGCTATGTGAAATGTGGAGTACGCTGTCCAGTGACATGGCCAAGTATTGGTACATCTCAGCGCCTTTGCACAGGCTGCTCTCCCCATCTGAGCTGCCCTCCACTACTCATCCTTTAAGGCCCAATCAAATGTTATTGTCCTTGCACTTTCTGACTTCCTGTCTCCATCACACATCCCCTTAGCTGTCACTCTTCCTTCCTCTCACTTTTCACGTATGTATCACATGGCATGAGCCATATTTTATCAGTCATTCCTTCATATATGTATATGTATCATTCATTCATAGATATATATACACATACACACATATATACACACATGTACACATACATACACATATACAGTCATGTGACACATAATGAAGTTTTGGTGAACACCTGACTGCATATATGACAGTGGTCCTATGATATTGTGATGTCATATTTTTACTGAACCTTGTCTATGTTTAGATACACAAATACCATTATATTATAGCTGCTGACAGTATTGAGTACTGTAACATGCTGTACAGGTTTGTATCGTAGGAGCAAGAGGCTACACCATGACACCATGCAGCCTTGGTGTGTAGTAGGCTGTACCATCTAGGTTTGTGTAAGTACACTCTAGGATGTTCACGCAACAATGAAATTGCCTAACGATACATTTCTCAGAATGTATCCCCATTGTTAAGTGATACATGACTGGACTATATATGGCATATCTACATGTATATACCTGTCCTAGTGGGCACAGACTATGTGTTATTTTCATAATTTGGTCTTCAGCACCCAGCAGCTGCTCAATTGATGTTACAGATGAAGATAAAATGGCTAAAATGGTTGGTGGTTCATGTGCCTTGAGTTCATTCTCCAGTGCTGGGATTGGGGTTGTTCTAATCCATCTATACTCCAGCTCTGAGTCCCTACTGTGACTGGTAGATCACCTGGGGATCAGTGTGTGATTCTGAAGCAGAGAGAGATCACAACGCCACCCCTTCCTACAGAGCCAGACGCAGAGCAGACACAGGGTAGCGGGCCCTATGATGCGTATGTGTGATGGGGAATATCCATTCAGCCAGAGGCTAGCAGGAGCAGGGGTGGAATGACGTGGTCCCTGGTGGTCTGTGCCCCGTTGTCACCGCACACTGCTTCTGGGAGATGAAGCTTCCTGCCCTTTTTTGGTCTAGAAATACTGGAGAAGAGCTTTGTTTTTCTTTGGTCCTGGCTGGGATGGGGGTGAAGAAGACTGTGATTTCCTGGCTCCTCTGCATCGCTGACATTGTGAGTGATCAGGGCGAGGTGGTGTTAGGACTACAGGGAAAACTGTGCATTCAAGAATCTTAAGGGGGGGATTATTACTGATAAATAAACACAGACACTGCTCTAAAGCAGAATTTGTGTTTTCTCTCAAGGGCCCCAGGAAATCAGCAAGCAACCCATGTAGTTGAGAACAGCCAGGCAACCCCTCCTGACCTCAGATTACTGCTAATGATAAGAGCTGGAAGCCCAGCTCCATGCACGTGAGGGAGGGGTGCTCAACCCCCTGAGGTTAGGGATGCGCTTCATCTTTTGGGATTTTCCACAATAGATATATTTTTAGCAAGAAAAGATTTAAAATCCCACAACTCAGTGCAACTTCCTTGCTTAAACCCAGTTGCTTTTCAGAAGAAAGCTGAAGGAGGAGGTTTGAAAACAGTCCTCTCCGGCCATAGGAGGTAATCCCACTTTTGCAGAAGTTACCAGGAGCCTTGATCCTGGCAAGTGAGCTTCTGGGAACCTCTCTGAAATATGCCCCTAGGAGTCCCTCAACCACTCATCAGCCCTTTTCTGAACTGAGATAATCTAGGGTCTTATTTCCCAAAGAGTGTTCTGTGGTCAACGATCCCAGAAGTTGTGCTCCTTGAAAAAATACTAAGAAATCAGGGTCCTGGAAATACTACCCACTCACTCTAGCCAAGATGGTCCCTCTCTTCTTCCTCAAACATGATAGGCACGCTCCTGTCTGGAGTCGTCATGCCTGCTTCACCCTCTGGTTGGTATGTTCTTCCTCCAGATACCTGCATGGCAAACTCCTCCCTTCATCTTCAATTCTTCGCTGAAGAATGAGGTCTCTTTCTTTGCTTTTCTATCCCCCTTCTATGCCTTTTTTCTTTTTTAACACTCACCACTAACTTTAATAAACTATGTCCCTTTCTGCCCGATCAGTTGTTGCATCCTCACAGCCACTCTGGCAGGAGGAAATAAACATGGCACAGTGTCCACTGGCACTTAGAGCGTCCACAGAAAGAAGCACACAATATTTTGACTCACATTTCATTGGACCAAACAAGTCACACGACTGCATCTAACGTCAAAAGGAAGAGGGAAATGCATTGCTACCCTGGCACATATGTCAATGCTTCTAATGACTACCATACCAGTTTAAGAGCTGTCAGTGAGTGCCTTTCCATTGCTCATGGAATAAAGTCCAAATTTCTTTGCTGGATTTAAAAATCTCTGCATGATCTGGCTCCTGCTTATCTCTCAGACTCACATCTCAGCTTAGAGGTCATTTCTTCCAGGAAGCCCTCCCTGATTGAGCTTTCTGGGTTGAGGATTCTTCATCCCATGTGCTTCCAGAAACTTGGTACTTCCTAGCATGTTAGTACTTACTCTATCTCCTGATACAAGGTTTTCTGGTGATCTATCAGTTAGTGTTAAAAATCAATTCAGTTATTCATGACCAGTATTATAAAAAATGAAACAGAACATAATGGATCTCCTAATATGTAGTAAGGATTTGTGATGCTTTGTGAAATTTTTGTTTCGTTATATGCGTGTAGATCAGTCCTGTGTGTTGGGATGACTTGTAAAATGTATTTCTTAATTTGGCTTGTGGTTAAAAGCCTTTGGAGGGCACAGCCCTCTTAGGACAGTAAATTTCGTGGGGCCTGGGACCAGGTCTATCTTGTTTATCCTGGACCGCTGCTGGTGCCTAGCACCATGGCTTTCACGAAGTATGACTTTAAAATAATTTTAAAATTATTGTATGAATGAATTCTCTGTCACCTGAGAATTTCAACTTTGTTTAGAACCAGGGTGGAAGTCCGGGCTGTTTTCTTTCAGTCCCATTACCCTTGATGAATGATGCCAGCTTGGATTTCCAATGCCAAGACTTCCCTCACTTCCCAAGCAGGCTGAATGGATGTGGGCTGCAGCCTACAGACCACTGGGCTTGGAAGCCTACAAGAGCCATTTCTCTTAATCAAGGCCCTCGTGGTGTCCTGAAATCCAGTGCCATCCTTATGCACAGGGGCAGCAGGATGCTAATGATGCTGCCCCAAAATTACTGTCAGGGGTCAGAAAAACGTGTGTTCAAATCCCATTTTACAATGTGCTGGTTGTAGGACTTTAGGCAAGGGGCCTCTCTGAGCCTAAGTTTTTTTCTCTGTAAAATAGAGGTAACATTATCTTCCTTCCCAAGTTGATGTAAGGATTAGAGAAAATGTTTATTTCCTATTTCTGGAAATACAGGCATTCAATAAATCATGTCTATTTATTATCATTAGTAGCTTTAACCAAACTCACTTTTAAAAGTACTTGAAATCCCTTTATTAGTAAACCATTCCTTTGAGTTAAGACATCATTTACTATAAAATGCTCTAGTTTCCCTGGGAGGGTAAGTATCTTAAGTCATGATCAACATCTTTGTATAACTTGTTATATCTTTCTTTCAGTGTGGAATCAGCTGAGATCTGGCTTTGATGGGAGGAAAGGAGGAGAAACAGAAACAGAAAAGAGAAGCCTGGGAAAAAGGAGGGGATGTGTGGCCAGAGGAGTTGGGGGTGTCTAGAATAAATGACTTATCCTTCACGAGGTTCCCCTTCTGTGGCAGGTGGCTGATGGGGATGATGTTATGTCTCTGAGTCTCAGATTCCCTATGTTATATCTACCTCTTTTAGCAGGGTCAGCTGCATAATGTCCAGGGACAAGTGCAAAATGAAAATGTGGGGCTTCTTGTCCAAAAAGGAGGAAAATTGGATTTTCTTTTATTATTTATTTATTTATTTATTTATTTATTTATTTATTGTTATATAGTATGTGCTCTCCTGAGAACATAGTCCTTACCAAAAAGCACAGACCCTCACCTGGGGCCACCCTCCCACCCCTGCCCCCATGCCCCAGCAGGTTGGAGGGTGGCAGTGGTCATAGGGCAGGGTTGGGGGAACAGGCTGCTGAGAACCCATCTCGGGGAGGCAGGAGGTGGGAGGTCAGGACCACAGGTTAGCTGATTTCACCACGTGTGACCACAGTGGTCACACGTCCATGAAACAGGCCATGCCCTTCAGCTCTGCTGAGTGCTGCTTCTGTGACCCCACTGTCACCTGGCCCTGGCTTCCTATGACTTCCAGGTCTTCCCATCCTTGAGCCCCCTGGGCTGAATCCCTAGGGGCAGGTGCTGCAGCTGCTCCTGCCTCTGCCTGCCCTTCTTGAAGTAGTCTCTGTTGGAGCTGCTGTGTTTCTGCACTGGTGCAGCCCTCAAAGCAGGTGCAGCTGGGAAGCAGGGCGTGGAGAGAGCAGAGAATGTGCTGCCTCTCTGTGTGTGCTCCTCTTGCTCCCCGGTTCTTGTCATGAGGTTTCCCAGAGTGAAAAATTATGACTTGGGTACTTTATTAATCACCCTACCCTTCCAAGGAAAATGACTGTAACTTTTCCATCGTGGCAGCAACCGCGATCTCCTTCTGCCTTGGCTGGAAGTGACCTCCAGATTTGGAATGCCAGCCAGGCCTGGGCTAGTGCCTGCGAGTCCTGGCTGCTGGCTGCTTTCTTGCTTTTCCTTTCCACCGAGAGAGGAAGAGCTCTTCGGCTGAGGGAAAGGAGCAGGTTGGATAGCAAGAGCTGGTATGCAAACATCTCCAACCAAGGATCCGTGCTTGTGTAGGAAGAGAGCATCAGGAGAAGACACCACAGGAAATAGCTTCAACGCTTGGGATTTGGAGTCCCCACACCTGGGTTCAAGTCCTGGCTCAGACACTTCCAGACCATGTCATACTGAGACTCTGTTTTTTTTCTTTGTCTGCAGAATGGGTATACAAATAATTCCTGTTTCCTACCATTGAGGCAAGGAGCAAATGCAATGTGTAGAGAAAGGTCTTTAAGAAAAGCTATAAAAAGATTGGCTGGCCTCATGGGAGGTAACACAGAACAAGAACACAGTTCACGATTGCATTACTGGTTTTGGTAATTCCAGCATAATGGGTGCTATACCATTTTTAAGTATAAAAGTACCGGTATTATTGTTGGTGCAAAATACCGTTATTTTTATAATAGTAAAATAATAGGACTTAACTGTTATAATTTATGTTATCCTATACTATTACCTACTAGTATAATGTTTATATAATATAGATACAATTTAAAGTACATTACTGTTGTATTCTAATAAATGCTGAATACTATTATTTCTAAGGTATTAAAATGTGAAATCTGAATGATTTCACGTCTGGAGACATACTGGGAGAAATATGCTGCGTTAAAACTTCTAATCAAACAAAGATATATTATTTAGAAAGCATTTTGATCATAACCTTCTTCCATTTAAAACTCTCCAAAGCATCTTGTTTTTATTTTTATTCCCATTTCCCACCGTCAGTGATGAAGTTGGACATTATTATGTATGTTTATTAGTGATTTATATTTTCTCCAGAGCTGGCTTAGATCCGCATCTACCACCAGGGGGTTCTGATGGCGTTTTCATAGAACTGTGGCCTGAGATATAATATGGGGAGGAGCGGCAGGATGAGGCAGTGTGGTACGGGATTGGGGAACAAGAGGGGAAGAAGGGTCCCCTCCATTCTTCTGAAACGTGCCCATCTCCCTGTCCTCCTCACTCCTGAGTTGGACTTCTTCAGCTCTTCTCCCCTTAATCTCTACCAGGTACCAAGTCATTCTCTCAGGGACTAGGACAAAGGACTCTTAGCTGTAGTGGAATTGGCTTTCTTACCATGAAACAGCATCTGAGGATAAACTGTAGAAGAATTGTAATTCAACCTTTCATTCTTACAAAACAGTGGTATTCAATAAAAGTGGATTTAATTTGCTATTTTGCTTTGATATTACCATTTTTATGGATAAAATATGGGAATTTGGGGTCAGACGACTCTGCCATTTTCAGGACTTTAACAAATCACATCACCTTTCTGAGCCTCAGTTTCCTTATCTTTAAAATGGGAGTCCTTAAGTAGATGTGTGGCCAGAAGTCAATGTGATTATCCACGAAGTGTTTGCGTGGTACCTGGCCCATGGTTACGTACTCAGGGAAGACTGGCTTTTGTTCTTAACTATTATTAGACTTTGCTATTCCACCCCAGCCCTGAGAATCATCTAATTAGATAAATCCCACTACTCTCCCCTCTTTCACCCCCAGACAATGTTTAATCACTCGGCCTAACAACTCAATTACACAAGGTTTGTGGCAACGGCTGTAGTGGTGAATTGAATTCTCTGATTAACTGAGTGTTACTGAGAAAACCCCCTTTGTCTTCACCTGGGCAGTCACACATCTTTGTAAAATAGAGTACAATCCATTTTCCTGCCTTAGCAAGTAGGGCTGGAAACAAAATAGGCTATCTGTCTATGACTCAGTGCCCCTTTCCAAATACTGCCCTGTCCTACTAATAGAAAGGGCAGAAGATTCAACGCTGAGCATATCCTGGCCTTGAAGATGGATTCCAGAATAAAACCTGCACTCACCTGTCAGCTCACTGTTTCCTCTGTCCTGAGAAAATTGAGAATCAAAAGGTATATACATATGTGGTAAGAGGGTGTGGGAAGAGGAGTGTGCAAGCTGAATTCTTAAACTAATTAATAATTTCTAGTTCGTGACAGTTGGTTTTGATTATTTGAGGATTTTTTAGCTTGGGAATTGTTACAGTGTGAATGTGTCCCCCAAATTTCATGTATTGGAAACTTAATCCCCAAATTCATCTGTTGATTAGAGGTGGCATTTCTGGGAGGTAAAATTAGCATTGGATGAGGCCACCAGCGTGGCTCCCCCATGGTGGGACTGGTGGCTTTATAAGAAGAGGAAGAGAGACCTCTTCCTCTTCTCTCAAGGACTAGGACAAAGGACTCTTAGCTGTAGTGGAACTGGCTTTCTTACAGTGAAACAGCATCTGAGGATAAACCGTAGAAGAATTGTAATCCAAGAGTGGACACGCACGCTCTTACTCTCTTGCCACATCGTGCCCTCCACCATGTTATGGCATAGCATGAAGACCTCACCAGATGTCAGTGCTATGCTCTTGCACTTCCTAGCCTTCAGAATCATGAGCCAAATGAATATCTTTTCTTTATAAATTCCCTAGTCTCAGGTATTCAGTTATAGCAATGGAAAACAGACTAAGCCAGGGGCCTTTGAGATGTCGGTCTGTGGCAGCACTCTCTGACTCGCTGCTGGGATCCTGCAGCCAGGCCAACCTCTGAGAAGAGTGGTGCCAACTTGCAGCCCAGTTTGCTGGGGAGAGAGGAGCAGAAAAGACCAGGGCTTGGAGAAGGCCCCTTTGGGGCACACATTCCCACAGCCCGAGAGTCAGTTGGCTTGACTAACATTTGTTGTTGGATTGCTGTTTCACATGCCTTATTATCCCATTTGCTTCTCTCAGGACAACATCCATTTTATACATGAAGAATGTGAAGTTCAGAGATGTTAAGTGACTTGTCTAAGGTGACTTAGCTGGAGTGGGGCTGAGTTTGGAGTGTGTAAAGAAGACAGGGTATTCAACGTTGTATCTCTCTCATTTTTTTTTTTTTTTTTTTGAGATAGAGTGTCACTCTGTTGCCCAGGCGGAGTGCAGTGGTGCCATCTCGGCTCACTGCAAGCTCTGCCTCCAGGGCTCATGCCATTCTCCTGCCTCGGCCTCCCAAGTGGCTCACTGCAAGCTCTGCCTCCAGGGTTCACGCCATTCTCCTGCCTCAGCCTCCCAAGTAGCTGGGACTACAAGTGCCCACCACCACGCCTGGCTAATTTTTGTATTTTTAGTAGAGATGGGGTTTCACCATGTTGGCTAGCATAGTCTCAAACTCCTGACCTCATGATCCGCCTGCCTCAGCCTCCCAAAGTACTGGGATTACAGGTGTGAGCCACCATGCCCGGCTGGCCGTATCTCTTTTACGTTGCAAACGTATCATGTTTAAATATATTGGATTATTCACAGCTGAGTGAGAATAACTTTTTAAGTATAATGAGTTTTGTCCTATCTAAGTGATATCGACCAGAGAAATAGAGTAGGGAGGATGCAGGGCAGTTGGCAGAGATGGGGGTCTGACTAGCCCGAGGAAAGAAGAGCAGAAGGGAGGAACCCCAGCACCTCCATGTGCCAGGCTATTCCGTTTGATCCCTGCAACCCATTAACTCAGATATTATCATCTCTATTTTACATAGAGCAAAGCTGAGGCTCAGAGAGACTAAGCAACTTTCCTTAATCAGAACTGGGAAGCAGCAAGGCCAGGCTAAGCTTTTTGTTTCTCAAGCCTATACTTTTGCCTTCCACTTTGCCACTTTCTAAAAAGCCATCAGCTACCTGGAGGTCACGTAAAAGGGACTGTTTATAATCCCAAAGTGATATGGGAGAGCCAGATTTGAGTTTTGGGTTTAGTTGTCCAAGGCCTTGGTGGCCATAGAAAAACCAATAGTTCCCACAGCTGTTATCAGAACATGCTGGGAGTGTAGATGAGGAAGCTTATTATTGACATATTTGGTATAACAAAAAACAGCAAAAACAGAAGCAGCAAAGTACAACCATTGCATGCAAATGTCAGCCTTAGAAATAGTGACCTTCCGGAAGCTCAGAAACCACGTCTGAATTCTGTAGCATCTCCTGAGCCACAAGGCAGGGTTGGCGCTTCCCAGGTGCACAGTATACCATTGAACCAGCAGTGACACAAAGGAACCTGACGGTGGGCTCCAAATCCCTTCCCGTTACCAATGAGCTCTGTGCTAACAGCTGGCAGGCTGCGGTTCTCGGTCAGGCTAGTTCGGCCTCCTAACACTCTTTATCCGAGCACAAGGTACTAACTGCCCCAAGATGACTATTTTAAGTCCTTACATAAATTATTTCACTTACTCAACAGCCCTAGCTGTTCTACAAAGAGGCCCATTTTATAAATAGGAAAACCAAGACATGGGAAGGTAACTTCCTCAAAGGCACGCAGCTAATGAGTGGTAGGTTTAGAATTTGAACCTATGTCTTTGAGATTCCTCAGTCATTTTTCTTCCAGAAAACTGTGGTTCCCCAGTTTCTGTGGTTCCCCAGTTTCTGATTTATACAACTGTGTTGATTGGTTTTATCAGAATCACCGGGGAGGTCCCAGTTGCCTATTGCTGGACCCGCCTTAGATATTCTCTTTAAATAGATTTGGAGTGGGGCCCCTGAATCTGCAGTTTTAATAAACTCTTTGGCTCCGCTCCACATGGAAGAATACCCCATTCTTCATAGATAACCCCATAATATCAGTGTTTCTTCAGCTGCCTTCAGCTGACGGTAATGTCTGTCGGATCTCCTGCCACCCAGACCCCTGGCCAAATCCCAAAGTCAAGTTTAATTTTCTAACTTTAGGATCTATTCCTTGCCTCTGTGCCTTATTCTATCAATTTCAGTAATTAATAATTACTGAACTGTAGTTAACAGTAGTTATTCTCAGCATCTTAGAATTCTCATGCCATCTTGGAATGGCATCTGTGGTGGTTGGTTTTATGTGTCAACTTGGCTAGGCTATAGTACTCAGTTACTTAAGACACTAATCTAGATGTTGCTGTGAAGGTATTCTGTAATGGTGGTTAGCGTCTACAATTAGGCTTTAAGTCAAGGAAACTACTTGATAATATAGATGGGCCTCATCCAATCAGTCGAAGGTATTAAGAGCAAAAACTAAGGTTTCCTTCTCAAAATGACATTTTGCTTCAAGACCGCAGCACTAACTCTTGCCTGAGTTTCTAGTCTTCTAGCCTGCTCTGCAAATTTGGGACTTGCCAGCCCCCACAATTGCATGAACCAATTCCTTAAAATAAATCTCTTAGTATATGTGTGTATGTTTGCATGCACATATGTATCCTATGTGTTTTGTTTCTTTAGAGAGCCGTTACTGATCCAGCATCCTTTCTTACCTCTTGACTTGTTCTTCCCCCAACTCTTCCTTCTGTCTTTTCTCTCCTCCCTCCACCCCCCACTCCTTTCTATGTTCCAACAGTGCCTGTTGCATGTCAGATACTGCACTGAGCCAAGACTATACAATAAATGAGTAAGATGTTTTCTCTGCCCTCAAGGAGCTTACAGTCCAGTCGTTCTACAATAAGGGGATTTGTAGACACTTTTGCCTTTACGCTATCCTTTAAATCGTTACATACCCTTTAAGTTAGAAAATACAACCACAATTCTCCTACGAGATATGAGAAGGGGCAGATACATTTTAGGAGACACCTTGATGACAGACTGAGCCAGAGGGGCCCCAGTTCTTATGCCCGAGCCCAGGGACCCTTCCCTGTGCTATGCTCCTGCTTCCCAAGCTCTTGGCTGGTATTCATCACTCCCTCCTCTGCATTCTCCTTAGTACTTGTTTATGTTTCTCTTTTGATGCATTATATCATATCTTGCATTTCTGTTATTTGTTTACATAAATGTTTCTTCTCTGTATTATAAGCTTCTCAGGGGCAAGATACAATGCTTTATTCAACAAACATTTATTCAGCATTTACAGTGATATAGGCACATTTTTCCTTTGTAGTGATTCACAATGCTGAGTCTGGACTCAGACTTCGGGGTATGCATCTTGGTTTCTTCAATGTGTGCCCTCAGGCACATTACTTAACCTCTCTGCGCCTTACTTGTCTCATCTGTAAAATGGGGATCCTAATAGTGCCTAGAACTTGGGCTTACTCTGAGGGATAAACAAGTTAATTTACATTAATTGCTTAGGATGGTGGCAGGTACACAAAAAATATTAGCTGTTGATAACAATAATTATTATTCTCAGCATCTTAGCAAAGAGTAAATATTTCCTAAATGAACATCTGAATCAATAAATGTAGGATTCTTATAAGTTGAAATCACCCCATGTAATGTTTACTAGAGAGCTTGAGTACTCGAATTGAGAGTGAAGCAAAAATATACTTTTAGCAGACTCGGGTTCGTGTCCTAGCTCTGCTGCTAGCTGGACATATGTGTTTGGGCAAGTCATTTAACCTCTTTATACCTCTGGTTTCTAATTTGCAAATAAAGTATTTTGCAAGAGATGACTTCTTTTAGCTCTAAAAGCCTGACCTAGGTCTTCATGTTTGCCTGCCTTTGGTGGCAGGTGGGCGTGAAGGACCCTGCCTGCAGGTGTGGTGCGGAAACCTGCAGGACAGATCGCCAAGACCTGACTCCACGTGGCAGGTGGCTGCAGCTCTGGACTTGCTGGCTTTGGTTATTAGCAGTGAGGATCCAGATACCAGATTTATAAAGTCAGCATTTGCTGAGTGGTCTATTGTGATCGGCTCAAAATAGCCTTACGCCTCTTCGCGGGGTATCAGGCCTTCTCCTAATACCCAGTAACTTCATACTCAAAACATCAGCCAGCTATTGTGTAACTCCAATGACAGCAGGTTCTTGCTACAAATCCTGAAAGCTGTCTCTTGGATACCCTTAACGTATTCATAACATTGGTATTTATGTATTTATCTCTGAAAACCATAACCTTGGAAAAAGCATTTAGGGGAAAGAAGGCTGTAGTGATTAAAGAAAGCTCTGTTCATTTGAACAACATTAAATACAACTGGCATAATGACAACTGTGAGATCTGATAGAATATAGAGAAGGCTGCAAATAAAGGGCTTGTATTTTTCCCTGATGTAACATAATGGTCACATTTTTCTTTCACAATGGTTTTGCCGAGATAAAGAACAAATTATACTGATTTGATTGCTACTTAGAAATACTTAAAATTGAAAAAGACAGCAGGTGGGCCTGGTTAGAAAGGATGGTTATTTTAGCATAACAGATGCATGCATAAAACATCACCCAGCCAATTTTTTAATCATAAGACCCCCCAAACTTTTCCTTTACTACTTTTCCTTGGGTTGTGAGCAAGTGGGGGAAATAAGTGGGCACAGTTTGAGGACGCCCTCTGGGTTGAAGGAACCAGATGTCCCCAGAAAAGCCTATAGGAGGAGCAAGGTTTGGGGTGGAAGTTAAGTCCAAGGCCTGGCAGATTACAGAACTGGGAAGCAGGGCTGGACCCACGAGCCACAGGAACCCAGGAGGCAGGGGCCAAGCACACAGTGTTCTGAGCCACAAGAAGCCATGCTCTGCCCTTTTTAAGTGCAATTTTCTGATTGCTAAAGAAAGGGATGTGCTTGGCTTCCTAGCCTTGCATTTGTCACTGCGACTCCTCTTTCTCAGATGGCAGAAGCCAGCAACACCATCAAACCATCCTCTTTAACTTCCACTTTCTCTGTTTCCAAGAAACACAAATTTAAGATTGTGAAAAGATGTGCCTGTTTACACTCCAGATGAGGCCTCATGGACCTGCAATCTTGCTCCCAGCTCTTGGTCTGTATCTGCATTTACTCTGTTGGAAGGTGTACAAGCCATCGACTTGCTCAGCTATTTGTTAAAAATGAAAGAACTGCTTTATTCCAGGTGAGTGAGTCCAGGAGTTGGAGACTACAGAAAATAGCAAGACTTTCAAATGGTGGGCATGCAGCAGGGTTTCAGAGGTTAGCTTTGTCTTGCTTAACGCAAAGCCTTCTGATCTTGGCTCCAGCTTGCTTTACTGTCAACCAGGCAGACAATCCCTTTCAGATTTGGAGGCTTGAGTTGGCAGGAGGATTTCTGGCAGGAACCGGCAAGAACCTCAGGTTCAAGATGAAACTAGCTCTCCCCAAAGAGTCCCAATTCTCCTGGCCTATTGGGTTGTTTCTCCTGGTTTCCCAATGTTGGAAATTCATCCAATTTGTTTCTTTCTCAGAGCATTTAGCCTCAATCAACTTCTACAGAATGCTTACACAGGTCAACCCAGGTCAAAGCCTCTCTAGCTTCTTTCTTAGAATTTTTTTTTTTTTAATAAACCTTTGAAGGCCAGGTGCAGTGGCTCATGCCTGTAATCCCAGCACTTTGGGAGGCTGAGGTGGGCAGATCATTTGAGGTCAGGAGTTTGAGACCAGCCTGGCCAACATGATGAAACCCCATCTCTACTAAAAATACAAAAATTAGCCAGGTGTGGTGGCGCATGCCTGCAATTCCAGCTACTCAGGAGGCTGAGGCAGGAGAATCACTTGAATCCGGGAGGTAGAGGCTGCAGTGAGCCGAGATCATGCCATTGTATTCCAGCCTGGGTGACAGAGTGAGACTACGTCCCAAGAAGAAAACAAAAAATCTTTTTATTTTAAGATAGTTTTAGATTTATAGAAAAAACTAGAAGATAGTACAGAGAGTTCCCGCATCCTCCATCCCAATTTCCTCTATTGTTAATATTTTATGTTGGTATGGTACATTTGTCATAATTAACACCATAATATTCACACATTATTATTAATTAAAGTTGACACTTTATTCAGGTTTCCTTCATTTTTATCCATGTTTCTTCTCTGTTCCAGAATCCCATTCACGACACCCCATGACATTTAGTCCAGGTGTCTCCTTCGGCTCCTGATGGCTGTGACATTTTCTCAGACTTTCCTTGTTTTTGATGACCTTGGCAGTGCTGAGGAGCACTGTTCAGGGATTTCATAGAATGTATCTCAGTTAGGATTTATCTAATGTTTTAATCTTATGATTTGTCTTATGGTTAGACTGGGGTGATGGGATTTGGAGAGGAAGACCACAGAGGTAAAGGGCCATTTTCATTGCATCTTATCAAGGGCACAAGCAATCAACATGAATTAGTGTGTTGGTGTTGACCTTGAATGCCTGGCTGAGGTAGTGTTTGTTGGGCTTCTCCACTGTGCAGTTACTCCTCTTCTCCCTTCCCATACTGTACACTTTGGAAGGAAGTCATTACTTGCAGCACACACTTAAGATGTGAGGAGTTACATTTACACCCCTCATTGAGGACAAATTAGCTACATAAATTATTAGGAATTTTTTTTTGGCCCAGGAGATTTGTGTCTTCTTTTCTATTTATTCATTTATCCAGTCATTTACTTATATTAATATGGACTCATAGATATTTACTTTTATATTCTGGGTTATAATATTACAGTATTTATTCAGTTGCTCAAATTGTTCCAGCTTTGGCCATTGCAGGCTCTTTCAATTGGCTCCCATGTCCCTTTGACATGCCCCATCCTTTTATTTTTTGAGCACTTCCTTACTTGCTGCCACTATAAGATGGTCCGGGCTCATCTTGTGTATTCACTACCCCAGCCCTAGAATCAGTCATTTCTCTAAAGACCTGGTTCCTTTTATTGGAGAATGGCTTTAGAAAGATTAGTGCCAAGATCTGAGCACTAGGTATTCCTCCTTAGACCTTCTGAAAGCTCAACTCTTTAGGTTCTCCTTCGTCTCACATAAATCTCTTCTCATTAGTCATTTCCAAGGTAACTTCACCATCCTTTCCCAGTGGCTTGTCATTAAACTGAAGTTGCCTCTCAATCTAATGTTTTCTGAAGTCCCCATAGATAGAATAGCCCTGATCTATGGCTAATGATGAGGTATAGCACTGTGCCCCAGTCTTGAGGAGGGGCAGCAGTCATCACAGCCCACTCCGTCCCTCTTACTCTGTGTCTCATGTCTCTCCAAAGACCATAACTCTATATACTGAAAAGGTGAATGGGGCTCCAAGTAAACAGGAAGAGATGTGTGGATGTAAGGATCACCCATGCAAAACAGGCCAGTTAGGGGCCAGGTGTGGTGGCTCATGCCTGTATAGCCACCACATTGGGAGGCTGAGGTGGGAGGATCACTTGAGGTCAGGAGTTTGAGACCAGCCTGGCCAGCATGATGAAACCCCATCTCTACTAAAAATACAAAAATTAGCTGGGTGTGGTGATGGGTGCCTGTAATCCCAGCTACTCGGGAGGCTGAGGCAGGAGAATCTCTTGAACCTGGGAGGCAGAGGTTGCAGTGAACTGAGATTGTGCTACTGCACTCAGCCTGGGTGACAGAATGAGACTTCATCTCAAAAACAAAAACAAAACAAAACAATAAAACCAAAAATCCCAGGCCACTTAGGAAGAGAAAAAAAAAAAAATCTCATTTGGTAGCCTTGAAAATTAGGCCAGAACCTGACCTACATGGGCTGAGTGAGGGGCAGCCATCCTTCAATAAAACATGGCCCAGGACAGCACCTTGGGGAATCCATCTGCTGTCACTTGGGTAATTTTATGGCTGGTCAGACTTTCTAAGTGCCCTGGCCATGCCTTTATTCTTCATACCTCTCCTTTCAGATTTCTCCGACACTGACCGTGCTCAGATAGGTGGTTAGAATGCAACAGCTACTAGCACAATATTATAATTTCAGGGTTATAAGGGTTTTTGGGGTCAATATCATATTGGTGCCTGAGTCTCTTTTACTATGTCCCCATTTAGTGGCTGCCCAGCCTTGGTTTGAATTCCCCATGTATCAGGGAGATCATTACCTACCCAGGAAATCTTTTACAATTTTAGGCAACCATAACCATTAGAAACATCTTCTCATATTCTCCTTAAACATGTTTCTAGGTAGCTTTCTCTTATTTCTAGGTGTTCCTTCTGTCTCTTTCCCCAAAGCCACTTGGAATAAGTTGACTCACTCCTCCACTCATCAACCCCTCATATATTTGAAAGTTGTTTTCTTTTTTTAAGAAATCTAACTCTATATCATGAACATTTTTTCATGTCTTTAAATATTCTTTGAAAACATAATCTTTAAAGACTTCATAATATTCCATTGTAGTTATGCCCTATAATTTATTTAACCATCCTCTCATTGTTGATATGAGATGGTTTCCAATTTTTGGTTATTATACATAATATGCAGTGAGCAGCACATAAATCTTTATCTGTATTTCAATTATTTCTTTAAGGTAGATTATTAGACGTGGTATTACTGGGTCAAAGGGTAACTGTTAGATTGTATTTTGATAGAGAGTGTAGTCTTACTATTCTATGAAGAGATCTGAATATCACTATGTGATATGAATCTAGAATGTGGAGATGAAATTTTCAAGTGGTTTGTGGAAGCCAAGGATCCTTGGTTGTAACTGAAATGTGGTATAGGGCAGGTCATTCTGTTTTAAAGAAATAACTGTGGTGACCAGAATTGTGTGTTGTCCTGGGTGAAGCTGAGAGTGAGTAGCTGATGTTTCAAGTAAAAATTTAAAGTTGCATTTTAGATGGAGCTGCATAAATCTGCAGGTGAGACCCCCGGCAAGTTAAAAGTGGAATATGCAGATGGAGGAATGCCAGAAGCAAGGCTGTGGGAAGGCACCCACATTTTTGAGACCAAAGTCAAGCTGTCCACAGTGATACATGAAGCAGCTGTCCAGTGGCCCAGTGGAGATATTGAAAAGGTCAGAGATTTCACACATTCAGATAGAAAGATGACTGAAGAGTTAAAATTAGATAAAGGGACAGATTCATTCTGGAATGAAATCTGAACAGGAGGAAAGTGCCGTTTTCTTTTAAATTAAACTTACACTGAATGATAAAGAGAAACAATGAAGTCTGGGCATTTAGTCTGATTTTTTTTTTTTTGGAGGATGAGAGATGAAACAATACATTTTGAAATAAAATGGTAACTTCGGATGGCATATGGTATTGAAGAGAAGCATAGACATTAGCACCAGAGGGAGCTGGAATTAACTCTGGTCTCTTTCACTACTAGCCAGGTAACCTTGGATAAGTTACATCCTGAGCCTCGGTTTCCTCCTCTAGAAAATAAGGATTACGATTCTTATTGCATAGGCCTGCTGTGAGGGTTACATAAGATTAGATGCAAATAATGGCTTAATACCTGTCATATAATAGGTGCCTAGTTAATGTTCACTGTCGTAGCCATTTCTGCTGTGAGCTGGAAGCTAAGAGCCCAAGCATGTCACAGAGAATTTCCATATTTCTTAGACCACAGAAAGCATTAGTCAAGATCAGAAGACAATGTTGACTTGTTTCTTCGACATCAGTAACGTTACTCACACAGAATTCATTCCAGAAGGTCAAACACTTGACCAGGCTTGCCATATAGAAATTCTGAAGCATTTGAGAGACTTTGTGCTATAAAAAGGGAGCAAAATGTGATCCCTTGCTCTGGAAAGTCTCTGGGATAGATAAAAAAGGAGAACTGCTGTTTCTTTTGGTTATTGTTGTTTTGTTTTGGTCTTTATTTTTTAAAAATTCTATTGTGGTAGGAATGCTTAACATGGGATCTACTCTCTTAACAAATACATTATGTTGTACAATACATTATTGTTGACAGAATGGATTTCTTTTGTGCCATTGGTATGGTCTCTTTGGGACCAAGCCCTTTGCACACATCATCTTATGACACCCTCAGAGCAATGCTGTAAGCTGGGTATCTGTATCTTTATTTCATAGAAAGACATAGAAAGTGACAGAAGCATCATTTGACCTTAAGGCTTGTGCCCGTCACTCCACCATGCCAATTGCTGTAAAGATTTACTGAGAGAACCTATGTAAAGAGTGCACTTGTCATGTGATCTTAGGCAGTCATATACTCTTTCTGAGACTCAGAGGCTTTTTGACTAGAAAATGGCAACAGGGCCAGGCATGGTGGCTCATGCCTGTAATCCCAGCACTCTAGGAGGCTGAGGCAGGCGGATCACTTGAGGTCAGGAGTTCAAGACCAGCCTTGTCAACATGGTGAGATCCAGTCTTTACTAAAAATACAAAAATTAGCTGGGAGTGATGGCGTGCACCTGTAATCCCAGCTACTCAGGAGGCTGAAGCAGGAGAATTGCCTGAACCCATGAGGCGGAGGTGGCAGTGAGCCAAGACTGCACCACTGCACTCCAGCCTGGGCAATAGAGTGAGACCCTGTCTCCAAAATAAAAAAAAAAAAAAAAAAGAAAAGAAAAAGAAAATGGCCAGAGTTACCAAGAAAAAGTGGTTATTGATCAAAATATGCTATTACCCACCTTGGTTGCCCACTTTATTCACCGTTATTGTCTCCAAAAGACTCTGCAGATCCCAAATCTGTGCTCCAAGAATGGGGATTAGACTCCATAGCAGGCATCAGCATGGAGGGGAGGGCACCGGCAGTCTTAAGAGAAAGTGGTCTTTCCTCGCAGCCTTCCTTCCCTTCTGCTCCCTACTCTTCCCACTGCCACTGAGCTGTGGTGTTTTCTGGCGACCATTTAGGCTTCTTTTAAAGGTGATGGGATCCCAGCACTTTGGGAGGCCGAGGCGGGCAGATCATGAGGTCAGGAGATCGAGACCATCCTGGCTAACACGGTGAAACCCCGTCTCTACTAAAAATACAAAATATTAGCTGAGCGTGGTGGTGGGCACCTGTGTAGTCCCAGCTACTCGGGAGGCTGAGGCAGGAGAATGGCGTGAACCCAGGAGGCGGAGCTTGCAGTGAGCCGAGATTGCGCCACTGCACTCCAGCCTGGGCGACAGAGCTAGACTCTGTCTCAAAAAAAAAAAAAAAGAAAGAAAAAACGCAATGGGGCCAATCTCCCTGCTCCCCAGCCTCTTGGTGTTTGCAGTTGCCATCACGCCATGGCCCTTCTTCATCTTACTTTGGAGGTCCAGTGCCTCTCCCCGAGAGAATGTCATTTCTGTTTCCTCTTCTGTTTCCTGGACAGTCCTCCATTCCAACAGTGGAGTTTCTCTTCTTTCTAGCTCCCCCGACCCCCTGTAAGATGAATGATTCAAGGGCAAACTATAATATCCCTTGCTTTAAAACTTTAAAATCTGTGCACAGCTCCTTTAGGAAGCAGGGAAGAAAGCAAGGAGCAAGCATGGACAAAGAGACATTAGGCTAGACCACCTTGCTACCCGGCGTCTTGTCTGAGCTCCACTGTGCCTGTGGAACCCGCTACACTATTGTAAGATTCCCTGACATCAGACCCATCTTAGCTCTGGCCTGTTCTCTGAGCTCATCCGTGGTCTTTGCTCTTTTGACATGTTCCTCCCTGACACAGTTGTGTGCTGGCCTCTGCCCTGGTCTGCGTTTCATCCAGTTCTGCTCCAGACAATGAGCGCCCCAGGACTCTCTCCGGCCCTGGACCCGCTGTGTCCTCAGCTTCTCGCTGAGTGGGTGCCTATGATTAGGTCTTTGATGTGGCTCCTCCTTCCTTGTTTTATGTCTTTCTTCCTGCACTCAGCCCCAAGTCCTTCTGGAACTATCTTGGGAGATAATATAAATATCATGGCTAAGGGCAACAGCCAGTTGTCCCACTTTTTCAACAATCTACCAGTGCCTATGCATCAGACTCCATCTTTCCACTGGGAGAATGCCCAAGCCAATGGAGGTCACTGTCCAAGAGATTAAGGTTCTTTGCCTTCCTTCTTGATAGTTTCAAAGTTTCATATTTCTGATGAGATTTATTGGAGCCTTATGGAAAGAAAAACCCTAAGGTTCCAGCCAGCTTGCCTGGATTCCTGTTAATAGGAAGTCCCTTTCTGAAGATGTTTATTATTTGTTGAAATGGTTTACAGTACATTCCAGAAAAGAAGTTCTAGACATGCTGGAGCAATGGCAGCCTTGTCAGAATAGGAGCAAGGAAACAGAAATTGATTCAGCCCACCCATGTTTGGATGGACAGAACCAGCTTCGACCTTGTGCAAGTCACCCAAACCCCTGGAGCCTTCACTTCTTCATCTGTAAAATAAGGATGAAAAGAATATCTTTCTGACTGTATTGGTTTGAAGATCAAATAAAATAATAAATGTGAAAGTGTATTTTGAAATGTCAGGCATGTTTTAATGTTCACTATTAATAGTAATATATATTATTATTAGCCTATAATTCCACAGGATGCTTCAGCAACAGAGAACAGAAACCTGGAGTCCAACTGGCTTAACAAGAGGGAAGTTTATTCTCTCATGTAGCTGGAGATCCAAAGGCAGATCAGGCTTCAGGGTTGGTGGGTTCAGGGTCTCAGGGGTGTCACCAGGGACCTAGGTTGTTTTTGTCTCTCTGTCCTGCCATCCTGGCTATCAGATTTATCTTCAGCCTGGTCAAATAAAATGACTCTGCAGATTTGGGCATCACTCAGACACAGCACTATTCTGACAAGGGGGAGAGGCTGTCTCTCCCTGTAGCTCTCTCTTGGGAGAGAGAAAGCTTTTCCCAGACTCTCTAGCAGCCTTCTCCCCATGTCTTAGTCTACAGGAATTGGTTCATAGGCCTATTTCTGGAAAAATCAATAGCAAGAGACTCCTTGAACCCATCAGGCCCATGAGTGTTGGGCAGGGTTAGTACCAGACCATATGGATGGTATTGGTTCATATGAAGTCTCTATCATAAAGACAGGTGAATGGACACTGAGTAGGTGTGTTAGGCCATTCTTTCATTGCTATAAAGGAATACCTGAGTCTGGGTAATAAAGGAAAGAGGCTTAATTGGCTTACGGTTTTGCAGGTTCTACAAGAATGACACCAACATCTGCTTGGCTTCTGGGGAGGCCTCAGGGAGCTTTCACTCGTGGTGGAGGGCAAAGTGGGAGCAGACATATCACATGGCAAGAGCAGAAGCAAGAGAGAGTGAGGGGAGCTGACACACACTTTTAAACAATCAGACCTAGGCCGGGTGTGGTGGCTCACACCTGTAACCCCAGCACTTTGGGAGGCTGAGGCAGGTGGATCACTTGAGGTCAGGAGTTCAAGACCAGCCTGACCAACATGCTGAAACCCGGTCTCTATTAAAAATACAAAAGAAGAAAAAAAATTAGCTGGTCGTGGTGGTATACACCTGTAATCCCAGCTACTTGGGAGACTGAGGCAGGAGAATTGCTTGAACCTGGGAGGCAGAGGTTGCATTGTAGCCTGGGCAACGAGAGCAAAACTCTGTCTCTAAATAAATAAATAATAAACAACCAGACCTTATGAGAACTCACCATTGTGGTGAGGACAGCACCAAGCCATGAAGGATCTGACCCCAGAACCCAAATACTTCCCAGCAGCCTGCACCTCCAACACTTAAAATTACAATTCAACATGAGATTTGACAGGGACATATATTCCAATTGTATCAATGGGCAACAGTAGTACCTTTTACAAATGGTGTAACTGTCATTGTTATCATTAGACTGTACACTATTTCTGCGTGGCCACATTTATATCCCCAGTGCCTCCTACAGTCCCCAGCACATTGTAGATGCTCCACAAGTATCTGGTGAGTGAAATAAATGACAGGAATGAGAGATCTGATGAGGACAACACCATTTACATGAGTATGCTTGGATGCATCTCACTATGTAATAGGTACCCCTTGCTGAGTGCCAGGGCTGTTTCTCACTTGTTTGCGTCTTCCCAGCACTGAACGCACTGTTTTCCATATAATAAGTGCTCCATAAAAATGTGTTAAGGGAATGAATGGCACATATTTTATGGGAGAAATTGGACTTTTAATAATGATAGCAGATATTTACCTAGTGCTCCTCCTGTTACTGGTGTTGGGTTATGTAAGCACTTTAGAGGTATTAACCTTTACAATTCTCACAGTAATTCTGTGAGCCAGGCATTGCAATTATTCCTATTTTACAGGCAAGAAAGCCGAGGCACAGAGGTGTTAACTAACTTGCTTTGAGCTTCACAGGTGGTAAGTGGGTGGGGCTGGGATTTGAATCAGCCCATGTGGTTCAGATTCCTGCATTTAATTCAGTGCCCAGGAAAGCTCCCTCTTCAACCTGGCCTTTGTCCTCTTCCACTAGCAGTCCTCTGGCCACTGAAGAAGGGACTGCCTATCTGCAGAGGGCTCTGCTGCCCCTCCCTTCACCTGCTCCTGTCCTGTGGTGCCTAGCTGTAGGAAGAGCTGGCGGGCCACCTCTGGAGGACCCTTCTTTTGGTGGCTGGAGAGGACAGGATGGGTCACACTAGGCTTAGCCTCCTTATACTAACCCTTCTACTGATCACAGACTCCAGTCACTTCCACATCCACCTTCCTCCCCGAGAAGCCCCAGCCTGCTGGAGTGAACTTGTTTTACCGAAGAAGGCTGCCATACATCATCGTTTATCAGTGAGCGTCCATTTCAGGCTGGACCTCCTGTTTGTCGGGAAGGGGGACTATTTATGGGGCTGCCGCTTTGCATAGCTAGAAGGGAATCAGGCTGCATTAGCGGTGGCATTGCTGCTGTCGGGCTGTCGTGGCTGGGCTGACTTGTTTGTTCATTCGCAGGGCCTGGTGTATTGTGAAGATAGTCTTTCCCAGGAAGAGCCTGCCCCAGCACTGGCAGCTTGGCTCCCCCTTGGATGGCTGCAGAGAACTGGCCCCTTTTTGAGCTTATGGTTCTATGACCCTGACTTTGTCACAATGTCAAATGGACGTTGATAAAATAACAACAAAAACTAACTACTTTAAAAATGAGCATTTATTATGTCCCAGATACTAATCCACAATTCTAAACACTTTACAGGTATTAAATCATTTACTCAAAATAGGAACTCTTTGTCTCCACTATGCAGATGAGGAAACTGAGGCATGGAGAAGTTCAGTTACTGGTAAGTGGCCAGGCTGGTCTTTAAGCCTAAGCATCTGGCTTTGGAGGCTGCATGCTCACCTGTCACTGGGGCACCCTGAGTGCTTGCCACCACTCTCAGGGCTTTACATGCATGTCTTATTTAATCCTTAACAGCATACCCAGAAGACAGGAACTATTGGTATCCAAAGAAACCAAGGCTGAGAGAAGTTAAGCAGCTTGTCCAAGGTCACACAGCAGCAAAACAAGCTAGGATTGAAATCCAGGCAGCCTGCTTTTGTCCTTCACCACCACACTCTAAGCGTCCTATCTCTTTTTTGCAAGACATAAGGATCATTCATCAGCAGAAATGGTTCAACCTAGCTTGTTCCTTGTATTCATTCGCTTCCACTATTCCAGTTCTTTCCTTTGGTAAGTTCTTCTTTGGATTCAACAGGAGTCCATCATATAACTGGATTAAGAAAATGTGGCACATATACACCATGGAATACTATGCAGCCATAAAAAATGATGAGTTCATGTCCTTTGTAGGGACATGGATGAAGCTGGAAACCATCATTCTCGGCAAACTATCGCAAGGACAAAAAACCAAACACCGCATGTTCTCATCATAGGTGGGAATTGAACAATGAGAACACGTGGACACAGGAAGGGGAACATCACACACTGGGGTCTGTTGTGGGGTGGGGGGAGGGGGGAGGGATAGCATTAGGAGATATACCTAATGCTAAATGACGAGTTAATGGGTGCAGCACACCAACATGGCACATGTATACATATGTAACAAACCTGCAGGTTGTGCACATGTACCCTAGAACTTAAAGTATATATATAAAAAAAAAAAAGAATAAGAATGGAAAGTGCTTGGCATTGGTTTCTCTAAGCCTGTGTTTCATAGAATCCAAGATGCCATTGGCTAAAAGGGACTTCCTGAGGTCACTGAGCCCATCTTCTGGCCTCCAGGCAAGATCACCTTCAGCACAGCCTTGCTGTCCTGATGACGTCTTTTTTTTTTTTTTTTAATGATTGTTTCCAGGGAGGGAGGGTGGGAGTATCTTCCATGTGAAAATACAAAGGGCTGGCCAGCATCTATGATAGGGTGGCCTGAGTTGTCTGGAAGTATGGCCTGAGTGCCTGAAAGTGCAGGTGACACAGGGATCCGGGCAGAGACTATCTGGACAGCACCAGCAAAAATAACCCCTAGGGCCCTGCCAGCCCCACCCGCATCCTCTGATGCCAAATGCAGATGACAGCCTGAAAACAATTTGTCCGGTCTGTGAGTAATGTCTAGTAACTAAATGCTAATTAATTTGCTGTTGCATTTGAGTTAATTTATGGGGTGTTCTCTTCACCAAGTAAATTTTAATTAAGAAGAGTAAAACAAATGACAAAGTAATTTCCAAAAAATTAATTTTCAGTAAACACAAGCCATTGTTTTTCTTTGTATCAATAATACAAGTTAAAGTGAAGCCTCTCTAACCTCCCCTTCCCCCAACTCTCCGGCTCTAAAAGATGAAGTTTGAGCCCAAGCCAGGCTCTTGGAGCGTAAAGACAGTTGTGCAAATTAGCAGCCAGGCAGGGCCAAAAGGAACTGGGCAGAGAGCCTGAGAGAAATCAGGCAACAGACCTCAAAGAAATGCAACAATTGCTACTTCTTTGGTGTTCATTGTGTATAATTTTCATCCAACTCTGCACTTTTTAGGAGCTTGGGAGGGGAAAAGTGCACAGCTCTTGCTTCTGATAAAATACTCAATGGGGGGGCAGAAAGGGGAGACATTTTATTATTATTTTTAAAATTAATCAAATTGCATACACAAATAAGAAAAGAAGAAAGTAAGAAAGCATCAACATTGCCACCTTTCCCAGCACTGCACTGGAACATTTTACATAGCTTCTCTCATTTGTGTAACAATTCTCCGAGGAAGGCAGTTACTATCAGCTCCCATATTACAGATGAGGAAACTGAGAGTTTTAGAGCTGGCCCAAAGTTAAGTCCATGGCAGTAAGTCAGAGTTGACACCTGCTTTGCGGCCTCCAAGCTTGCCACCACATCATGCTGTCTCTTCAGTTACACGGGTAACACAGTGATTTCTGAAATCGATTTGCAAAGCTGTGGTGGGTCTGCTGTCCAGGACTTGTTGCTGTTGCTGCTACTCTATGCCTGGCCTATCTGAGAGTTGGGAGTTGGGTTGGGGATGATGGGCACCTACCGTTGGAGGGATGAGATGTGGGAAAACCAGAAGGAGGCCTTGGGGGAGATCAGAGAAGCTCTGAGCATAACGCAAGGCCTGGTGGGGGCAGATGAGTAGGAACTCAGAGGGGTGGGCTCTTCCTATACTGTGCCCCACCCCTTGTTCTCCCCTGACAGCTTCCGCATCCTGAATCAATGCTTCATTGACCATGTCTGAGCTGAACTTCCTCACTCAAGAGAGTGAAAGCATCAAATTCTATCTTGGGGCAGCCGGGCAGTGGTGAGGGGTGTCAGCCTGGGAAGCAAAGCCCCTGCGGTGGTCACATTACACAGAAGCTAACATGAGGGTCGCTGTTTCCCTAGGATCTGACTTGTCCTGCTGCAGTCACTGGGGGCTCCTATGAAAGTATGGATTTGTCTGGGTTTCTCTGTTTAATCCCAAATCTGTCAGGCCTTGTTAAATTTGATGGGGCCTGAAAGGTCTGGTGTTAAGCAAATACTCGGTGACCAGAGTCTTTGATGAGAATCAAACTGAAGCTTAATCCTGAGGTAATGGCTTTCCCCATAATCCCAGGAGGCTGGGACTCAGTGAGGGGCGGTGGAATGCAGCAGGCTGCCTGACGCAGAGCTCAGGGAGTGGGGAACAGCTGCTCCCCTGTGGAGAGAGGTTCTAGACTCCCCCAGTGGCCTGCCCCTGGGATGAGATGTAGAGGCCGTCACCTGGGAAGGCATTCTGCCAGAAGTGGGGTGAGGAGAGGAGGAGTGGAGAGGACAGAGTCCTTTAGTTTGTGCAGATGGCTTTGAAGAAAGAAAGAAAATTAAAGGGAGGCCCGGGAAGAAGGAGGATTAAGAAGCCGATCCAGGATTCCCAAGTGGGCTAGCCTTGAGTTTTCCTCTGCTTCAGTCTGGGCTCTGAGAAGCAGAGCTGTCCAAGCAGAGAGTTTGGCTGGGGGCTGGCTGAGGTGCCCTCTGTTTCCAATTTGTGCAAGGGAGGTCTGGCTCTGCAGGCAGCAGATGGAGGTAGCGGTGGTGGGGTAAGGACCCCCAGTTACTACCTGAATGAGTGTATGGGGTAAACGTGACCACATCTAGAGCCCTTCTGCCAGCCAGGGTAGCTGGACACACTGGGCTTGGCACAGTGGGGTGGGGGATCCTGGGGACATGCGCTGGGGACAGTGAGGCAGTGTGGAGGCACAGTGGCCGCCCTCCAAGCTGCCCTCTGTGACAAATAGGGCTGATCACGCCATCTCTGCCTGCTCTCTGGAGAGGGCTGCTGTGCGCCTCGTCAAGGTACCTGATTAAACATTCATGGGGAAAAAATAAATAAAATGAACATTTTGCAAAGAGATGCTTAAGCAATCAGGCGCTTCAGGGGGTGGGTTACCGCAGCGCAGTAACCACATGCCCCAGGGGTAATCGGCATTTAATGTCACCAGCACCTCCTGGGTCTCGCACGGAGATGTTGATGCCGCCCTCCCCAGAAGCCCCACCCTCCAGGGGAGGCTGGGATATCCCAGCCATTTATGCTTCGCTGTTTATTCTTTTCTCTTTCTCATCCTCACTTTGTTTTAGTGCATCAAATATAACCTGTTCGGGAGGAAGGAGCCAGCTCTGCATGGAGGGAGGCAGGAAGGAGACCTGGTGCTAAGGAAGCAGGCTTGTCACTAAGCAAATGTTTATGGAGCTATGACAGAGAGTGTGTGGTTCCTGCCTTCTCAGAACTGGATATTAATAAGCAAACAGAGAATGCAGATGATGAAGATGAGAGGCACGACTGTGTCAGAAACTATTGTTAGATGATTTACAGGCATTATCTCCTTTAATCTTCATAATAACTGTATGAGGGAAAGACTGTTAGCCCAGTTTACAGAAGACAGGAGCCAGGCATGAAGCAGCTAAGTAACTTGCCTAAAGTTATATAAGGCAGGGATTTGAATCCAGGTCCTTTGACTCCAGGCTTGTGTTTTACTCACTAGCTACTTCTAATAACTAAAAATAGAATTGGTGCTTTGAGTTCCTCACTCTGGCTTAGGCAGCCAGGGGAGATTTCCAGAAGAAGTGACATTTTAGTTAAGTGCTCAGAAACACTGGACTTGTCTAGCTCAAAAGCACAGCTGGGTACACTGATAGCACAGTGCACAGAATTAAAATCCCAGGCATCCTCCCATCCCCAGGTAAGATTCTCCCAGGCTCACTTCCTCCCCTTTGCTCCCTGCCTGAGGAAATAAATGCCTAGTGACAGCAGCCAGGGTCTCCTCTTTCCATGGGTGCTGCAGGGGCTGCTTGGGCATCACGCAGGCAGCTGTACAGATGTTCCACCTACTGGTATGTCAATTAAAGAAGTACATCAAGCATTTCCCGCACTGAGCCTTTTCCCTGCCACTGAGCTCCCCTGAAGAGTAGGGTCTGATTTTCTGGAGGTGTCCATCTCTCTGGCAGCAAAACAAGCTCTTCAGACCAGATGAGTTTTCTTTGCAAATTAAAGTAATTCATTGTACCTCTGTAGTCAAACACATACCCACACCCTTTTATTAATACAGTCTCTGTTTTAATTGGCTTTCTCTATAGAAAATGACCTGTCAGATAAAGGGTGACTCATTGTACGAGGACATTCATCCACCAGAGCATGGACAAAGCCTGGGCCAGAGCACTGTAGGCAAATCACCACCCAAGTGGGGGCCACCAGGCCAGGTGGGGTCTAAAATGGACTTTGGGAGGTGTTCACCTTGTAGTAGACCAGAAGATAGTGGAGGGAGGGAACAGAGAGTCAAAGATGCCTGGTCATTTACTCATTTACCCATCCACTCATCCAGCAAACCCTTATGAAATACCCTTTCTGAGCCAGCTGCTTTTGCCAGGAGCCGGATTTATCACGAGTCACTGTGGCAGGTGCCTGACATTGTTACCTGAGCTGGCAGATGGGAGTTGCAGCATGGGAAGATCTCAGGGCCCCAGCTTTTAGGAAAGAACTACACTGTTCTAGTCAGTGCTGACTGCTCCTTTGCACTCCATGCAGGGCAGTTGGAAATGACCTTCTCTGGTGGAGATGATGTGTGTAGACTCTTATAGTCCAAAGGGACATTTAGTCCAACCTGTTGATTTTGCAGAAATGTAAAATGCCCAGAGAGAAGTGACTGCTTGAGAGCTCACAGCAGAGTTGGAACTTGAACCCAGCTCTCTAGGTCCTAAATGCGTAGCTTTGTTCCCATGCCTCCCAGATACTGTGGCTGAACAACATCCCTGGTGATAGAAGGATGGTGCAGCAACCTGCCTAGGGAGCGGTGCATTTTCTCCTGGGCGGTGCTCCATATGGTCCTCTTTTTTGCATTAAAAAATGTTTCTTTAGAAAGTGGAAATCCTTGAGTAGGATAAGGGCTTGCTGTGGACTTCACTTTTTGTATCTGTCCAGCAGAGTCCATTGAGAGAGACAGGCCTCTTGGAGGTGAGTGAAGAGTGTTGCCCTGCTGTCAGGGAGGATGAGGGCTGAGCGGGTGATCGATGGCTCTGATGGTGACATCTGGGAGAGGCAGCTAGCAGGTGCTAGGCCCTTGGAGTCACGTGGGAGTGGATTCTTTCTGTCTGGGCTGCAGAGGAGCAGTTGTGTGTGCTGTGTGTGGTGTGTTCACAAGCACATGTACACACACGTTACAGGAGGCAGACACTGCCCTAGAGAGAGTGGCGATGCTTCTCTGCAAGGAATGTGTTCTGCTAAAGATTTATCAGTCTCCCCTGGCATTTGGAACTAGCTCATATCCCTGGTGTTTTGTCCCCAGTGCATCATACCTTTACTCCTGAGGTGAGTGTGCTAAGAGCTCTCAGAGATACTTGCAGTTGTACACCTGAGGATTTAGTGGAAAGGGCATGGATGAGTTCAAATCTCAGCTTTGCTTCTTACTAGTCACGTGACATTGGGCCAGGTTCTTAATCTCTCTGAGCCCTAGCTTTCTTCTCCATGTAGTGGGACTATTATGGGATGATTGCATGACACAGACTGTAACAAGGTATTCACTTATGCGTCAGTCTCCCAGTACCTAAGCTAATTCTATATTCGCCTGTAGCCCTCTTCAACAAAGGGTCTGGATGGCCATTTTCAAACGAAATGATGTAATGGGTAAGAAAAGATGTTGTTAACTCTAAATCATCACTCAACTTGGTAGTAGTAGTAGTTAGTACAAAATAAAACCATTTCCATAGATGATGGATCTTTGTTAGTCACAAACTCTTATTCTTGCAGGATGGGGGCACAGTACAGCTTTAGTGTTAGGTCCTGAGTGGGGAGTGGTTTCCACGCTGGGGTGAAGGATCTGAGCAGCCAGAATCTTTGCTTCTTTCCTCCCTGATTGAGCTTCTTAGATATTAGGGATGCCCCAAATTCAAGGGTATGGTGGTTTTGTTAGCTGTGAAGCCTTAGGAGAATTACCTAAACTCTCTGTGCCTGAGTGTTCTCATCTGTAAAATAAGACAATAAAATACCTATAACAGAGGTGGAACCCATAACTTGGGTTAACGCACGTGAAGCATGGGACCTTCCTTGTTCATAATAGACACTCAAGAAATGTTAGCAGATTCATTTTATTTTTCTATCCTATCATCTATCTATCATCTATCTATCTATCTATCTATCTATCTATCTATCTATCGTGTATCTATCTATCATCTATCATTTATCTATCAATCATCTATCTATCATCCATCTATCTGTCTGTCTATCTATCTATCTATCTATCTATCTATCTATCTATCTATCTATCTATCTATCTATTATTTGGTTTTGGCATCAGATAGACCTAAGTTTGGAGTCCCAGCTCTGCCACTAATTAAATGTGGTACTCTGGGCAGTTGCTTAATCACCCTAAGCCTCAGCTTCTCACCTGTTGCGTGAGGATGCTAATAGCACTGCCTTATGCAATGAGTGGGATTAAGTGAGTTAACATACACCAAGTATGTGATACAATGTCTGGAACAGGGCAAGTGCTCACCTAATTTGATTTGTGATACTAAGTGTGGGCTGCACTGATTCTCTCTAAGGCTCATATCTCTACTGCCTTCTGGCATCACCTCCCAAACACAATGGTACATGTCTAAGAGGATGGGGCTGGTGAGACACTCAGAGCCTATGGCTCTTCTGTTCTTATGTCCAAGCCCTCTTTCAGTGATCCCAATGCATTACAGGCATGCAGCTCTTCATATTTTTCAAGGTCATTTCATATCTTTTATCTTTGTTTGTCCTCACAGCAATCCTATGAGATAAGGTGTATGGTATTAATCTTGTTTCATAGATTAACAAGAAAACAGAGGCTCAGAGAGGTTAAGTGATTTACCTAAGTCATTCAGCAAATAAATTCACATCTCCCTATTCCAGTTTCAGCAGGAATAATGAGCATTTATTTATTGCTTTATAATGAAGAAAGACTTCCTCACATACTGTCTCATTTGATTGTTGCAACAACTCTGGAGGGGCGGGGATTACTATCATCCCATTCTGCAGACCTAGAGAGGCTGAAAGATATGCTTCTGATTCCTCAGCGAGTAGATGATGAAAGTGAGCTTTACATTCTGACTTCAAGTTCAATGGTCTACTTGCCATTTTTTGTCTTCTCTTCAAAAGTCAGTTTATCTATTTTTTTTAAAACCCCCAAACAAATAAAACACCAGCTAAAACAGAGGCAGGCAGCTACGCTCAGACAGGCAGGCTGCACCGTAACTTTTCTGACAACAACAGCATGGAT
Organism: Homo sapiens; assembly: GCF_000001405.40. NCBI lineage: Eukaryota > Metazoa > Chordata > Mammalia > Primates > Hominidae > Homo > Homo sapiens. Next base: position 115,079,295 of record NC_000011.10, on the reverse strand, counting down.
CAAGGTACCCAACAAGAAAGCGTGGAAATCTAGCAGGCAGCTTTCCACTGAAGGGTGTAATTAGAGAGCTGACAGGCTGTACATGCAATGCCATTAATGGGTCCACCTGCGAGAGGGACCTGGCGAGCACAGGTAATTTGGACGGAGTGGAGTACTCAAAGGAGATCCATGCTGCAGGTGCCCAACCTGACCCCCCAGGCCAGAAGCCTCCCCAGGGAACAGGAGGAAGGGCCCGGCCTGGGCCCTGCAGGTGACACAAAGCTATTTGCCGTGGCGCTCACTGCACATTATGCTAAAAGTGTGACAGATTTTAGAAGCAGCCTGGGTGGGAACCATGGAAACAGGTTAGGGAAGAGGAGACGCTGATTGCTGCTGCTCCTGTTAGTGAAAGAAGAGTGAGCTGGGGAGATATGCCCTCCCTCCTCTGCCACCCTCGGCCACTGGTCCTCTTCCTGACCCCCCCAGCTGTCTGTAAGCATCATCCTTCCTAGCATGAAGCCAAATTGGGAAGAGAGGTGGGAGGCAGTGGGGGAGAGGAAGAGCAGTGACAAATCGTGTTGGTCCTGAAGCCTGTGCTTCTGGACTCTCACGCACACCCAGTGACAGTCACAAGTTCCTCCATGCGGAATACCTGCCATGTGCCAGGCACTGTGTGGGGTGCTTCCCCTAGGCTAGTTCCAATCCTCCCAACCACTCTGCAAGGTTGACATAATTACCTTCATGATGCATATGAGGAATCTGGGGGCTGAGAGATTAAGTAACTCGCTGAAAGTCACACAACTACTAACAGAGTATGAATTTGGATCTAGAACTGTCTGACTCTGAAGGCTATGCTCCTGTCTTTACTCTGTGCTCACTTCCAGGATAACAGCAGCCCTCTATGAACACTTAAAAACCACACTCTCAAACCCATCATTTAGCAAAGAAAAAGAATCTGTGAATTTCCCTTTCAGTATGCACGAGGTCACTGGGGTTTGCCACAGTGGTGGTCCTGTCTTCAAGAAGAATAGAGAGGAGACTGTTAGACTTTCTGCTGGTGGAGCTGCCAGACAGAAAGAACTGATGCTCTATCCTGTGGTCTCTTTCCCTAAGGGTCTTCACCAGCTCCCCTCTTTCCTTGCCTTGATTATGACTATCAGCGTGGTTACCAGTCTCTTGAGCAAAGAATCCATCTTCTCTTCTTGTCAGGAGTAAGGAAAAGGTGCTGGATGTGTAGGCTGGAAGAGTGACCCCTGGTTAAGCAGTGAAGTGGTTTTCTGTTAGAGGCGCCAAGCCAAGCAATGCAGATCCAGCTCCCAGATTCATGCAGCTGTCTGTGGTAGTGAAAGTGGAGGAGGATGGGTCAAGGACACCACCCAATTCTGAGACGTCAAGACAGATGCTTTCAGTGCCCAGAAACCTCTGGCCTCTGGGAGCCCTGAGCTTTGCTTTCAAGTAACTGAGATCAGAGACTCACACTGAGGAGATTTGAAACATCTAGTGTTGCAGCACCCTGTCCAAGGAGATTAGCCTAAAGGGCAACATGGAAAAACATCAGAGATGAGCTGACACAGAGAGGGTCAGACTTAAATGGTTCTATGCAGAGAATTGTGGGAAGGTCAAGGGTAGAGTATCCTAGATTCGAGAGGGAACAAGGACCTTAGGGCAGGTGTTTTCTGGAGGGAAGAGGAGGGTGTAGCCTGGGTCCCATGAGACAGTGGATAGAGGACCAAAGCCATCTAGAAAGACACTCTTTATTGTTCTCCTCTGGGAGCAAAATTGAAAAAATACACAAATAACCCCTCATTCATTAATTCAAATTGAAAAAAAAAAACCCACAACAGTTAGGGCAGATGGGCAGATAAGACACTAGTGTGGGATGTTGTGGAGACTTAATTTTTTATGTGGAGTATCCTCTTCTTGTTTAGGAAAAGGCAGGTTCTTCTCTTGTTGTAGGCTAAGCCCTTCTCCTGGGTACATGATTTTATTCCTCTGGAAAGCTGGTCCAATATTGTCACCCCGACCTGGTGCCACCTTGTAGCTTCGATCTTGACCTGGCACTGTTTCCATCCTATAATCTATAAACAAATCTTTCCCCTCCTAAACCCCTTCGACATTCTGTATTCTCTTTTCTCACTGTATTTTCTTTCCTTCGACCATATATTTTCTTTAAAATATGATCAACTTTTGTCGTCCCTGTTTTTCCTTATTCCATTTGCTCTCCAGTTCATGAAATTAGCTTCTCTCTCACTGTTCATGCATGCCTCAGTTGGACAATACTCATTGAGCATCTACTATGTGCCACATGCACACCAGGTGTTGAGGACACAACCAAGTAGTTCCTGTCTTTAGGAGCTTCCATCTAGTAGGGCAGGCAGATATTAATACAAAGGACACAAATAAATGCCAGATGATAATGGTGGTAAGTGTTAAGAAACCATGAGATGGGGTGCTAAAAATCCAATAACAGATAGACATGATCTAGTTATAGAGCCAGGGACAGTGTCCAGTGGTCAACTCATTGCCAAGTCCAATGGATGCTTTACAGTCAAGAGATGATGATGATATCGCCCTTTAAAAAGACTTCAAGGAGTGCTCTCAGGGTCACCAGAAGAGCTCAAGAGAATGGTGTTCCTGAAACCAAAGGGTGAGACAGTTTGAGGAAGGGCATCTTTGGGCTCTCTCCACCTCGAACATCTTTCTTCTCTCCCATGATTGGCCACCATCTATTCTTTACTAGAAAACTCACATTGGACTTTTTTTTTGGTGAAGTCTTCTCAAATCCCTCTAGCCCATCCTACCTGATCTACTCTATGCTAAATTGCATTATGAACACACTCTATGAGCATATTGGGCTGATATTTTTCGTGTGTATGTGCCTTTCCTTCTTAGGAGTGAGGGAAGCAGGGAACTGGACAGAACGTGATTTAATTCATCTTTTTATGGACTTGCCCCTTGCTACCCCATTCACACACTTAGCCTTGTATACGTAGAAAGGAGGGATGGATGGATGGATGGACAGACGGCTGTGAAGTCATTGCAGACACACAGTTTGCAGAGGCACTGAAGTGTCATTGAAGAAGCAGTGGAACGAGGACTCAGAAGAGCTGGGTTTGGGGTCTGGGTGAGTGATTGGGTTGTGTCACTGCAATTTTCTTTACCTCTTTGTGCTCAGTTTTCCAATGGGCAAAATGAGAAAATTTGATGGTTTGATTTCTAATGCTCTTTCACGCTCTAAATTTCTATTTATCTTCTGTCTCATCAAGGGAAATAAGATCATCTCTTGGTAGAAAATATGTTTTCTGCCAGATGGACAAATCATCACTGGTTGCCCAATGTGAGGCCATCCACTGTCATGTGGTGTAGAGATTTATAATAATAAAAAGAGAGTGTGCTCTTTGCCTTCAGTGAAATTACTATTTGGTTGGAGAGGTAAGTTCTGGAAGCTGCCCAGGTCAGGAATGGTGGAAAGGAACCCCAGCTTTCACTGGCCTCTTTTGCTCTCAGAAGCCAAGATAAATGCCATCTTGACCCTATACCCACAGCTACCCCATTTACTTAAGAGAGGATTTGGCTTCTTCCAGCTCAGTGCCTCTGTACAGAAGATTCTGCTAGTTTAGAATGTTCCTACCCTCTAAGGACCTGCCCTGGTTGCTTAGACTGTAATCTAAACTGACAACAGACTTTCTGTTTTAAAAACAAGTCCTATCATTTTCACCCTCTCCACTCAGCTTCTTCCCTCATCTCTCCCTCCCCCGGCTTCATCATCCCCCTTCCTAAGTTGATAGTGAGTCTTATTAAGTGGTGCTGTGTCATAAACTGTTGAGTTGTGTCAGCTGGAAATGGAACATGATTAAGTATATAAAGGAGTCCCAGCCTCGCCTGCCACAATATTACACAACAGAAGCCCTGGCAATGTGAGAGCATCTTTTCTTTCTCGCTTTTCTTCCTGGGGAACCCTGAGACCCTCTTCTCACTTTGTGGGCCCTGTTACTGGATCCTTGGCTCACACTGGCTTAGGAATGGGCTCTCCTGGTTAGCCATACCGGCATAATAAAAGCTTTCTTATGGCAGTGTTTCTCAAGGCCAACTACATTTCAGATGAACCCATGACTGCACCACTCCCTTGTTTGTCCCTCCCCCAACCCTACCCCATTTCCATATTTCGTGCTCTCAAAAGAGCACTAGGGTCAGCTGTAGTTGCCATAGCACCCTCTGGCCAAGCCACCTCTTCTATTCATCTCCTTCACAGACTCCACAGGAGGAAGCTATTTTCTTCTATGTTTCTCCCGAAAGGCCACCTACTCCTGCAACACTTTTGGGACTGATCATATGATGTCTGCCTTGCACCATCAGCTGGCCTTTCTTGCTCATTAGGAAGTGGAGATATGGACAAGCCCTTATCAGGGGCCCAGACAGGATGCATGCTGCTGGGAAGTCTGAGCATCTCAGGTGTAAAGCAGGGCCCAGGAACTGGGATCTCTTTCCCAGTCCCAGCTGCCCCTGAGCTGGCAGAATGCAGCAGAAATTAATGAGGAGTCAATGTATGGTACTGGTTAGGCAACTGAGGATGGCACAAAGTGGGCAGAACTCCTGGATAAGTCCAGAAACAGGCACAGGAGAGCCCAGTATATCTCCTTGGGCCAGGGAACTGAATACCCCATGACCCATCCTCCTACCTATTTCTGATTTGGTAACTTTTCTAGCCGATGGCCTCAAATTAATCTGGCAAAACAGCATCTTGTGTTGATGTGAGGAATCTGGGTACCTCTAGCCATATCACCCTAATTCTGGTCTTCCTTCTGGCCTCAGGATCTGGTTTGGATCTGTACTTTTAAGGGGCCTTACTTGTAAGTTCATTAAAATAGCACCTTGACTCAGTGTACCTCCTCTGTGTCCTATAAATGAAAGTGAGGCTCAGAAAGGGCAGATGACACCCTTAGTGGGTGTTTTCCCTCTCCTTTTTCTCTTTTGTTTCATAGCAATCTCTGTTTTCACTTGGAGTTAGGGGCTTCTGACCCACAGCAAAGGGCCCTTCATGCCTGTGAATCTAGGACCCATCATTGTCTTCCTCTGGGAAATATGATAGTACTGTCTCTCTGTGACCTTGGGCAGAGGTCACAGTATCTGTGAGGCCCCACATTCCCTTCTGAGTCCCAGACCCTTAATTCCAAATGCCTGCTGGATATATCTGCCACAGATGCATTCTCGAATTCTCCCTTTCCTTATTGCTCACATTCAATCAACACGAAGTGCTATAGATTCGCCTGTCTAAATACCTCTTAAATCAATCACTGCCCGATCATCTACAGCCATAGCTTTAGCTCAACTTGTTTCGGTTCTCCCTGAGGTTATCACCTCTTCTCCTCCTACCTGCTCTCCCTGTCTTCATCCTCACCTGCCTTCAACCCCCTGCACATTGCCTTGAGAGCTATCTTCCCCAGACATAAACCTGATTGTGCCATGGAAAAACTTTCAACAAGTCTCCATCATCTTTAGCGTGACATACAAGGACCCTCACAAATTGGCTTCAGTCCGTCTGTCTGGACTCATCATGTGACATTCTCTCTTTTCAATCCTATACTGTAGCCATGCTGAACAACGTGTCATTCCTTGACATGCTGTTTGCATTTACATATTTGTGCCTTTTGTGTCCACTCTATCTTCTGCCTGGAATGCCCTCCCTTGCCTCCTCCTGTCATCCCTACCTGGCTAACTCCCCTTTCTTGAGACCAGGTTGAATTGCCACCTCCTCCGTGAAGCCCCTCCTGATCGCCCAAGGGAGTATTCTTCTTCGGGCTCCTCTAGCACATTGTTTGCCTCCCAATCATCCATCTTATTGATTTATAATTATTTGTACATATGCAGTTCTCCCCAATACATAAAGAGTTCCTTGAGTATAGGAACGAAACTCCTAGTATAACGTATAGACCAGAGGTGCTTGATTAATGTTGTTGAATGAATGTAAGACATTTGCAAGACAAGAAGGGAGGGTTTGTGAGTAAGGGCTAGTAGGGCGTGCTGAGAGGAGACAGAGAGAGCAGGTTTTGTGTCCCCAGTGGCTGTTACTGATTTTCAGGAACACTCCCAGTGTAAAATATTTAGTCCTGTTTTCTTTTCACGTGCATACATTCACAAGTTGGATAAAATCCTTTGTCTGACCATGTGTTTCTATTTCTGCTTTAGATAACATTATCACAGTAATCAATAGGTGATTTGAGCCTGTACAGAATGGTTCCCTTCCTTCTCCCTGAGGCCTTCCCTCCCATAAACTTTGGACACTCTTAGCCTCTGTTCCATGTTGCAAAGGCCTGTGTGTATCCAGAATATTGGGATTTGGGGAATGTGTGAGTCTAGGCTTGAAAATATGACCAGAGTGCAGAACCTGTCAGGTTTCTTATCAGCCACCAGTGTGGTAAGCTACTGTTTCTTAGTTTCTGGAATGACCAAAGGAAGAATCCGTGTATGGTTCATGAAAAGTGGGAGCTCTCATTTTGGCTGCCCTTGGGAATTTGGCATTTAGCTAGCTTTTATTTGCCTTGCAATGTTTTGTTCAATTCCAATACATGGCTTTATGTGTTTAGCTTGTGTACAAAGTTTACTCTCATAAGTGGCTTATATTCTGTCTAGAGGGAGAGCAAGTCCTGGGCTAGAGTCTGTGAGCAGAGCGTAATATAATTCTGGTGTTTTATTAACCATAATAACCAGAAGTCTCTAGCCACTAATATATCTGCATAGAGGTTTTTCCTGATTTCCAATTATTTTAATTTTCAATACAAACTGGACAGAAAATTCATTTCAATGCAGTTGAGCTTTTTATTCTTTCTAAGCTGAGATTAAGTCATCTGCTATGTGAACCGTAAGTCCAGGGGCAGTAAGAGTAAGTACATGGGCTTCTCCCTGGCACCAGAAGTGGTCTCTGGAGCCATGTGGATGGAATAGACTTGGAGGAGTTACTTTCCCATTTTCTTGCCACCTTTCCTGTGAAATTTACATCCTTTGGCCTTATGAAAACTGACAGAAAATATCAAAGAAATTTACTTTCCCAAAAAGAAAAAATTATGGACCTTTTAGGCCAAGTTATTGCTGGTTCTTTTTATTTTTTAAATTAAAATTTTTTTTCTGTCTATCCCTTTAATGGGCGATAAAATTGATTGAATCTCTGGCTGCAGATGACTTCAGAATATTATTTGGGATGGTATTGATTTTTTTCTCTTTATAAAGCTTTTCTATAAAGAAAGCATCCGACGACTTTAAGTTACAAACTTTAAGTTAAATTATGAACCTTTTAGCTTTGCATTAGAAATGATATCTGAAACCTGATTTGCTAGATCAAACCACATTAGTTGTGTTATGTTATTTTCTAAAAACACATTTCAGAGAAATAACTCCAATCTGTGTTGCATTTTATAGAGCAAAATAATTGAATGGCGGCTGTTTGTAATTTTAGCAATCTCTTAACCTTAATCATATTTAATGGCTTTTCTCTTTAGGCCAACAGGAGAGAGAAAAAAAGGTTCCAGCTCCGTTATATAACGGCGCTACAGTAATGCACCCCGGTCCTTGCCAGCACTGTAAATTCCTCCTCTCTGAATTGTTGGTTCGGGACAATCATTCAGCAGGGAATTACTTTCTCATCTATGAAATAAATGAGATGTTAAACTAGTTTTCTGCTTCCTGTGGTACAAATGTATCAGTGTGCAGCCCCGTGCAGTGAGAAAACAAATGCCCAAGGCTTCTGATGATGGCGGCTGGAGCTGAAGAGGGGCACAGGACTCTGGGATCAGTGAGAGTGTGGCCTGGGGGAGAGGAGACCGGAATGAAATGAGATGTAAAGGAGAGAGAGGAAGGGTGCTCCGAAGGTGCAAACCCCTATTCAACAGAGCGAGGGAAGCAACTCAGGAGCGCCTGGGAGCTCTGTGCTGCTTCCTGTGGAGATTTTTTTTTTTTTTTTTTAATGATTGATTGGTTGCAGGTGACGCTTCTTGGGATTTCTTTAGAGCTTGAACACATGTCCATTCAGAATCTCACTGGCTTTTACAACCTTGATGGATCATTGGAAAGAGTGGGGAAGGATTCTTCTTAGTTCAGAGAGGGGGAAGCTGAGAACCAGGAAGGGGAGATGGTAAAGACTATTGAGTTAGGGGTAAAGTTGAGATTAAAAGTCAAGTCTATCAAGAAAGACAGACTGAGCATTCACGCTCGCTGCTTACAGATGGGGATGCTGCTGCTTCTGCAGCCTGGGTGTCTCCTCTCCCCGCATCAGCTCTTCCTCCTCACAATGACCACTTTCAATGACCTCGGTGCCAGGCTGAGACGCCAGGTGGGATGTGATTTAATGGAAGGCTCCTACTAAGGTGAGCTACATCATGAGGTGCCCTTTTCTGTACCCTGTCTGCCTGTTCTGTCAAATGCTCCAAATTCCCTTTAGAAATAGGGCCCAGCTCTCTTGGCTGTGTCCCTGTGCCTGTGTATGCCCCAGAATGGCAAGAATCATGTCTTTCTTGGTCATACCCTTGGCACATCGTCAGTAAATAAATGCTGAATGGGTGAAGACTCTCCTGCCTACTAAGTCCATGTAGCTTCCGGGCCAGTCTGTAAGGAAATGGTCCTGGTAGCGGGGGAGGTCCTGGTGCCTGACTGACCTTGAGCCCCAACTCCATTTCAAACCAAGGTCCTGGGGTTTTGGGGAGCCCGTGTCTTGGACTAGCAAGGCACTTGGTGACTCATATTCAGGCTTGGTTTAGCCCAGGACCAAGCTCCGCTGAGAGAACTGCTCACAGATTGCGAAGGCTTTGTGTGTCCTTTCTAATTAGAAAATTGCCTTTGGAATTGAAATATGTTTCACAGATGAATTTACTGAACTCCTTGCCGAGGTGCGATTCTCTCATGCTTGTTGTGAGACAATCACACTCTGAGGCGGCATATGGAGATATCAACATCTCTGCAAATTATGAAATCATCAGCGGTCAAAAATAGTCCCAACTTCTTGATTGCCTGAAAATAGCTGGGCTGACCACTGGGCATATCTGAGGTGTGGACCTATCCATGGGGATGGAGCAGGAGCTTCATCTTGCTTCAGTCTCCACCTATAGATTAGTTTAGTGCCCTGTCTGTGGCTTCTCTGCTCCGGCCTGGGGCTTTAAGGGAGTCTTTCTGGAAGTAAATCTAGAACCACAGTCCACAACTCATTTATACAACAATAGCTGAGTCGAAAATGCACATTTTCACTCATGTTTATTTAAAATAGTACCATTCTTCCCATTAACTGCAATAATATTTTTGGCATTATTAGAGAACAATTCTTTCATGTTCCTAAAGTACCTGAAATTTGGGGGCACCATTTTAAACATTACCAGCAAACGGGAAGATTGGCTGAGAGGTCTCACCAAGCCATGATCAGAAAGAATTTACCAGCCATTGGCCTATGGCACAGACGCTAGGAAAGGTGTCACTCAGAAGATCTTTGTAGGAGTTAAGTAAGTTCTCATCTGCGAAGAAAGCATTGGTGCCGCAGAGACTCACATCACATGATTACTACTCATACTAGTATAATTGCCAGTACAATTGCTGCATATTATGTAATATTTAATTTTCCCAACAGCCCCCAATCTGCAGGTGAGAAAAAAGTCTCCGAGAGGCTGAGTAAGGTTACACAGCTAGTAGAACTAATGAAACCAGGTTTTAAATTTAGATGGGACCGACCCCAAGGCCCATGTTCTTCCCATGATGTGATAAGGCCTCAGGGAACCGCGTGAGGGAGAAAGCATGAGAAGGCTGGGAGGGGAGCTGACTGGGGCAGTGGCTTTCGTGACTTCCCAGCCAGACCCAGCCACAGCCTGTTCTCTAAGGCTCCTCACTGCTTCCCAGGCCTTTCCAACTGCATCTCCTGGCATACTCTCCCTAAAAATGTATGCATAAGTGAATCTGTGTAGGAACAAAGTGAGGAATGCATAGAAACCCTGGCTTCAGAGGCCTCTCCATGGGCAGATGATAGTAAGGATTGGTGTTGGGCAGTCTATTAGTTTCTCATGGCTCTAACAAAGTTCTACAAACTGGGCGGCTTGAACACAACAGGATTTTTTCCCTCTGGACATTCTGGAGGTAGAAGTCAGGAATCAAGTTGCCAGCAGGGCCATGGTCCCTCTGAGACTCGGGGTGTATCCTTCCTAGCCTCTTCCAGCTTCTGGCTGTGGCCGGCAGTCCTCGCCATGGTGCTTGTTGGCTGGCAGCTGCATGGCCCCCATCTCTGCCTCTGTCCTCACCTGGAGTCTCTGTTAGTGCACGGCATTCTCTGCTTCTCATTAGGACATCGGCATATTGGATGAAGGGACTTACCCAAAAGACCTTGTTTTAACTTGATTACATCTGCAAAGACCCTATTTCCAAATAAGTTCATATTCTCAGGTACTGGGGATGAGGACCTCAACATGTCTTTAGCGAACGTAATTCAACCCATGGCAAGCAGGTTATTTGAAGTGCTGCCCCCTGGAAACTGAGGAGAGATCCAATGAGGTTTCAGGGGCTTCGTGTGATGATGCTCGCAGGAACAGAGGAGCTTCCTGTGGAGACTGGTCAGAAGCCCCACTCCCTGCTCCCTTCCCTTCCTCTACCTGGCATCCATCAGAGATGCTCTGGGCTCAGCCTCACATCTGGCACCAGCCAGGACATGAGACAGGGAGGTGAAGCCCGTGTCACCTGGTTCGCCAAGAGGCCCTCCTCCAGGTCTTTTCTTGGCTCTGAGGCCACTTTCCGGAGGCAGGTGTCCTGGCCCCTGCTGTGGGTTCTGCCCAGGAGGGCTCCATCAGTGTCCTGGGCTCATCCATGCCCCCACCCAGTTGTTTTTGGTCCCAGCCTCCCTTTCATGTCCCCCCTCAGCCCGCTGGGCACGACAGGCATCAGAGACTTTGCCAAAGAGTTAGCTGCCTTTCTCTAGGCCCACTCATTGCCAGTGCCTCCGAAAAGCATTAACATTGCATCTGTCATGTTATCTGGCAACGTTGTCTGTGTGTGCGTGTGTGTGTGTCCACAGCTCCTGTCTGACATCAAAAGGGAAATATTAAAGAAACCAATCATCTCCCTCCTCCTCATCAAAAGTACAAATAACTTAGTTATCTGGGGAGCATAATGGCCTGACTTTCCCCATCCCCCTACATAACGAGCTCTTTCTGAGCTGCCTCACCATGATCCTAATTGTTTTTAAATGTCTGTGCTAACCACTTCATACAGAGAGCATCAATCTGCACGCGGGTAACTGAGAACCATGCTGCCGCTTAGGATGACATATTCTTGCAGTAATTAAAAACATGCTTAAGAAGATTCAACCCCTCTGTTGCTGGCACTTGGCAGGCAAGTGTGGCTGCCCAGCCTGTTTCCAGTTGGTTTCAGCCCTGTGGGTTGCAGCTGAGCCCTAACCCTTCCCTGGGACGGGAGGACCCCGTCTGCTTGTTAGGTTGCTCAGTGGCCTTTTTGTTTGTTTGTTTTGGAAAATGATCTTCTAAGTCTCTCCAGGGCAGGAAAGGTCTCTGTGGAGTTGCTTTTCCATCTCCACCTCATGCCAGGTCTGAGAGCTCTGCCCAGGTCAGCACTCTACCATTGTGGTCCACCTGACTGTTTATTATCTGCCATTGATGGGTGAGCCCAGCCATGCAGAAAGTGAGGCCTGGGCCTGCAAAACCAGGCAGAAGGCAGAAGGAAACTCTGGAATGATGGAAATATTTTAGTGTCTTCTTTCGGTTCTCTGAGTTCCTAGAATCTCAGGAGGGGAAAGGAGGGGCTCTCAATTGTTTTCTGTGAGCAGATGTTTGTGCTGCTGTATTCAGGGAACCTGGGATCTATAGGATGGAAGCATGGGAAGATGTGGAGTTGGACAGGGATGGGGAGACATGGTTGGAGTCAGGAACTATTGTAAAACAAAAATATTTTTTGCATCTGTGCAAGTTTTGGTGACTGCCAGCAAGGCTGGGAGAGACATAAAGGATCTACTGCCAAAGATAGGAGTGAAAGGCCAGAAACAGGATGAAATTCTTGAAGGATGCTTAGGTAGATGATGGCACGACAAGGTTAGAACAGGGCTGGGGAGGAAGCAGGGTTAGATACAGATGTTGGACATGCTGTAAATCCTTGAATCAGTGAGCCAGGAAGGGGTCACAGGCATCTTTGTCCCTGCACATTCGAGTTGTATTGGGCTTGGCTGGGGCTGGGATCGGCCAGTCAGAAGGTCTCATGCTTCTGACCGGAAAGAGGTAGAACAGCCTCAGGAGCAGACAGTGTACGGCTGGAGGAGCAGTGGGTGCCTGGCACATCCTGATGCTTCCACCAAAAGCAAGGGTCCCAACACACTGTAGGGCTTGTGAGCTGACCCTAACATCAGCTCCCACCCCACCAAGCTGCTCCTGGCTCCAGCTGTTGCAGCATCTGCTGAGGCCAGGCTAACAAAAAACCAGGATCTGCTTGGGGGAGATCACTCCTTTCTGAACTCCAGGCTCATAAAATTTCTTCTAACCACAACTGCATACCCCACATCCCCACTTGATAGGAGAGGTGTGTGTGTGTACATGTGAGTTCAGAAAAACATAGATAGATTTCTACAGATACATTTATCCTACCCAACTCAAACTTCCTGTGGAATTAAGTTATACACCAGCCTCCAAGAAAAGCTGAACCTTGGTCTCTGCTTCAACTTAAGCTGCATGAAAACAATACATCTCTCCAGGTCTCTAGCAACAAATAAATAAATAAATAAATGAAATAAATAGAATTCTCAAAGAGTAGAGCTCTGAAGTCTATCTGTTGCTGGAAGGAATTCTACTCTGATGCTCCCTCTATCTGAACCGGGAGGTGAAGCTAATGTAGAGAGATGAAATCCAGCACGACTCCCAAGCAGTTTTCCTGTAACCAGCTCATTATGCATTAACCTGTAAGACAATATGTTTTAAAGAGAACCACATTCATCACTTCAGAAAAGTCATATTAACATAATTTCTGGGAAAGAACAATGGGGGAAAAATGTTAGTCATTGTTGATGGAACAGGTAAGTTTCAGTAGCATGATCTGTTGAATATTCATACGATATTGTTTTTGACATTTAAGAACTCAATTATCCGATGACTAATCAGTCTTTTACAGTATGTTATTTTTGTGACTAGAACTGAAATACTGATAAGCCCCAAGAGAGCACAGTGTTCAGATGGATTTATTAGTATTTTTCAACCCTGGCTTTCTCTGGCATGCATGTCCAGGGGAATTAATACCTGTGACAGTGAGGCGCCGAGGGCCTGGCTGGAGTCAGCCAGTTCATGCAGACCAGATGCTGTGCTGACTGATTTCGCTCCGGTAATTTTTTCTGTTAGTGAGGGGCAGCCAGGACTGTGATGTGGCCTAAAGCTCCCGGCTCAGAATCAGCTCAGCTCCTTTTAGCTATCACATTCACTACAGGTCAGGGGGAAGGGGACCTATCCAATCTTCACCCCAACCTGTACCCTTGGGCATTGAATGATCTGTACAGGAGGGCAGTTGGATGCCACAACAGCTAAATGAAGTCTATTTTAGGAAAATGTCAATAACTTTCTCTAGAGCCAAGGTCCCCATGGTGAATTAAAGATTGCAGCAAATTATTGGCGATTCATCCTAGTGAGAGGTAGAGTCTAATTCCCTTCCTCTTGAATCCTGGCTGGCCTTAGTGACTTTCTTAACCAATAGAATGCAGCAGAAGTGACAGTCTAGAATGTCCAAGACTGGATCAAAAGAAACCTTGCAGGTCTTTTTAGAACACTCGTTCTTGGAACCTGGTTGCCATGTTGTGAGGAAGCCCAAGCCACTTCAGTGGAGAGGTCCACATAGAGAGGACTCCAGGTCCCTGAATGACGGTAGTAGTTGAGTTCCTAGGTAACAGCCATCTTAGAAGTGGACCCCCCAGCTCTGCTGAAGACACATGGATTAGAGACCAGCAGCCATTGTCACCAAACCCTGCCCAAATTGCAGGCTTTTGAACAAAATTACTAATTGTTTTTGTTTTAAGTCACTATGTTTGGCGATGGCTTTTTTAAGCATACCAATGGCTAACCGGAACTGTCCCCAAACAGCCAATGACAGTTGCTCACTGAATTTGGACAGAGACCAGGTTCTAGTCCCAGCTGTGCTGCCAGGTAGCTCTGTGGCTCTGAGCCAGCAGTTGTCCTCTTGAGGTAGCTCGGCATGATAGAAAGAGCTCATTCTTCAGGGCCAAAAAAATCTAAGTTCAAATTCTTGTTCTGAAACTTACACTATTTAGGGCAATTCATTTAGCCCTTTCCAGTCTTTGTCTTCTTATGTGGTAAGTGTGAAGAATATTCTCTCTTGAAGTGTTATTATAAAAAGAATTGGCACATGGTAATGTTTAGTGAGTGGAATCCCCAGTTTCCTCATCTGTAAAGTGAAATGCTGGAGTGTTGGGAGGCTGCAGGGCCTCGTGGGAAGTGCTTGGACTCTGGAGTTGGGCAAATCTGGCTCCTAACTGAGGCTGCTGCTAGCCCATATGGCACCCTTGTCTGAAGAAGAGAAAGGCAGATGCAGCCTGATGGATGATGGCACCACAAACAGACCGTGCCCTGGTATAATTATAAATGGGGGGTGTGGCCCCTTACCAGGTGCCCATCTTCGTAAGCAGAGCACAGATTGGATTTCAGCACCTAATATACCTCTCAGTTGAGTGCCTTTGGCCACTGGACCTGTACAACTGTAATGAACTGCTTCTGTTCAGACCAGACTTGCTTTGTAACTCAGTATCCAACTTTAAACAGGAATTGTATACTCTCAGTTTCCATGTCTGAAGAATGGGTAGTGCAATACTTATGTATCCGGCGGAGCTGCTGTGAGAATTGAAGGAGTAAGATGCCCAGAAGTAAGATGCCCAGAAGGTGCTCTGCACAAAGTATAGCAAGTATTAGTTTATTTTCCCTCTCCACACAAAATAACACTGGAGACTTTTTAAAAAGAAATTAAATCTCCTGTCTATCCCAGGAGTAGAAGAGGACCGAGAACAGTTGGCAGCAACACCTGCTGAAGGACTGGGTATGGCAGTGGGAAGAAGTGGGTAGCAATGTACTAGAAGGGTCTATCAGTGGGATTTGGAAAATTCCATATCTAATATTTATTGTATAGTTCTATGACCTGTGAATCTGAAACCTCAAAAGAGCTGATTGTTGTTGACATTGGCACCACTGCAATAGTCAGAGCTGGGCACTGGCTGGCTGAGCCAGATCAGGAATTCATGCACAAGCGGGGTCAGATGGTCAGCAAAGGTGAGTATCTTCCTCCGTGCCCCCACAGCACCCTGCACGTTTCTTTATTGTTGCCCCTTTCTAGTGTTCAATTCTCTGTAGAACTGCCTTCCCACCACCCCAGACCATGAGTTCTTTTTTTTTTTCTGAGATGGAGCCTTGCCCTGTTGCTCAGGCTGGAGTGCAGTGGTACTACCTCGGCTCACTGCAACATCCACCTCCCAGGTTCAAGTGATTCTCCTGTCTCAGCCTCCCAAATAGCTGGGATTATAGGTGTGTGCCACCACACCTGGCTGACTTTTGTATTTTTAGTAGAGACGGGGTTTCACCATGTTGGCCAGGCTGGTTTCAAACTCCTGACATCGTGATCCACCTGCCTCGGCCTCCCAAAGTTCTGGGATTACAGGCATGAGCCACCGTGCCTGGCCCACACTGCCTCTGAGGGCAGTGCCTTTGCCTGTTCATCCTAGAATCCCCAGCACATGGTGGGGCTCAATGAATGTTTTTTGTTTTTTTTTTTTCATGACTAAATGAACATAGGGACAGTAAAGGGAGCTAGCATTTACTAGACAACATAAATATGCAAGGAGCATTACTAAAGTTTTCCATTGACTCTTGACAACACCCCTATTTGTGGGAAAGTGGAGAGTGAAATAATATTTTATTTGCTGAGCCTGATCTGTGTGTGAGGAATTCTTCCAGGGACTTTATGTACATAATTTAATCCTTTAAACAAGTTTGTGGGATAGGTGTTATTATACCCATTTCAGAGATAGGGATAAGGAAGCACTATTAAAAAAAAAAGAAAAAGAAAAACTAAGCAAGTTGCTCAGATAAGCATCACTTAAAAGTGGTATACTAAGGCAGGAATAGAAAACCAAACACCACATGTTCTCACTCATATGTGGGAGCTGAACAATGAGAACACATGGACATAGGGAGGGGAACAACACACACTGGGGCCTGTTGGAGAGGTGGGGAGAGGCAGAGCATCAGGAAAAATAGCTAATGCATGCTGGGCTTAATACTAGGTGATGGGTTGATAGGTGCAGCAAACCATCATGGCACACGTTTACCTATGTAACAAACCTGTGCATCCCGCATATGTACCCTGGAACTTAATTTTTTTTTTTAAAGTGGTATAGTTGAGATTTGAATCTAGATCTGTCTGACTGTGAAGTTCTCTCCACTCTACCATACACCCTCTTTCAGGAAAAAGCCAGACACTGAGTGTTGCAGAGATGGAAGCACAAGAACCCGTGTTCAAAGGTAGAACAAAACCAGGAGATTAGAGAAAAATGCAAGACATTAATCAGTAAATATTTACTGAGCACCTACTTTGTACCAGGAAATATTCTAGTATTCTAATCACATGACATATATCAATGAGTGAACTGGATGCAAATCTCTGCCCTTGTTGAGCTTCTAATCTATTGAGTAGCATTATCAAAGAGAAAAGCCACGCATTAGATCCAGGATGTTTATTTAAATGTGCAGTTTCCCAAAGCAGAATTGGAGGTCGCAGGGCACCAACATGCAGGGGAATGCTGTTGGGATCCTGGCTCAGTTAATGAGAACACCATCACTGTTGCTGTATCAAGGGGGAACCTTGGCTTCTGGAGTAACTCTGCAGTAGACGGGACAATAGCTCAGTGATTTGACATCTGCAGTACAAATAGCTGATACAAGATAAGGAGAGACTAACTCAGTACTGAGACATATGTTTGCTAATATTGCCCTGTTTACAGTTAGTATTGATCTTCTGAGATGGGAGCAGTGTGGAGTCTCCAAAATAGGATTAAGCAAATTTGAAGAGTTAGGCAAATTATTTCATTGGAACCCTCCAGAACACAAGACCTCTCCACTGCTCAAGAGTAACAGTAGCAGCCACAGTTTTCACCACACTGAGGAATCTGGACTGTTTGGACACCTACCGTCCCTAACTTGAGTGACCCTAAGCTCCTTGGGATATGAGCAGTAGATTCTCTTTGAGGTCAAGCTGGGGATCTTTGCTTTAGAATCTAGAAACTTTCATAATGATGTTTGACTTAGGATGAAATTAAAATTCGTAAGCTTTCCCTGAGCATACATCAGCTGGGGAGTGGGAGGAAGGAAATAGAATGCAGTGGCTGAGAGACGCTGGGAGGAAGAGGCAGCTGACCCTGGCGGTGTAGCAGAAAATCCCTGTTGCTGATTGCGCCCAGTTCAGAGGTATGGGCCTTTCTCTATGGGGCTTGGTGAGGTCAGTACTGGATCTCTTAGATTCAAATTCAACAAGATTTATTGATGTGTCAGACCCTGAGATAAGCACTTTAACATCTTTATTTCATTTAATCTGACCAATGGCCTCATGATGTAGGTATTATTATCCCCAAATTACAGAAGAGGAAATTGGGTCTCAGAGAAATGAAATGCTTCAAAGTTACATAGCCAGCAAATGATGGAGCCGAGATTTGACCGCGGGGTTTCCTCGTGGAAAGCCCACTGCAGTTTCCACATCTGGCTGTCACTTGCATCAACAGCATCCAGGCAACCAGTGGTCAGTGAACACGTCTGTGCATTGGGCACGGCATCAGACACCAGAGATGTGGCAATGAAAAAGGCTTTGCTCTGGGATGTTGGGCAAGGCACCAAAGCTTTTCTCCCCTCTCAAATTCAGATAAAAGTAAGATAAATGCCATGAATTAATCACAGAGAATTTTAAACAAGTCCCTCGGTGGCTTATATCCAGAGGTTGTAGCTGCTTTAGGAAAGGGAAGGAAAAAGTGGTGGAGCAGCTGACAAATTCAGGTGTGTCCTTGTGTCTTGTTGCAATTATTCAGGCAAGCACGGGTCCTGTAACCTCCCTACCCCAAATGATTCACACTGGCCCTAAGTCCAGTTTTCATTTATAGATTCCAGAATAGGCTATTTCTCTCCCTTCATCAAGGTGGCTGGGAAGACAGATGGAAGTGGTTGGACGAGGCTCTCTGGCTTTTCTCGTAATGGCCAAACTGCTTTTCCTTCTGCCCTGGAATCTTTCCCACCAGCCCCACTGACTTCATTGTTGTCCTTACAGCCCACAAAGTGGAGGGAGGGAGCCGACATTCCCCAGCCTAAGAATGGCTCACATCTCTCTCTAGGGCACCTTCTACTTTCTGAAGAGAAACAAGTGGCAGTTTGGGTCTCTCTGTGGAAGCCACTCAGTCTTGGATAAAATGTCCTGGGGCTGTGGAAGTCAACAGCAACAGTAGCATTTACAGTAACTGCCAAGCTTAATAGCATCTTGTGATGAAGTTTTACCATAAACAGCCGTGAGGGCAGGGGGCTGTGGGGGGACGGGGCTACTCATCCTGGCAGGATTGAGTGCTTTGTCCCCATTCAGAAATAACATTTCTCGTGTGTGCTTCTTTACCAGCTCTTTAAATGGTTCCACGTGTGAGAGTCCTGGGATTAATACCCATGTCATCTGCTGACTTTATTGTCCTCTCAACATTTTTTTTTTGAGAGGAGGGGGAAGAGGAGGAGAGATTTGCGAAGGCCTTTGATGGTGAGCAGGCCTGGCCACAGTGAATGCGAGAATGCTCTCCTTCCTCTGGGTGTGAGAGATTCTGGAGGAATGAGGAGAGAAAGTCAGTGGCTGCTGGAGACAAAGCCAGCCCAGATCTCAATCCTGAGGGTTCAGGGACACATGGGACCCCAAAAGGCCTCATCTTCTGGACTGTTCCTCCAGCTGATGAATCATCTGGAAATGTCTGAGAAGCCCCGTCCTGCTGGGCGTGGGGCTGGCATAGTGCCTCAGCTGCCAGGATGGGCAGAGGGATTTCAGGAAAGGAGACGAGGGCTGGGCCACAAGTGGCTAAGTGCCCAGGAGGGTTCTCAGGGCTGCCAGCTGCTGGCCACTGTCTTCTCCCCAAGCCCTGCTGAGGAAGGGCCTTGCACACTACGTGAGAGGTCAGGGAAGGCAGAGGGTAGACTTATCACTCAGTTTCCAACAAAGCAGCTTGCATTTGGATGGTGGCTGTGCTCTGTGGGTGCCTGGTACCCTCTCCATCATCTCCGGCCCATCTTATATATCTCACATTATCAGAGAGATAAAAGTGTTCCCTCTCCATTGTTAGGGGACCAGGGCCAGGCAGGGAAGGGGGTGGGAAGGTATGAGAGCAACTCACTTGGCTTTCTTGGCCTCCCCTCCACTACTGTTTGTACTGCTGGAGGCTGGGCAGTGCAGGTAAGCCTGGGTTTCTTGTGAGTGCTAAGGGCTGCAGAAGCAGGCAGCAGGCACCATCTGACCTTCCCCGATTATACCTGAGAGCTTTCTGCAGGATCAAGGGCCAGAGTACAGGGTGGACTCTCAGGGTGGGACTCAGCTATAGAAGTAGTACAAGAGCCAAACAATGATCATGGTAATCATAGTAATAATAGAAGCAAACCTGGGTGTCCGAGGCATTGTTCTTCCTTGTCTCTTTCTTATCTTTGCTTCTTTTCAAACTCTTACTATGCTGGGAAGATGGGAAGTGTCTATCTTCATTATTTACACATGGAGAGACCAGGCTCAAGGTCATACTGTGCATCCATGGTAGGGCCAGTAAAGTAATAATAATCATGATGGATATCATTGTTTTGAGTGTTGACTCTGTGTTGTTATTTAATCTTATCTTTACTACAGTCCCACAGCAATGGCACAATTATCTTCCCATTTGACAGAGAAGGATCCTTGGGCATGGAGAGGAAAATCAATCTTCCCACGAGCCCAGCTCATGTCTTAACCACCAGGCAACACTGCCCTGCAAACCAATGGGCAGGATTTCTGCCTTCCACACTAATTTGTGGTGGTCACCAGAGTCAGAATGACTCATCCTCCTCTCCTCTAAGACACCAGGGTACACAGGGACAAAAAGAGTAAGACAGGTGTATTAATCTGTTCTGGCTATCATAATAGAATACTACAGACTGGGTGGCTTAAACAACAGAAATTAATTTTCTCATAATCTGGAAGCTGGAAGTCCAAGATCAAGGTGCTGGCAAGGTTGGTTTCTGGTGGGGCCTCTCTTGTTGGCTTACAGATGGTTGCTGTCTCAGTCTGTTTTGGCTACTATAACAAAATACCTTATACTAGGTACTTTATAAACAATAGAAATTTATTGCTCCCAGTTTTGGAGTCTGAGGACTTGAAGGTCAAGGCACCAGCAGGTTTAGCATTTGGTGAAGACTAGTTTTCTGCTTCAAAGATGACATCTTCTTGCAGTGTTCTCACATTGCAGAAGGGGGCAAGGGAGCTCGCTTGAGTCTCTTTATAAAGGCACTAATTCCATTCATGATGGTGGAGCCCTCAAAACTTAACCTCTTCCTAAAGGCTCTGTCACAGGCTGGTGTGCAATGGTGCAATCATAGCTCGTTGCAGCCTAGAACTCCTGAGCTCAAGTGATCCTCCTGCCATAGCCTTTCAGAGTAGTTGGGGCTTCAGATACTCTACCATGCCCAATTAATTTTTTAAAATTTTTTTTGTGGAGATGGAGTCTCACTTTGTTGCCCAGGCTGGTCTCGAACTCCTGGTTTCAAGTGATCCTCCATTGGCCTCCCAAACTGTTGGGGTTGCAGGTGTGAGCCACTTTGCCTGGCCAAGGCTCCTCTTCTTAATATCACTACAATGGGGATTTGTTTTCAATATGAATTTTGGAGGAACACAAACATTCAGTCCATAGCATTTCACCCATGACTCCCTAAAATTTTCATTTCACAGACAAAATACATTTATATAACCCCAATAGTCCTAAAAGTCTTAATGCTAGTTAAATCTTAACTTAGTTCCAGCATCAACTAAAAAGTCGAAACTCCAAAGTTTCATCTAAATATCACCAAAATCAGACATGGATGAGAATCAAGGCAGGATTCATTCTGAGTAAATTTCTCTCTAGTTATGATCCTGAAAAATTAAACAGGTAATAATGTGCTTCCAAAATACAATGGTGGGACAGGCACAGGGTGGACATTTCCATTTCAAAAGGAAGAAATAGAAATCAAGAAAGGGTAACAGGTCCCAGGTATGTCCAAAACGTGACACGGCAAACAACATTTAATCTTAAGTCTCTAGAACAATCTTCTTTGATTGATATCCTGCCTTTCAGACACATGGGGTAAGGGTTTGGCCCCCAAGGATTGGAGTGGCCCTATTCCCATGGTTGTGTTGGTTGGTGCAGCCCAGGCCACAGCTCTCTTGGTTTGAAGTCATGTGCCTGCATCTCTCCCAAGCTGGGGATGTTTGCTGGTGTCTCCACTGTTCTGGGGTCTTAGGGGCAGCATTGCTCCCATGGCTGCACTAGTTATTGACATAGTGGAGGCTCCCTGTGGAGATCGCATCACTGTGATGGTTTTCTGCCTGAGCCCTGAGGCTTTCTGGGACATCCTTGGAAATCTAGGTGGAAGTAATCATGCCCCCACAGCTTGTGTACTCTACAAACCCATGAATACAGTACTGCACAGATGCCACCAAGGTTTACCAACTGTGCCCTTCAGTGAGTCAGGGTTTGCTTGAGCCACATCTTGGGTAGCTGAGGAATGCTGTGCCAATATGCAGGGAGCAGAGACTTGAGGCAGGGAAGGGCAGCAAGCACAGAGTTCCCTCAGGTGCCCAAGGAACTTCTTTTGATATTGTTCTGTCCCCCAGGACTTGGTACTATGAGCCAGTGTCAGGACAGGCAGCCCTGCCAATCTCTGAAGTGCCTTCAGGGTCATTCTTCCATTGTCTTGATAAACAGCACCTGGCTTCTAACGACCTGTACTAATCTCCTTATCAAACATTCACTTGGCCACACACTTAGTGTTCTCTATCAAACACACTTTTTCATTCTTTACATGAGAATTTTCCGAATCTTTAGGGTCTGCTTCTCTTTTCATTATAAACGTCATTTTTAATTCATTAGTCTCTTCTCACATTTTACTATAAGCATTCAAGAGAAGCCATACTGCATCCTCAATACTTTGCTTAGAGATTTTTTTTCACCAAATATCCAATTTCTTGATTCATAAATTCTACCTCTCATAAAACATTAGGAGATGAACACAATTCAGCCAAGTTCTTTGCCACTTTATGACAAGGGTTGTCCATCCTTCAGTTGTTTCCAATAATATGTTCCTCATTTCCCTCTAAGACCTCATTGGAATGGCTTTTACCATCCATGTTTCTACCAACATTTTGTTCACTACCACTTAGGTAATCTCTGAGAAGATTAAGGCTTGCTCTCCAGCTCTTCAGCTCTCCTCTTTTTCTGAGCTTTCACCAGAATTTCCCTTAAGGTTTCTTTCATGGCAATGTACCTCAAAACTCTTTCAGTCTCAACCCATGACCCATTTCCAAAGCTGCTTCCACATTTTTAGGTATCTGTTATAGCAACACCCCACTCTTGGTACCAATTTCTGTCTTAGTCCATTTGGACAGTTATTAAAAATACCTTAGGCTGCATAATTTATAAACAATAAAAAATTATTGCTCACAGTTTTGGAGGCTGGGGATTCAAAGATCAAGGCACCAGCATATTTGGTCTCTGGTGAGG
The DNA here is from genome assembly GCF_000001405.40 of Homo sapiens. NCBI lineage: Eukaryota > Metazoa > Chordata > Mammalia > Primates > Hominidae > Homo > Homo sapiens. Next base: position 115,056,524 of record NC_000011.10, on the reverse strand, counting down.
AATTACCCTTTGTCTCAAAATAGCACCTTCTTATTATTCTCACGTGGCAGAAGTGGAGCAAGGGAGCTTGCTAAGCCTCTTTTTAAGGAAACTAATCCCATTTATGATGGTGGATCCCTGATGACTTAATCAACTCCCCAAACTCCACCTCTTTATACTTCCCACAACATCAGGGATTAGGTTTCAACATGAATTTTGGAGGAACACAAACATTCAGACTATAGTGCCACTTTCTCATTGTGTCATCTCATGGCCTTTCCTCTGTTCATGCAAGCACACATCCCTGGTATCTCTTCTTGTTATAAGGATACCAGTTCTGTTGGATTAAAGATCTACCCTTATGACTTCATTTAACCTTACTTACCCACTTAATGGTCCTATCTCCAAGTACATTCACATTGATAGTCAAGGCTTCAACACTTGAATTTTGGAGAAACACAATTCAGTCTATAACAGTAGAGATCTAGGAGGGTGAAGATTTGATTCCCAGGAGTAGTTGCACATGCAAACAGGAAAGAAGGGCACCCTCCAAAAAAGGTGGAACCAAGCATCCATTTCCAAAGGAAACAGACATCAGGGTATCATAGGGCCAGGTCTTGTTCAGCAAACCTGATTCCTCCAGTGGGCTGGGGCCAGAGCAACTGTTGTGCAGAGTCCCATTCAAAGAGGGCAGTGTGAGCTCCACATTTCATTCTCTATTTCTCTTGCCGTATTTGGTGTCTGTGATTGATGCCAGGGCTCACCTGGGGCCCTTGACCGCTCAATCCTGGCAGAATAAATACATAGCAGAGAGCTTTGAAGAGGTGTGTGTGTCCCTTGGCATTGGCTAAAGCCCCATGCAGGCACTTATAACTTCCACCAATGACCAGAACTTTCCTTTGGGAAAGAGAGGTGGAATAGGGCTGGAGGGGGAAGCAGCATAAAGCTATGTGCAGTCCCTTCTGAGATACTTTTTGACCCTTTTGGTTAACAGCACAAAAATGAAGGGGAGCTTGAGCTTTCACCTTGTGTGTTTTCCCATGGACGTTCTTCTAGGTGAGGTGGGGATGATGTGTCTCACATGAGAAGGAGCCTCCTCTCCAGCAGGGCTTCACCCCCTTGACCTGTTGCTTTCTTCAGGGGTTCCTGACTCATCTCTGTGAAAGGGAAGAGGTTGGCCCACACTCCAGCCACTGGCTGGGGGCCCAGAAAGGACAGAACGTCATCAGCTTGGGTTGTATGTTTCTGTTCCAGAGCTGCCCTGCCTGAGCTCCAGCCCCAGAGCCCAGCAACCTGCAGAACATCCAGACCCCTCCCTCTCACCCCCTTCTCTCTTCACATCTCTTCAGCTTTCTGCTTTCTTCTTCCTCCCACCTATGAGCGGGAGGCACAAAGCCCAAATAAAGGTGGCTTTTCTTTGGGGTGACTGACTGGGCCAGGAAAAGAGGTCAAAGCTGCAGGCGGAAGGGAGGTTTGGGGATTATATGTTAATTTCAAATACCCATGTTCTTGCCTGAGGCTAAGTGAGGCAGGTTTGTTCCTGCTTTTGCATTTACCATGGTGACAAACCTTTCCCTGGGACAATTACTTACCCCTGTCTGCTTGGCTGGAGGAAAAGTTGTCTGAAGAGAAAGCTGTGACTGCTAGACTCAGAAAATTCCCTGTTGGTTGGTTTTAATCTATAGTAGAAAACCTCCACATTATTCTGCCATCCTGGGATGTGACAGGTATTAATAACCCTATTAGCTGCAATCCCATCCGGCGCTATTTACACAGGCCGCGCCTGAGTCGCAGCAGCCACTCGGCTGCAAGAGACTCTGGCTTCTCTGGCTTTTGTTTTTCTCCTTTGGGCCCAGGGTGTTGACAAATTAGGTTTTTGGAAGGAGATTCCCCATCCCCACGTGCCAACATCGCATGTGGACCCATGCCAAATAGCTCCCGTGGTTGTAAGGTGATTTCATAACTTTCAGGAAGGCTTCCCTGCCCTTTCTCCTGCTGCTTCTTCTGCCCAAAGAACTTCTCCCTCCCCACTCTCTCTTTCCTTGCACCAAGAGTGAGTTCAAAGTCACCTCTTCCTTGAAACCTCCCCTGAGACCCTCAGCTAAAAGTAAACTTCTCCCCTGAACACTGACAGCACTTTATCTGTAGCTCAGTGATGACACACTGACGGTTAATTTCATGTCAACTTGACTGGGTGAAGGCATGACCAGGCAGCGGGTAAAGGATGATTTTCGGGTGTGTCTGTGAGGGTGTCTTCGGAAGAGATTCACATTTAAATTGGTAGGATGAATAAAGGTCACCCTCCCCAGTGTGGGTGGGCACCATCTGATGTACTGAGGGCCCAAATGGAACACAAAGGCAGAGGAATGGCGAATTCACACTCTCTTCTTTACCTGGAACACTCATCTTCTCCTGCCCTCAGTCATTGGAACCTCTGGTTCTCAGGCCTTTGGACTCCAGGACTTACACCAGTGGCCTGCCCTGGTTCTCGGGCCTTCAGATTCAAACTGAATTTCACCACCAGCTTTCCCTGGTTCTCCGCCTTGCAGACAGCAGATCGCAGGACTCTTTGGCTTCCATAATTATGTGAGCCAATTCCTATAAGAAATTTCCCCTTAAATCCATCCATCCATCCATCCATCCATCCATCCATCCATCCATTTATCTATCCCTCCATCCATCCTATTGGTTCTGTTTCTCTGGAGAACCTTGACTGCTATAGATACTAACCACTTTCTGGTCAGTATTCCACATAGTTGTCTTACCTCTCTTCCCAGGTGGTAAGAGGAGCTTTGAAGGCATTTCACCTGCCTGGCATCTGCACCCTGTTTTGCCCATAGAAGGTGGTTGGTCCATGCCTACTGGTGAAGGGACCTGAGCAATGCAGCAGGGAATCAACCCAGGATAGGTGCAAAGTTTGCTGAGCCCTGTGATGGCCCTAGTGAGCTTGGGGAGTGTGATTGAGTGGGGACTCATTCAAATGATGCTTTATCTGACTGTGCCACTGGTTTTGAACATAGAAACAGGAATAGAAAGTGAAGGGTAGGGCTGGCCAGGGCTGGAGATTGACACAGAAAGAGCTTTCAAAGGAGGAGGCTATAAAATAATCTAGAGTATTAACAAACATGGGGCTGGGAAGGTGCAGTATGAATTTCAGGCCAATTAAGCAGGCCAAGGTAAACTAGGAAGAGACATTTAGACTTCCTAAATGGATAAGAGACAGAGAGATGAGGGGAATGGATAGCTCTGATTGTAAAGGGGTTTACACTAGCCCACATGGTGCCTTTGTAGGAATTAGAGAATAGAATCCTTTACTCAGTGGGATGCAGCTCTAGGTCAGGTGGTACAGCACAATGCAGGCTGGATTTTAACCCCTTCACTCTTCTTTACTGGTTACCCATTATTAGTTAGCTATTGCCACAAAATGCTGTGTAACAGACTGCCCCAAAAGTCACTAGCATAAACCAGAAACCTTCTATTCTTTTTTTTTTTTTTTTTTTTTTTCCTGAAACAGAGCCTCACTCTGTCACCCAGGCTGGAGTGCAGTGGCACAATCTCTGCTCACTGCAACCTCTGCCTCCCAGGTTCAAGCGATTGTCCTGCCTCAGCCTCCCGAGTAACTGGAATTACAGGCACGCACCAACACACCTGGCTAATTTTCGTATTTGTAGTACAGACAGAGTTTCACCATGGCAGCCAGGCTTATCTTGAACTCCTGGCCTCAGATGATCCGCCTGCCTCGGCCTCCCAAAGTGCTAGGATTCCAGGCATGAGCCACCACGCCCAGCAAAACCATCTGTTCTTGCTGATCTGATGGCTAGTTGAGGGTTCGCTGAGCTCATCTGGTAGTTCTGCTGATTGCACGTGGCTCATTGGCATGGCTGGGGTAGTTGGGGGTTTGGTGATTTAGGCAAGACTCAGCTGGGGCAGTTCACCTCTGTTCCATGTCCCTCATCTCCTTTCTGTGGACTAGTCCTATGGGACAAGTCTGTGCCTATTCTATTCAAGACAATGGCTGAGGTGCAGAGAGCAAGCCTAGGTGCTTTTGGAGCCTGTAGACATTACGTTGGCTAACATCCCGCTGGCTGGAGCATATCGCATGGCCAAACACAAAGTCAGTGAGCAGGGAAATAGAATTTGCCTCTTTGGTGAGAAGAACTGCAGAGTCACAGGTGAAGAGGTGAAGAATCGGGGCTGTTAGTGCATGAAGGCCCCTGTGTAGAGGCCACAGCATGACCATATGTTGCAGCCCTGCCTGGCATAGAGGTTCTTTCTGAGCCCTGACATCCTGACCCAATCTGAACCTTTGCATTCCATTCCGTGTCTGCCTCAAACCTGCAGCCTTCACCACTTACAATGTGAGCGTACTTCTGTCTTTCTGCTTTTGATTTCTGCCTCTTCAGACTGGTTTTCTGCCCTTATCCCCTGGCAGATCATCCTCTGACCTCTTTAGTGTGCAGCTGCACCTCTCTGAATCCCACCTGTACCAGCATTTCCCTCACCCAGCTAAAGTGATGCCAGGACATGATGTGGTACAAAGGTATGTGTAGGAGAAGCAGGAACTAGAAAATGAGGAACAACAAGGAGTTGAGAGAAGAAAGTACTTTTCAGCATACATAGATTGAAGATTTAGTGCATTCTTCCAGTCTGATGCAAGCAGATATTTGAGCTACCTTGGAAAGCTCACTTTTCTAAGTCCATCTCCAAAATACCCATTAGCCATGCGTTTCAGAAGTTCATACATATGATGTCTGAAAGTTCTCCCTAATACCTCACTCCAAGGCCCACTCTCTTTGAAATCTATTCTAATTTTGCTCAGCATTATTGCTGTTTTTGTTGGCCAGGTGCTTTTTTATGTTTAAACCAGCCAATTTTTCTTTTATCCTGAAGAAGACATGCACTCGCCAAGTGTGTGTGATACCCCCATTAAGGAAAGAAATGGAGACCCATTCTTCCTGCAAATGCTTCTATTGTGAAGCAAAGAATCCAAACATTTAATCCTTGATGCCTGGACCCCACTTTAATGTAGACCCTTATTTTGTGCACTTACCTTCTCTCAATACACACAATTCCTTCTTGATGGAAACACTTGTGTGTTTTCTCAGTGGACACTTTGGGGAATCAGGCTCTTCACGCTGCGTTTTGGGTTATTACACTGCCACATTTTACCACTTTGCAGAAAGAACATATTAAGCAAAATAGAGTACTCAGGAGCAGGGATTGCTATTGTTAGAAAAACAATACTTGGGAAATAATTCCCCCCAATTTTGTCTTCATCTTTTCTCTGCTGTGCAAAGAGAGGAACAATTTATTAACAGGAGGCAGACAATGTT